>NC_000018.10:12410399-12710449 GCF_000001405.40 Homo sapiens | reverse complement strand
GTACTTACGAAAACATTTTGCACCAAAATAAACTTGTACTGACTTGCTGTAACACGCCTGAAAAGGATCTGGTTTGAGGCACTAAGAAGGATAAGGCATTAAGTGCCCCTATCACAGCAACATGAATTCTGCTTAAACTGAAGCAAGAACATCAAATTTATGGTGAAGCTTGGGTAGATAAATGGTGAAATCACAGATGCTTTAAAAGGGGCGGGCGTGGTGGCTCACACCTGTAATCCCAGCACTTTGGGAAGCTGAGGCGGGCAGATCATGAGGTCAGCAGATGGAGACCATCCTGGCTAACACAGTGAAACCCCGTCTTACTAAAAATACAAAAAAAGTAGCCGGGCGTGATGGCGGGTGTCTGTAGTCCCAGCTACTTGGGAGGCTGAGGCGGAAGAATGGCGTGAACCCGGGAGGCAGAGCTTGCAGTGAGCCGAGATCGTGCCACCGCACTCCAGACTGGGCGACAGAGCAAGACTCCATCTCAAAAAAAAAAAAAAAAGTTTATGAGGGCTGGGCGTGGTGGCTCATACCTGTAATTCCGGCACTTTGGGAGGCTGAGGCGGGTGAACTGCCTGAGGTCAGGAGTTCAAGACCCACCTGGCCAACATGGTGAAACCCTGTCTCTACTAAAAATACAAAAATTAGGCCAGGCGTGGTGGCTCACGCCTGTAATCCCAGCACTCTGGAAGGCCAAGGTGGTTGGATCACCTGAGGTCAGGAGTTCAACACCAGCCTGACTTGCATGGTGAAACCTCATCTCTACTAAAAATACAAAATATTAGCTGGGCGTGGGGGCGTGGACCTGTAATCCCAACTACTCCAGAGGCTGAGGCAAGAGAATTGCTTGAACCCGGGAGGTGGAGGTTGCAGTGAACCAAAATCGTGGCATTGCACTACAGCCTGGGCAACAAGAGCAAAACTCTCTGTCAAAAAAAAAAAAAAATACAAGAATTAGCTGGGTGTGTGGTGAGTGCCTACAATCCCAGCTTCTTGGGAGGCTGAGGCAGGAGCATCTCTTGAACCCAGGAGGCAGAGGTTGCAGTGAGCCGAGATCCCGCCACCACACTCCAGCCTGTGTGACGGAGTGAGACTCCATCTCAAATCGGGCGCGGTGGCTCACGCCTGTAATCCCAGCACTTTGGAGGCTGAGGCAGGCAGATCACGAGGTCAGGAGATTGAGACCATCCTGGCTAACATGGTGCAACCCCGTCTCTACTAAAAATACAAAAAATCAGCCGGGCGTGGTGGCATGTGCCTGTAATCCTAGCTACTCAGGAGGCTGAGGCAGGAGAATCGCTTGAACCCGGGAGGCAGAGGTTGCAATGGGCCGAGATCGTGCCACTGCACTCCAGCCTGGGCAACAGGGCGAGACTGTCTCAAAAAACACCCAAAATAAATAAATAAAATAAAATAAAATAAAGTTTACGGGGGCCGGGCGCAGTTGCTCCTCACACCTGTAATCCCAGCACTTTGGGAGGACGAGGCAGGCGGATCATCTGAGATCAGGAGTTTGAGACCAGCCTGGCCAACATGGCGAAACCCCATCTTTACTAAAAACACAAAAACAAAAAGTAGTCGGGTGTGGTGGTGGGCACCTGTAATCCCAGCTACTCGGGAGGCTGAGGCAGGAGAATCGCTTGAACCCGGGAGGCAGAGGTGGCAGTGAGCCGAGATTGTGCCATTGCACTCCAGCCTGGGCAACAAGAACAAAACTCTGTCTCAAAAAAAAAAAAAAAAAAAAAAGAACGTTGTAAAGATTAAATGAATTACATGTAAACGCCGCTGGGCGCAGCGGCTTGTGCCTGTAATCCCAGCACTTTAGGAGGCCAAGACAGGCAGATCACCTGATTTTGGGAGTTCAAGACCAGCCTGACCAACATGGAGAAACTCCGTCTCTACTAAAAATACAAAACTAGCTGGGTGTGGTGGCACATGCCTGTAATCCCAGCTACTCGGGAGGCTGAGGCAGGAGAACTGCCTGAAACTGGAAGGCGGAGGCTGCGGTGAGCTGAGATCGCGCCACTGCACTCCAGCCCGGGCAACAAGAGCAAAACTCCATCTCATTAAAAAAAAAAAAGTACATGGCATTTAGCTCATAGTAATACTCAATAAAAGATAGCTGTTATCACTAGTGGAAAGTATACAAATTCTAGGGGCTTTTGTTTTTTAAGACAGGGTCTCACTTTGTCACCCGGGCTGGAGTGCAGTGGCATCATCATGGTTCACTGTAGCCACAACCTCCCAGGCTCAAACAGTCCTCCCAAGTTAGTTAGCCTCCTAAGAGGTTGGGACTACAGGTTGGCTAATTTTTTTCTTTTTCTTTTTGTAAAGATGGGGTCTCATTTTGTTGCCCAGGCTGGTCTCAAACTCCTGAGCTCAAGCGTTCCTCCTACCTCAGCCTCTCAAAGTGTTGGGATTACAGATGTGCACCAACGCACCCGGTCATGAATTCTGGTTTTAACCATTTATAGTCCTTTATCCTCTGAGGCAGTAACTCAAATTTAGTCTTGCGTTGACAAAGCCATCTGTCCTGTAGGAAGTTCAATAATAAGGTCATTTCTCAAATGTACATTTCACTATCGCAAGCTAAAAACAATGATATGGTTAGTAAGACACAAAAACCAAAATGCTTCTTCATTTGTCTTTCAATTCACCAAAGGCCTTTCATGCTCTTCTGTCACCTCTGGATTTGACCTTAAAATGGTAAACAGAAGACTGAAAGATCACCAGAACAGTTAGCCATCAAAGGTAGTAACTGGGTGCTCCCATGCTTCATGATCAACAGGAGCTCTTCTCTTACTCACCTGGTGCTGTGCTGCATTATAACCAGTGTTCCCTGATTAATCAAGCCTGATAGTCCAATGAGGAATTACAAAGATTTACAGTATGGGAAAAGCCTACACCTATTAGTGGCATCAGGCAAGTCAATCTCTTTGAGCCTTATCTATACCATATTATTATGGATCCTATAATGGAAGAAGATGACTACGAGGATAAGACTTAGTTGACGTAACATATATTAAACCTACAAGACTGAGTCCAGCGCAATCTACTTTTCGCCTTTCCATATTATTAGTGATGGTTACACATACCAGTAAGAACAGGAGATAAAACTGAGGATAGAAGGAAAAAAATCCATGTTGAAAAACAAGGAAATTTAAAAATTCTAGAAAAGATACAAGTATGGGCTGGGCACGGTGGCTCACACCTGTAATCCCAGCACTTTGGAAGGCTGAGGCGGTTGGATCACGAAGTCAGAATATTGAGACCATCCTGGCTAACACAGTGAAACCCCCGTCTCTACTAAAAAAATACAAAAAATTAGCCAGGTGCGGTGGCAGGCACCTGTAGTCCCAGCTACTCGGGAGGCTGAGGTAGGAGAATGGCGTGAACCCGGGAGGCGGAGCTTGCAGTGAGCGGAGATCGCGTCACTGCACTCCAGCCTGGGCAAGAGAGCGAGACTCCGTCTCAAAAATAATAAAAAAAAAAAAGATACAAGTATGATCTTATTCTCAACCTTCGTAAGACTTGCCATTTACAAGAGGCTAACAACAACTAAAACCAGGACATAAAAGAATAGGACAATGTGATTGGGTTGTGAACTCTACACAAAGTTGGCACTAAGTAAACATTTGCTACAAAACAATTATCAATAAAGTCTATTTCTAATTTAAAACAACTCTACTTTGTAGTGGAAAAATACAAGGTAAAGTCTTACATACCTTCAGCATTTATGCTAAGTTCTGTTGAATTTCCTTCTGTGGTCGCATATGGATTGTTTCCAACCATTGGCACAAGACAATCGGTATAGAAGTAACCAATCTTAGACATATTCAGTGTAGAAATAATCAGATCCATTGCAAGCTGGCCAACATTTCCAACAGATACTGCTGGCTGAAATTATAAAAGATATGTTCAGTAAGTCACCAAAATTAGCAGCACTTTATTTTATTTTTTGAAACAGAGTCTGCCTCTGTCTCCCAGGCTGGAGTACAGTGGCGTGATCTTGGCTCACTGCAGCCTCTGCCTCCTGGCTTGAAGCAATTCTCCTGCCTCAGCCTCCTGAGTAGCTGAGATTATAGGCGCGCACCACCACACCCAGCTAATTTTTGTATTTTTAGTAGAGACGGAGTTTCACCATGTTGGCCAGGCTGGTCTCAAACTCCTGACCTCAGGTGATCCACCGACCTCAGGTGATCCACCCGCCTCAGCCTCCCAAAGTGCTGGGATTACAGGCGTGAGCCAACACGCCTGGCCCACAGCACTTCAAAAAGTTTAGACAGAATACAATAGTTATATTAGTACTGAAAGCATCATAACATCATAGCTAGATATTGATTTTCATTAACTACAACTGCTGGGGCCTCCTCCACCTTTGAGACTATTTAACAAATACTTATTGAATGCCTACTATATGTCAATTGTTGCTCTAGGCACTGGGAATGCAGTAAAATAAACCAACAAAAGTTCATGCCCTCATGGAACTTCCATTCCAGTGAGAGTGGTTTACCTGTAATAAACAAAACAAACACTAAAATATACAGTGGTAATTGCTACGGAGAAAAATAAAGTGAGTGTGAGGATGTGTGTACATGGTTGATTGCAATTTTAAGTAGAGTGTTCGAGGAAAGACTCACCCTAGGTGACAAATGACTAGAGACCTGAAAAAGGTAAAGGAGACAGCCGTACAGAGATCTGGGAAAGAACATTCCAGGCAGTGGGAAAGCAAGTGTAAAGGCTTCGAGGTATGAACAGAAGCACTCTTGGGTCTGCTTACCATTTGCTTTATTAGTGCCTCTTTACCCATTCCGAAAGGTTGAAGTGATCTTTTCACACTAAACACACACACACACACACACACACACACTCTCTCTCTCTCTCTCTCTCTCTCTCTCTCTTTTTCCCATGACTTAAAATAATGAAGCTGCCAAATCCCTACCTACATCCCAGAACACGTAGGAGCTCCACAACCTAATGGACGTCTCCACATGGTTAGGTCACAGGAAACTCACATTCCACATGTCCAAAACTATAAACTTTTGCCCAAATTTTTCCCCATATTTTGTATTTTAGAAAAGGGCGCCGGGCATGGTGTCTCATGCCTGTAATCCCAGCACTTTGGGAGGCCGAGGCAGGTGGATCACCTGAGGTTAGGAGTTTGAGACCAGCCTGGCCTACATGGTGAAACCCTGTCTCTACCAAAAATACAAAATTAGCTGGGCGTGGTGGTGCATGCCTATAATCCCAGCTACTCGGGAGGCAGAGGCAGGAGAATCACTTGAACCCAGGAGGCAGAGGTTGCAGTGAGCCAAGATCGTGCCATTGCACTCCAGACTGGGCAAAAAAGAGCAAAACTCCATCTCAAAAAAAAAAAAAAGTTCAATATTATTCAATCTACCTAAACTTCTTCCCATTCCCTTACCAACTACATCTAATACATGCCTAATTTTTATTGAGGCTATCCCCCAAGTATCCTTTTAATGTAGCTCCTCCTTTGCATTCTTCCAACAACTCCTTTTGTTTTCTGTCCTTCGGGTGTTCCCTCAGCATGTTCTCCCACTTTTCACTGTTGTCACCTACCAATTGCCTAGTTACCTCCTGCAATTCCCTTCTCAACGATTTTGCTACTTGGGTTAAACTCTTCTGTACCATCCTTCTTTTCCTCACAATATTGTATTATTCCCATCAGCACGTAAACATGCTCTAATATCTTTCATTCTAAAAGGCTCTCCCTTGACCCCACATAGCCCTCTAACTGCAACCTCATTTCTTGTTTCTCTATGTAGCAAAAATTCTCCAAGTCGTCCACGAAAACATAAGCAGAAACTTTATCTCTTATTAAAAAAAAGTTTTTTGAGACAGGGTCTCACTCTGTCGCCCAGGCTGGAGTGCAGTGGCACGATTTCAGCTCACTGCAGCCTCTGCTTCCTGGGCTCAAGTGATCCTCCCACCTCAGCTTCCCGAGTAGCTGAGATACAGGTGCAGGAAACCACACCTGGCTAATTTTTATTTATTTTTTTGTAGAGATGAGGTATCACTATGTCGCCCAGGCTGGTCTTGAACTCCTGAGCTCAAGCGATCCTCCTGTACTCGGCCTTCTAAAGTGCTGGGATTACAGGCATGAGCCATCATGCCTGTCTCTGAATTAATGACTGAATATATATTATACAACCCAAATCTTTAACTTGTTTTCTATCATTCATTCAACCCACTCCAATATGGCTTTCCTCTTCACCACTTCACTGGTAACTGTTTGTCCAGGTGACCATCATTAACATGTCGCTAAATCCAAACATACACTTTCTTCACCTTACACATCTCTGGGCTACTTTTGACATGGCCACTCCCTCCTTTTTGAAACACTCTTCTCTGGGGCTGTGTGTTTTATATGTAATGAATAAGGATGACACTTCCAGCTCTCTCCAGCCTTATACCACTCCAAACAGTGCATTTTCCAATGGTGCCTTCTGGGTTCACAGGGCCTACAGCCTATTCTCTCTCAATGTGTCATTCCAAATTCTTGGCAGTCTTCAAGTCCCCCTGCTTACTGACTCTGTTTTAGACATCCATCTTTCTGAAACGCCTACTTTCCCCTACTCCCAGCCCACGGGCCCTCCATCTTTTGCATACTACTTTCTCTATAAAGCCTTTCTTAACAAGCCATCTGTCCCTCCCCTCCCAATTATCTCAGGACCTTTCTATACCCTTTCAAGCTTCTAGCCTAGCATTTATTGCTCTTAGATTACATGTTTCCAACTACAGTGTAAATTCTTTGAGGGCACGCACCTAGTCTTATTCTAATACTCGCACATAACAGACTTTATTAAAACAATGAATGAATATAAAGAGCGATAAAACTGCGCTAACTACCGGCAAGAGTTAATGTTTATTGCCCTATCAGTAGTTCTCCGGTTAACAACGATAATATGCTAGCTTAAGACTAATTCTAAAACTAGTCGTAGAAAGACTTTCTAGGATAAAACTGAAGGATGCCCTGCAAAACATAAGTACAGTGTATCTAGAACGTACGAACACATCACGTTTTACAGGAAACAGAGACTACAAATTGTAGACTTGACTACGTTTGGTTTTACAGCCGACAAAGGTTCTGTTTGGACGGCTGCCTCCGGCTACAACCTCCCTGTTTTTTCCGGCCGAAAACATGAAATAGAAACTAGTGCCCTATTTCTCCCAAGGCACCGCCAAACACCCCGCGTCGGGGTGGCGACACCGCAGGGGCCTCGGGAGGCGGCAGCCCCGAGCGCAAATGGAGACTCACCATTAGGAGGGTGAAGCCGGCAAGGTCGGGGGCCGACTCCCCGCAGGGAACGAACATGGTCGCAGTGGGGTGGCCAGCAGGGACTAACCGCGGCCCTGGCAAGAACGAGGGCAGCAAGAAGGCGGAAGCCCGAGACCCCGGAGCCTCGCGGGGCGCGGGAGGGTCCTTTGAGTCCCTGGGCGCCGGGCCCTTGAGGCCCGTCCAGCTAACTGCCGGTTCAGAGGGCGGAAAGAGGCCGCCGGGTGGCCGCGAAGAGGGGCCAGCAGCGCTTTCGGAGACCCTGGCAAGCAAGGCGATGGGGTGCGCTGAGGTCTCGGGGTGCGGGGCCCGCGGGGAGGTGGAGCGGCGGGCGGAAACGATCAGGCAGCGTGCGGGCCAGCCCCAAGCCCTGTTTGTCCGCCACTGTTTGAAAACAGTTGGCGCCGCCGCCGCCGGGGCCTCATTTCCAGGTCAGCCCCCGGCCTGACGCGGCGTTGCGTCCCCCGGGAGCTGCGCTAGGCGAACGGCTGCGGCGCTTTGTGCTCCAGTCGCTCCTAACGCTCCCTGGCCCGGCCGGGGCCGCGCAGTTAGGGCATCTGAGGCGGGGAGAAGCGGCGGGGAGACGCCGGCTGCCAGCATGTCGCTGCCTCCGGAGAAAGCCTCCGAGCTGAAGCAGCTCATCCACCAGCAGCTGAGCAAGGTGAGAGTCGCGGGTGCTGGGAGAGACCGCCGGGCCGACCCATAACCTTTCCCTCCTGCCCGGCGGCCCCGGGCCGACAGCGGCATCTGCTTGCCGGGACTGTAGCGAGGATTGTGGGGTGCGCAACGCAGAGTAGGCAGAGCTTTGAGTTTGAGGCAGGAGAGCGTCCTCGTCTCCGAGAAAGAAAACGAGCCGAGCAGGTGCTAGCAAGAGTCTGGGGCGATAGAACGAGCGGTCTTGGCGTTTTAGGACGGCCGTGAGAATGAAGCGCTTAGCGAGCGACTTCTGGAAGTCGGATCGAGTGTAAGTTGTATTTGGAGGTTTATATTCTGCTGTAAGATATCAGGTTTTTTTTCTTTCTTGAGACGGAGTCTCTCTGTTGCCCAGGCTGGAGTGCAGTGGCACGATCTCGGCTCACTGCAACCTCCGCCTCCCAGGTTTAAGCGATTCTCCGCCTCAGCCTCCCGAGTAGCTGGGATTACAGGCGCGCGCCACCACGCTCGGCTAATTTTTGTATTTTTAGTAGAGACGGTTTCACCATGTTGGTGTGGCTGGTCCCGAACTCCTGACTTCGTGATCCGGCCGCCTCGGCCTCCTAAAGTGCTGGGATTACAGGCGTGAGCCTCCGCGCCCGGCAGATATCAGGGTTTCTTTACCGCTGAAACATGTGGGTATCAGCGAAGTTGAACCAGGAGCTTCAATCAGCAATTCTCAAATAAGTCATGGAAGAGAAGTTACTAAAGGGTTTGTAATGACGGAATTTGTTAATATTTCGGAGCTCCAGAAGAACCTCCAGTTTCTGCAGCGCTCGCTCGACTGAGTGCAAGATGCTGAAGTGATAAAAGCGACCATTTATGGTGCCCTTGTGTGCCAGGCTTTGTGCTGTCTAGTATCTTTAATCCTCACAACACTATCGTGAGAGGGCACTACACTAGGTTTTTCCATTCTTATCGGTGACGAAACAGATTTATAAAGGGTAAATAAGTTGGCTTGAGGTTACACATCTACTAAGTTGAAAGCTGGTAAGATTCCCTTATCATTAGGCAGATCAAAGTATGAAAGTAATAAGATCATACTTTGATCTGCCTACTCCCAGTCCGTGTTCTTCTGATTATACTATACTCCCTCTCAGAAGATTCCTTTTGGTTGAGTGTTGTTTGTGGAGAAATGGTAACAAAGGTGCCAGATAACCAGTGGAGACTATTTCTAGAATTTGTACTCAAAAGATTCATTCTTTAAAAGCTTACCTTTGTTCCCATTCAATTGTGGTAACAATTGTGCATTTACTGTTAGCTGGAGAACCTTAAAACTTCAGAAGCAGTATTTGACTGCTTTGTGATGTTATAAATTGTAATATGAGTTTTCTACATAGATGGATGTCCATGGTAGAATAAGAGAAATCCTTGCTGAGACTATACGGGAAGAATTGGCACCTGATCAACAGCATTTATCAACAGAAGATTTGATCAAAGCCCTTAGACGTCGAGGAATCATTGACGATGTGATGAAAGAACTTAATTTTGTTACTGTGAGTAATCTTTTAGGGAAATAAATGAGAGTATATATGTATATACTAATGCGTAACACTACTTATAAGGTTCCGATGTGGGGCCTTTCGTTTTAGTAAAACCACTTCAAGGTCATTCTGTTTACTAGTGTCCTTGTTTCAAGTATAGGCTAGCTCTGCCCTTGAATATACTGAATAGTTTTGTGTATCAATGAAATTTGTGTTAGATATCTTATTCCTGTCTCTACAGTGACAGAATTTTCTCTTATTTTCTAGGTCTGTAAATTTGAATATACATACTTTAGTCCAATTAGTTCACCATAACAAAGTTCTTTTTCATTATGATCTGTAACTTTTTTAGATTAAGCGTATTTTTAAAATAAGCACTCTTTTGGGATTATATTCTCTATGATTAACAAATTACAAATTTCTTTAAGAAAATAATTGACTGCATAAGAGTCCTCAAATCTTTTAATACAAATAGGTCAATAATGGGATGATAGTCTCTCAGTGCACAATTAGTAAGTAGGCCTTCATTTGAAAGTGAGGCAATAATGGAAACTGTGACCTCAATACCTGGGTAATATAATGTGAAAATTGGATGGACTTCATAATACAATAGGGAATAAGTATTTTAATACAGCACCTTTTTTTGGTTTTTGAAGTTTATGAACCCGTTTGTTATAAAAATTGACCTAATAACAGCTTCTACTCTGTGATGACACTTTATTAAAATCAGCTCATAGTGGAATTATAAGCCAACTGTTACATAAGGTTTACAGAAAGTTTAACCTTGTTGAAGGTATTAAGGATTTGTTTTTAGCTTTATGTGGATAGTATTACTTGAAGACAGTTTAATTCCTTAGCATTTGATTTTAGGAGTGATCAGTTTACATCATCTTTTATGCAGGCTTTTATTTTCATTATTTTAATTAGGCTAGGAAAATAAGGGGTTCTTTGAAAGGGCCTTACCCTGTTGACTTTAGGTTCAGTGCTTAGTCATGTTTATTGACATTTCCTTAACCTATAATTGTTTTCTAATTTGTTTTGATTTTTTTTTCCTGCCTTTCTAGGACAGTGTTGAGCAAGAACTCCCTTCCTCTCCAAAACAACCTATTTGTTTTGATAGACAATCGACATTAAAAAAAAGTATGTATATTTTAACATTAATTTAGTTGTGGTTAATAGTAAATATTGATGTGGTGTAGTCTTTCGTATTTGATAGAAGACATTTCCATTTTTTCCCCCCAAAATAAAATACTTAAAATTTTATGGTTGGCTAAAACAGATTGTTTTGCATGAAGTATATCAGAAGAGTTAATGTATAGCACGGTAGAAGCAAAAACAGCATCACCAGTTTCTTGTGTTTTAATAATATGTTTTATAAAAACTGTACAGCCTTGCTTTTAAATATTAATATAATTGACAAATACACTTGCTGAATTGATAATTATATGAGTTGGTTTGTGAAGGTGGAGGAATGTTGGATAAGCAGTTAAAAAGCAAAAGTATACTACATATTGGCTCTGATGCCTTTTCCAGCTGGGAGAAAGTAGCCTGGATGTAAACTCAGAAAAGAATATCATATTTTGTGTATCTTCTCCCCAGAGTGCAAATGATTCTGGCATATACAGTAATAAATTTGTTACTCTTTTGCTTTTTTTTTAGTCTTTGGTATTGGGTTTTTATCTGTCAAGTTTTTATTTCCTAATGTCTTGATCACATTCTTTTAAGTTATTTGGCAGTTTCCTCATATATATTGCTACACTTTACAGCTAATATTGATCCAACACGGAGGTATCTTTACCTTCAGGTTTTGGGTGGAAAAGCTTTCTTGGAACATCTGCAAGAACCTGAGCCTTTACCTGGACAAGTTTGTTCAACGTTTACTTTATGTTTACATTATCGAAACCAACGTTTTCGTTCTAAACCTGTTCCATGTGCCTGTGAACCAGATTTTCATGATGGCTTTTTACTTGAAGTACACAGAGAAAGCTTGGGTAAGAAACAGTAATAAATTGTCATTTAATTGAGTAAATCTTTGTTATGTTTTATTGTGAAACAATAATAATGACTTTTTCTGTAAGGAGAGATTTATAATGGAGGAATCTCTATTTTGTTTCCCACTGCTCTTTTCAATTTAAACTACTATCCACCTTCTTGCAATATTCTGTTTGCTATTCATTTTCCCTGGATATTATTTTTTGACTGTTTTCATTGTTGATTCTTTAGTAATACACACTTAAATACCTATTATGTGCATAGTGTTATGCTAGGCAGGTGCTGGGATGATATAGTGGAAAATGAGACATGGTCCTTCTCATTTATAAAATATAACCAGATTGATGATGTTATGTAACTTTTAAAAGTCGAAGTTTAGGCTGAGCACGGTGACTCACAGCTGAAATCCCAACACTTTGGGAGGTCTAGGTGAGAGAATCATTTGAAGCCAGGAGTTCAAGACAAGTCTGGGCAAAGTGAGACATTGTCTCTACAAAAAATAAAAAATAGGCTGGGTGTGGTGGCTCATGCCTGTAATCCCAGCACTTTGGGAGGCCAAGGCAGGTGGGTCACCTGAGGTCAGGAGTTTGAGACCAGCCTAGCCAACATGTCGAAACCCTGTCTCTACTAGAAATACAAAATTTCTAGCCGGGCATGGTGGCAGGCGCGTGTAATGAGCCGAGATCACCCCATTGCACTCCAGCCTGGGCAACAGAGTGAGACTCTGTTTAAATAAATAAATAAATGAATAAATATTTATAAATTATTTATAAAAACTTCTAATAAATTTTTATAAATACTTACAAATAAATATAAATAAAATAAAAAGTCAAATTTAGATGTGAACATATAACTGTCATTTTAATTTTTTCTTTTTTTTCTTATTTCTCCAATAAAGCATGTAATTCTCATAACTAAATTTTATGCTACTTGATTCCTGTAATTGTTTTACACTATGTTTCTTTCAGTAAAGGTATTTTGTATTTTGTAATTGTCAGTATGGAAATCTTTATATTTGTAAACTAAGCAAAGTTTCAGAATGTCTTCACAATTTTAGATTTAAAGATGACTGAAACATTACTAAAATTTATTTTTTTCCCTTTGAAAGATGTTACCTTAATAAGGCAATTAATAGGATAAATTGCTAGATTCGATGTGCTGTATTTTTCAGTTGTATGTCAATTATACAGTGATAATTTCTGGAGGTTAAAGGGATTTCTTGAGGTAGTTTGGGGATTAATATTGACATACTTGAAGGCTTTTTATTGTAGTAGCATATACTTTAGTTAAGTACTTTTAAAGAACAGACTTATCTTATGAATCAGAAAGCACTGATATGCTGTAAGTTACTGGATAACTCATCACAATTTGCCAGTCTTCTGAAAAGTTAGTGATAGAAATAGGACTGTACTTGTATTTCCAGTTTTTTGCATGCTTTCTGAGACATTAGCAAATTGTTCTCTTTGGTTTTATATAAGCTTATTATTTACTGTTTAATAAAAGTATTCTTTTATGTTGGCCTAACTGAATATGTAGTGTGGTATAATTTCGTTTGGATTATATTGCTAGGTGATGGAACTAGAATGGCTGATTCAACAACAATGTTATCAATAAGTGATCCAATTCATATGGTGCTAATCAAAACAGACATATTTGGTGAGACGACTTTAGTAGCATCATATTTTCTGGAATGGCGATCGGTTTTGGGCTCAGAAAATGGAGTGACCAGTCTGACTGTGGAACTTATGGGTGTAGGTATGGTGATTAATATATCATTGTTAACCTTTTTATAGCCACAGTTCATTTGTAAATATATTTTATATCTTTAAAATGCTTTTATAATCCAAGAGGGAAACCTGTAAAATAGAATTTCGTTAGAGTTACAATTGGACCTCAGCATCCTAATCTTGAGAAATGTCTTGAAGAATAATATCAGTATAGCACTTCATGGTCAATCTGACCTTGTCTTAGGAGAAATGTTTTTTTCTGGAAAATGAATACAGGAATTTTGAGGGTTTTAATTTCAAGTTCATTTGATTAAATATAAGGCTATAAAGAAAATTAATATTCTTGACACACATACAAACTTATGTGTGTCCAGTCATCACACCCTGGAATACATCCCCTTTGGTACCAGTGATTCTTGCAAAATACAGAGTAGATGTTCTCCCAACCTTTTACAGTGTGGGTGAGTGAGACTCGGAAGAGGAAATAATTTGCTCAGTGTTAGTATCAACTAGTCCTTGAGGGCAGAGCTGGTGCCTATCTTATTTATCATAGTCTCCTTGGAATCTTGCACACTGCCCGCTATGTAACACATACTTGCTAATAAAATGAGAAAACAAAACCTACCAATGTTTTATCTATAACATATAATGGAATTACTTTGGTTTTTAAACTTAGTCACAGAGTTAAACCTTGCCAGTGGACAGCATAGCCTTAGTAATTTAGATTATTATTATTATTATTATTATTTGAGATGGAGTC
The DNA here is from genome assembly GCF_000001405.40 of Homo sapiens. Taxonomy (NCBI): domain Eukaryota; kingdom Metazoa; phylum Chordata; class Mammalia; order Primates; family Hominidae; genus Homo; species Homo sapiens. Next base: position 12,696,490 of record NC_000018.10, on the reverse strand, counting down.
TCGCTCTGTCACCAGGCTGGAGTGCAGTGCTGCAATCTCGGCTCACTGCAACCCCCGCCTCCTGGGTTCAAGCGATTATACTGGCTCAGCCTGCTAAGTAGCTGGGACTACAGGCATGCACCACCACACCCAGCTAATTTTTGTATTTTTAGTAGAGATGGGGTTTCACCATGTTGGCCGGGATGGTCTCGATCTCTTGACCTCGTGATCTGCCCGCCTCGGCCTCCCAAAGTGCTGGGATATTGGCGTGAGTCACCGCGCCCAGCCAGTAATTTAGATTTTAATAAGTCATACCAAGAATGTATTTTTCTTTAAATAAAAATTATAGAAAAAGTGTCCTTTATGTAAGAAATTTATTTTCAAAAACAATACCCAATTTGTCTTCAAAAATAGGCCTAACATGATAATCGTAGCAGTGACCTGGAAACAAGCAGATTCTGATTCACTGAAGAAACATTAAATCGTTTTGATGTGAAGTATATTTGTTTTCTAGTTCTTTAAATCCAGGCATGGATTGAAAATTTCTACTCAGCCTGTAATTGGATAATGGGGAGTGACAAATGGGAGTTACTATAAGTGACAATATAAATGCTTTCTAATTTTTAGTGTGTGTGTGTGTGTGTGTGTGTGTGTGTGTGGAGAAGGAATGAGGTGTTAACAGTTGCTTTGACTTTGAATTTAATGTAAGTCTGGTTGATATTATACATTTAATTAAGACAAAAATTAAGAGTCTCAAATCCTTTAAGTCAGAAAAGTTTCTTAAAACCTGTTAGAAAAGCCAGGTGTAGTGGCTCATGCCTGTAATCCCACCAAGCACTTTGGAAGGCTGAGGCAGGAATATCACTTGAGCCCTGGAGTTTAAGACCAACCTGAATAACATAGGGAGACCCCATCTCTACTTAAAGAAGAAAAAGAGTGTCAGAAAGCTAAGAAAATAATCTCCTTATAATTAAACACCTTTGTTTAAAAAAATTGATTTGGTTCATTTTAATATGAATATTAAAGGTAATGTTGAATGTTATCTTTATTCCATGTAAGTGATAAAACACCCAAGTGCCTAAATTATTTTGGTTAGACTTTGGTTGACTAAATATATATAGTATTGAAATCTCTGAAGTTCAAAATATTTATGTTTATAGGCACAGAATCAAAAGTTTCTGTGGGAATTTTAAATATAAAACTTGAAATGTATCCACCACTCAATCAAACGTTATCTCAAGAAGTAGTGAACACACAGGTAAATACTTATGAGTTTCTCTTTTTTTGTGTGTTTGTTTTCATAGTAGTATATTTACCTGTTGATCCTAGAAAGCACTCTATTTTTAGAAAATTACCATTTATTACTTTCTAGATTAGCACTCAAAGGTTCACAAAAAGGATGAGGAAGAAAATAAAGACAAGATTGTTTTCCTAGCAGAATCTGTAGTCTAGTTTAGGAAATACGATGAACATTTATTGAGACAGCATAAGAATTACAGGATAGGCCGGTGGCTCACGCCTGTAGTCCCAGCACTTTGGGAGGCCGAGGCGGGCGGATCACAAGGTCAGGAGATCGTGACCATCCTGGCTAACACGGTGAAACCCCGCCTCTACTAAAAATACAAAAAAAAAAAATAGCCGGGCGTGGTGGCAGGCACCTGTAGTACCAGCTACCCGGGAGGCTGAGGCAGGAGAATGGCGTGAACCGGTAAGAGGAGCTTGCAGTGAGCCCAGATCGCACCAGTGCACTCCAGCCTGGGCAACAGAGCAAGACTCCATCTCAAAAAAAGAAAAAAAAAAAAAGAATTACAGGATAAAGCTGAAGAAGATCAAAGAGTAAAGTGCAACCTCAGTGGGATGGGATTTTAACGTTCTTTCGCAGGCGTTTATTGAAAGCTTGCTGCTTATGTCTTTTCTGCTCTGTTCTCTCAGGGTAGAAGTGCTTGCCACTTTTAGAGTGTGTTTGGAGAGGCTTTTTTCCCTAATTCCACTGTCAGGTCTCTGATGAATTACTTTCTTCCTGGGTCTTAAAAGATCGGCAGATTTTTTCATTCCTTCACATTGGATTTGCCATCCATGTTTAGTTCTTGCCAGTCTTTAGTTTGGAGGTTCTCATTATCTGCTGACTTGCCGGGATGGCACTTGTGGAATGGTTCTCCTTGATTACATACACCACCCTTTACTCCACCCTGCCTGTCATATTGTTCCTTTTACAGACCTGTGGTTAGACGCTAGTGCTTCTCCCTCAGGCAAACAATGTCCTGCCCTGTTTTCTTTAAACTTTTTTTCCTTCCTTTTGTAAACTCTCATCTCCCTCTAATCTCTAGCTTCTGACATGTGTCATGGGTGGTATATATACCTGAAACCACATAGTGAGAACCAACTTTGATGTTACTCAAATAAATACCCAGCCCTGTGGGAGGCTAAGGTGGGTGGATCACTTTTGAGTCCAGCAGTTTAGGACCAGCTTGGGCAACATAGTGAGACCCTGTCTCTACAAAAATTTTAAAAAATTAGTCAAGCATGGTGGTACATACTTGTAGTCCCAGCTGCTTGGGAAGCTGAAATGGGAGGATTGCTTGACCCAGGAATTTGAGGTTACAGTGAGCTGTGATTGTACCACTGCACACTAGCCTGGGTTACAGACTAAGACCCTGTCTCTTAAATAAATGGTGTATACACACATATACATTATGTGTATACGTGAGGGGTTTTTTTGTTTGTTTTTTTCAGACAGAGTCTCGCTCTGTCGCCAGGTTGGAGTGCAGTGGCGCAATCTTGGCTCACTGCAACGTCTGCCTGCCGAGTTCAAGCAATTCTCCTGCCTCAGTCTCCTGAGTAGCTGGGACTACAGGTGGGTGCCACCACGCCCAGCTAATTTTTGTATTTTTAATAGAGACAGGGTTTCACCATGTTGGCCAGGATGGTCTCGATCTCTTGACCTCGTGATCTGCCTGCCTCGGCCTCCCAAAGTGGTATACATGAGTTTTAATCATGTTATTCATATATTTATGTGACATATAAAGTAAATGTTTGGGCTCTACTTTTTTGGGGTAGTAGCTTGTTTTTTTTAATTAAATTTTATTTTTTTAGAGACAGCATCTCACTCTCTCAGGCTTGAGTGCAGTGGTGTGATTATAGCTCACTGAAACCTCAGACTCCCAGCCTCAAGCAATCCACCTGCCTCAGCCTCCCAAAACATTGGGATTGCAGACATGGACCATTGTGCCCCACCAGGTTCTCCTTTTTAAACTTAACATTATTTTATATGTATTTTCTTATATTTCCACTGTCATATTTATAATTTCTAGTGACTAAAACATAAGTTTATTCTATTATCTGATAAATAAATTGCTTCTAATTTTCTCTTTAAAATTGCACTATTAAAACTTTTAGCCAGGCTAATTAATCTGTAATCCCAGCACTTTGGGAGGCCAAGGTAAGAGGATCACTTCAGGCCAGGAGTTCAAGACCAGCCTGGGCAACATAGGTAGACTTCATCTCTACAAAAATTTTTAAAAATTAACTGCACATGGTGGTGCATTCCTGTAGTCCCAGCTACTGGGGAGGCTGAGGTGGGAGGATCGCTTAAGCCCAGGAATTCGAGGCTACAGTGAGCCATGATCATGCAGTAGCACTCCAGACTGGGTGACAGAGCAAGACCCTGTCTCTTAAAAGAAATTAAAGTCAGAAATATGTATGGATCCTAAATAGATGTCAAAATGTGCTAGACACTGTTCTAGACACTGGAGATGTAGCTGTGTATAGGGCAGCAGACAGCTAGACAGCTTGCTCTCAAGGAGTTTAGATTCTAGTGCAGGAGAAACAATAAGTCAGCAAACAAAATAATCAGATAGTAGAAGGTGTTTTATGGAGAATTATTACAGGTGATATGATACAGTGGTTATTGGGTGGCTAATTATAGGTCGAGTGACTAAGGTAGGGAAAGAGTCTGAACAACAGGAAGTAACCAGCCATGCAAAGATTGGGGCTGAGCTTCCAGCACTGGGAACAGCCTAGAACAAAAGCCCCTATGGAGGACCGAAAGCCCTGTGTGGCTAGAGCGTAGTGGGTTGGGGAGAGAGGAGAAAATGAGATAGTCGGGCCAGAGTTCATAGGCCAGGGCAGGTATTTTGCAATGTGATGGAGAATGAAGTGTTTTAACAAGAGAATGACAGTATGTTTTTTTTTTTTTTGAGATAGAGTCTCACTCTATCGCCCAGGGTGGAGCACGGTGGCATGAACTCGGCTCACTGCAACCTCTGCCTCCCGGGTTCAAGCAATTCTCCTGCCTCAGCCTCCCGAGTAGCTGGGATTACAGGCATGTACCACCATCCCCAGCTAGTTTTTGTATTTTTAGTTGAGATGGGGTTTCACCATGTTGGCCAGGCTGGTCTCGAACCCCTGACCTCAAATGATCCACCTGCCTTGGCCTCCCAAAATGTTGTGATTACAGGCGTGAGCCACCATGCCCGGCTTGTATGATTTACTATTTAAAAATTTCTGGGCCAGGCGCGGTAATCCCAGCACTTTGGGAGGCCAAGGCGGGCGGATCATGAGCTCAGGAGTTCAAGACTAGCTTGACCAATGTGGTGAAACCCTGTCTCTACTAAAAATACAAAAAAAAATTTAGCTGAGTGTGGTGGCACGTGCCTGTAGTCCCAGCTACTCAGGAGGCTGAGGCAGGAGAATTGCTTGAACATGGGAGGCAGAGGTTGCAGTGAGCTGAGATCTTGCCACTGCACTCCAGCCTGGGCGACAGAGCAAGACTGCATCCTCCACAACCAAAAAAAAAAAAAAAATTCTGTCTTTGAGGAAAAAAAGGTGACTTATGATTATTGTATGGAGATGGGATTGTACTAGGGGTAAGTGTAGAAATAGGGAAGTCAGGAGGCTCTTATAGAAGATGATGATGACTCAGATTAGGGTGGTAATGATGTAGAGAAGTAGATAAATTTGCTACATATTTTGTAGTAATTAAAGATAATGAATAGAAATTGAAAAATATTTTTTTCAATTTCAAGCTTGCTTTGGAACGTCAGAAAACTGCAGAGAAAGAGCGATTATTTCTTGTATATGCTAAGCAGTGGTGGAGAGAATATTTGCAAATTCGACCCTCACACAACTCACGACTGGTTAAGATTTTTGCACAGGTTTGTAAATTATATTAGAATAATTTTATGCCTGTATTTGAGATTTACTGTTATGTGTGTAAATTTCATTTAATATTTATTTGTAAAATGTATTCCAAAAAATAAAAGTGTATTTGTAAAATAAAATGCTGATTTTGTAATATTCTCTTTCACTGCATAGTGAGTGGCAAGATCAATCTATGTCTTATTTTACTTTCAATTTCAGTTATTGTGGGTTTTTGAAAAATCACCTTTCTCAGGTTGAATCAATTATTGTGTTTTAAACCCTTTCTGAATATATTTGATTTAAAGTAGATGAAAATCCATTTTGTTTAACTTGGAATGTGTATTTGCTTGATACTTAGTGCTAAATAATTAACCATTTGGACACTTTGCAGGTTATATGTAAATCCAGCTCTTGTGTGCAGAACGGGGGGGGGCTCTGGGCATATATATATTTTTTGTTAGGGTTTTAAAAAAAATTGTATATAACCACGACTTCTAAGCCAGTGACCAGTAATGTTTAACTGAAGCATTTCAACTATATATCTCTGCCTCCATTTTTCCTGAGTCCTAAACCCATTTTCTCTCTTTAACAGACCAATATAAAATATATGGTCAGGTCAGCTAGGCGCGGTGGCTCACGCCTGTAATCCCAGCACTTGGGGAGGCCGAGGTGGGTGGATCAAGAGGTCAGGAGATCGAGACCATCCTGGCTAACACGGTGAAACCCCGTTTCTACTAAAAACACAAAAAATTAGCCGGGCGTGATGGCGGGCTCCTATAGTCGCAGCTACTCGGGAGGCTGAGGCAGGAGAATGGCGTGAACCCGGGAGGCGGAGCTTGCAGTGAGCCGAGATCGCACCACTGCAGTCCGGCCTGGGCAACACAGCAAGACTCCGTCTCAAAAAAAAAAACAACAAAAAATGTGGTCAGGTTCACGTATTTTTTGTAACTCCTAAGGAACAGTTCAAATATTTTGTATATATTCAGCCTCATACAGATGCTTTCATATAAGTATAGTGTAGTATATTATTTTAAGTTAAGTTTCTCAAATCCTGTACATTCATCCAGCTTTACCCTACTTTCCCTAGATTTTGGAACAGGCTAAAAGTGGTTTAGTGTCCAGATGGGGAGCTTGGGAATGAGAGGTTGACTAGAGGTGGGAATAAGGGAAATGGCTTCTGACTTTCTGATAGCGTTGTTTATATATTGAATGACTGGTTGGCAAGGTAACAACATTATCAGGACAAAGGCAAGGAGAAACCAATCAAAATGTAACTGGCTTCCTGGCCGGGCGCGGTGGCTCACGCCTGTAATCCCAGCACTTGGGGAGGCCGAGGCAGGTGGATCCTCTGAGGTCAGGGGTTTGAGACCAGCCTGGCCAACATGGCGAAACCTTGTCTCTACTAAAAATACAAAAATTAGCCAGGCTTGGTGGCAGGCACCTATAATCCCAGTTAGTCAGGAGGCTGAGGCAGGAGAATTGCTTAACCCGGGAGGCGGAGGTTGCAGTGAGCGAAGATCACGCCATTGCACTCCAGCCTGGGCAACAGAGTGAGACTCTGTCTCAAAACAATAACAACGACAAAAAATATACATATATATATATATAAACTGGCTCCCTGCTGTCTATATAGTCTGAGGCATTTATTCATTGCCACGTGGAATTAGGAACTAGAGAGGACTCAGGATGGAGTGAGGCAGTGAATCAGAGAAATGGCAGGATCAAAGAGGAGGAAGAAGTTGAAATGCACTAAGGAAGTCAAGGAAGTGGGATTTTCTTTTAGGAAATATTACTTAAACGACTTCCTCTCTCAGAATTCATTTTAAGATTTGAACCATAGAACGTAATTTAGTCTCATAGTAACCATATAAGATTGTCAAGTGGCCAGGCATTGGCTCTTTTTGTAAACAGTATGAAGGTTAGAGAAGTGAACAGTCTTTTCAAGGCCAAACAGCAACTCAGTCATGGCAAAGTCTGTGTCAAATTGGAGTTTCAACTGGTGCCTTTTTGGTTTATGCCACCTCTTTCCATATACATAGAGTAAATAAAATGCTGATTTAATTTAGATTCCTCAGAACTGTTTCTTGCTGCTTCCTGTATTTGACTAGTTCTGAAATTAAACAACAACAGTGTAAAACAGTCAATCTAATTATAAAAACAATAGTTATAAATCAAAACGTTAATATACATATCCAGGCCAAAAAAATTTCTAATGTATCCAGCACTGAAAGTAAAGTAAAGAACTTTTTTTTGTTGTTGTTGTGAGACAGAGTCTCAGTCACCCAGGGTTGAGTGCAGTGGTGCGATCTTGGCTCACTGCAACCTCCACCTCCCAGATTCAAGTGATTCTCCTGCCTCAGCCTCCCAAGTAGCTGGGACTACAGGCACGTGCCACCATGCCTGGCTAATTTTTTGTGTTTTTAGTAGAGATGGGGTTTCACTGTGTTAGCCAGGATGGTCTCGATCTCCTGACCTCATGACCCGCCCGCCTCGGCCTCCCAAAGTGCTGGGATCATAGGCGTGAGCCACCACACCTGGCCAAGAACTTTTTGCAATGATGGAAATGTTCTGTATCTGTGCTAACCAGTATGGTAGCCACCAGCCATGTACTGAGCATTCAAAATGTGGCTATTATGACTAAAAATAATTGAATTTTAAATTTTAATTAAAATTTAAATAGCTCATAATGGTTAGTGATTTTCTCACTGGACAGTGCCCATTCAGAGGTTGAAATATTAACTTTTCAAAACAGTTAAGTAGCTTGTGGGGATATATTTAGATAATATTAGAATATTGCTGTAATAAAATGATATATCTTACATTCTAAGATGCTACTATTGATGATTGACTTAGGCAAATGCTTCCACTTCTTATGTGCTCATCTTTTCTTGCCTGTTAGTGGATTTGTAAGAATAGGAGTAACAGTCCTGCACCTCAATACTAACCAAAGATCTGTAGATTTGCCGTGGCCATTATACTTAAAAATTCATTATTCTTTTTACCCTTTGTTAGCTGGTTTTGCTATAGTATAGTAGTAATTCATTGAATGATGCTTTTTGAACTTTTTAGTGCAAGAAACTTTAAAATAAGTTACAGAAATTGAACTTTAAGGCCACTAGGTTTTGTTTTTTTTTTTTTTTTTTTGAGATGGAGTCTCGCTCTCGCCCAGGCTGGAGTGCAGTGGCACGATCTCGGCTCACTGCAAGCTCCGCCTCCCAGATTCATGCCATTCTCCTGCCTCAGCCTCCTAAGTTGCTGGGACCACATGCCTGGCTAATTTTTTTTGTATTTTTAGTGGAGATGGGGTTTCACCATGTTAGCCAGGATGGAATTGATCTCCTGACCTCGTGATCCACCCACCTTGGCCTCCCAAAGTGCTGGGATTACAGGCGTGAGCCACCGTGCCCAGCCTAAGGCCATTAGGTTTTAAGAAAATGTTGTAAATCACTTGAGGATTGAGGATATTCTTTTAATATTTAGTTTGTGATTTCAGGACTTAGTATTCTTATACCACACTAGATTATTAGTAATGCTAAGTTCATGTAAAAGAAAACCATAGTTCTCTACATCCCCCCAAAATTAGAATAATAATCCTCTGTTTTAAAAATCGGTGCCCTCTAGGCCAGGCACAGTGGCTCACACCTGTAATACCAGCACTTTGGGAGGTCGAGGTGGGCGGATCACTTGAGGTCAGGAGTTTGAGACCAAGCCTGGTCAACATCGTGAAACCCCATCTCTACAAAAATACAAAAATTAGCCAGGTGTGGTGGCACATACCTGTAATCCCAGCTACTCAGGAGGCCGAGGCACAAGAATCGCTTGAACCCATGGGCGGAGGTTGCAGCGAGCCGAAATCACACTACTGCACTCCAGCCTGGACAACAGCGAGACTCTGTCTCAAAAAAAAAAAAAAAAAAATTGATGCCTTCTATAGTTGAGAACTATAGGTATGAGTGGAATCTATAGCCAAGTTGCTCTGCAACATAAAAATTAATGATCTTTCTCATTATAATCAAATGTAAATAAGTGAGTTTTTTTTTCCTTGCTAAAGTATGGGACTATATTGGAAAAAGATGTTCTGGTTGTGGAGAAAGACATCAGTGGTTCTGATAATTCAAACAGATGGTGTTTCTTTTGGCTGGGTTAGATCTCATGTCCTGAGGAACCCTATCAGGGAGGGTAGGTCATCTCCAAATCTTGAATAGTAAGTGGCCCTTTCACAGTGCCGTATCAGTAACCATGAAGGTAAAGAGATTGTGGACTTTGGTAATACTCACTGTAAAATCACAGTGGTAGACAGTCATCAGAGACCTATATATGCATACAAGTTATTCAGCACCAACACCAGGAGATATCCTGTATTTAGGATGTAAAACTTTTTCTAGAGTGTTTTTTGAAATTTTGCTTTCAATTGACTTGGTTAACAAATTATTGTTTCCTGTGGATCTCTAAATTTGAGGCCCTAATGGAAACAAACTAGAATCAAGCTACAATCATTTCTGTTATATCAGCCAATCAGAAGAGTTATTTGTTCTGTCTGGCTATATGTTGTTAAATTCTATATGGTAATGTGAAAAAATACTTCAGCTTAGAGCACCTCTCCCTCCCCTACATACCTACCCACACATTTCTCAGAGGAGTTCTTATTGCCACAGCCTTTGGAGTAAAACAGCTCAGAGCTTGAACCTGGCTCTGTTGCATAATAGCTGTAGCTCCTCAGTTTTCATCTATAAAATGAAAATAACGGAGATGAGGATTAAGGGAAATTATATACACAGCACTTTGCAGCCAAATACTGGATACAAGGTAAGCACTCGATCAATGGTATGCTGAATTATTTTATCCTACATTAATGTATTTGAAAAAAACATAATTGGGGATGATTAATATGTCATTACAGATGTTTTTCCCCTTTTCCCTAGGATGAAAATGGGATAAATAGACCAGTCTGTTCCTATGTTAAACCACTTCGAGCTGGACGGCTTCTTGATACTCCAAGGCAAGCAGCAAGATTTGTTAATGTCCTTGGTTATGAACGAGCCCCTGTTATTGGAGGAGGAGGTAAACAGGAGCAGTGGTGCACTCTGCTGGCCTTTCTCTGTAGAAACAAGGTATTATACACACATAATAGAATTAAGTAGCAGTATATCATAGTTACTCTGAATTTGTAATCCATTTGTAAAAGAATGCCTTAGAAAAATGCACATATAGTCAACCCTCTGTACCCACAGGTTCTGTATCTGTAGATTCAACCAACTGCAGATCAAAAATACTTACAAAAGTAAAAAATTACAATAATAAAAAATAGTACAAATTAAAAAATGGTGTGTAACAACGTTTATGTAGCATTTACATTGTATTGAGATTTTTAAACAATTTAGAGGTGATTTAAAGTATATAGGAGGATGTGCTTAGGTTATATATAAAATACTATACCATTTTGGCTGGCCGCAGTGGCTCATGCCTGTATCCCAGCATTTTGGGAGGCTGAGGCAGGTGGATCACCTGAGGTCAGGAGTTCAAGACCAGTCTGGGCAACATGGTGAAACCCTATCTCTACTAAAATACAAAAAATTATCTGGGCATGGTGTCGTGTGCCTGTAATCCCAGCTACTCAGGAGGCTGAGGCAGGAGAATCACTTGGACCCTGGAGGCGGAGGTTGCAGTGAGCTGAGATCGCACCATTGCACTCTAGCCTGAGGACAGAGCAAGACACGTCTCAAAAAAAAAAAAAATACTATTTTATATAAGCCTTGAGTATCCACGGATTTTGTTTTGCAAGGGTCCTGGAACTAACCGCTTTGGGGTGCTATCAGCTTGACCACGTCAGAACCTTGTTCTGTTTTTCATAACATTTAAATATCAATACACAAAAAACTCAGCATCTTTATTTTCTCATGTAGTTTCTTATTTATTGTGATTTCTGTGATGTAGGGACCTACAAGTACTAAAATGTCAGAAATCAAGTTGCAGAATGAATTAGGAACAGCACCAGGACCAGACCATGGCTTTCTGGTACTACTGATGTGTTGCAATTTGCTCAGATAATACATCTTTAAAAAAGAGAAAATAAGGCTGGGCGTGGTGGCTCATGCCTGTAATCCCAGCACTTTGGGAGGCAGAGGTGGGTGGATCACCTGAGGTCAGGAGTTCAAGACCAGTCTGACCAACGTGGAGAAACTCCGTCTCCACTAAAAGTACAAAATTAGCGTGGTGTGGTGGCACGTGCCTGTAATCTTAGCTACTGAGGAGGCTGAGGCAGGAGAATTGCTTGAACCTGGGAGGCGGAGGTTGTGGTGAGCTGAGATCGCGCCATTGCACTCCAGCCTGGGCAACGAGCGAAACTCCATAAAAAAAAAAGAGAAAATGGCAGTACAAAATTAATATAGAAAAAATATTAAAATAGAAAAAAATCTTGAATTGCATGCTATTTAGTTTGTTTAGTTTGTATTTAAATACAAATGTATATTTAATTACACTTTTTGAATGACTTGATTTTAGTAAACTAATTTTATAGATTATGGGATATTTCCTAATCTGTGTTCTAAAAATGTTGATAGTATGATAACAAACAAGTAAAACTATCTTTAGGCCAGGCGCGGTGGCTCACGCCTGTAATCCCAGCACTTTGGGAGGCCGGGGAGGGTGGATCACCTGTGGTCGGGAGTTCTAGAACAGCCTGGCTAACATGGAGAAACTCCATCTCTACTGAAAAAATACAAAAATTAGCCAGCCATGGTGGCGGGCTCCTGTAATCCCAGCTACTTGGGAGGCTGAGGCAGGAGAATCACTTGAACCTGGGAGGTGGAGGTTGCAGTGAGCCGAGATCACGCCATCGCACTCCAGTGTGGGCAATAAGAGCAAAACTCCATCTCAAAAAAAAAAAACAAAAAACTATCTTTAGCCTGGGTGACAGAGCGAGACTCTGTCTCAAAAAAAATAAATAAAGGTGACAGCAGGCCAGGCATGGTGGCTCATGCCCGCAATTCCAGCACTTGGGTAGGCCAAGGTGGGCAAATCACTTGAGCCCAGAAGTTCCAGACAAACCTGGGCAACATGGCAAAATCCCTCTCTCTAAAAAACTATAAAAATTACCCAGGCATGGGCCAGGTGTGGTGGCTCACGCCTGCAATCCCAGCACTTTGGGAGGCTGAGGCGGGCGGATCACACGGTCAGGAGATCGAGATCATCCTTGCTGATACGGTGAAACCCCATCTCTACTAAAAACACAAAAAAAGGAGAATCACTTGAACCCATGAGGTGGAGGTTGCAGTGAGCTGAGATCGCGCCACTGCACTCCAAACTGGACGACAGAGCAAGACTCTGTCTCAAAAAAAAATACATATATATATGATATCATATATATGATATATATCATATATATATTTAGATTTTTTACTGTACAAACAACAGCATTACAACAGTAATGGTGAAACTTTACCTATAATTCTATTCCTAGTTTATTATTTCTTTTTATATTTTTTCTGCTGTATATGTATCATTTATTTCATAATTATAATTGTAAATAAATTTTTGTATCTTGCTTTATAATTAAGCATTATGCTATGAACATTTTTCTATGTGTTGCTACAGTCTTTCTGATTTCCTTTTTTTTTTAAATGAGACAGAGTTTTCCTCTTGTCGCCCAGGCTGGAGTGCAATGGCATGATCTCGGCCCACTGCAACCTCCGTCTCCTGGGTTCAAGCGATTCTCCTGCCTCAGCCTCCCTAGTAGCTGGGATTACAGGTGCCCGCCACCACCCCCAGCTCATTTTTGTATTTTTAGTAGAGATGGGGTTTCACTGTGTTGGCTAGGCTGGTCTCGAACTCCTGACGTTAGGTGATCTGCCCGCCTCTGCCTCCTAAAGTGCTGATTTCCGTTTTTTAATGAGTGTTTTAAGTTTCCTTGAGTCAATATACAAAATACATTTAACTATTTCCCTATTGTAGGAACTGCCAAGTTAGGCTCTTTTTTTTTTATTCAGTGGTTTTGTTGTTGTTGTTTTCTTTTGTTTTTGTTTAGGACGGGGTCTCGCTCTGTCGCCCAGGCTGGAGTGCAGTGTCACGATCTCGACTCACTGCAACCTCCGCCTCCCAGCCTCAAGCAATTCTCCTACCTCAGCCTCCTGAGTAGCTGGGACTACAGGCATGGAGCCACCATGCCTGGCTTTTTTTTTTTTTTTTTTGGTATTTTTAGTAGAGATGGGGTTTCTTGGCCAGGGTGGTCTCAAACTCCTGGCCTCAAGTGATCTGCCCGCTTCAGCCTCCCAAAGTGCTGAGATTACAGGCAAAAGCTGGCACACCTGGCCATAAAGTTAAGCTCATTTTAAATTTTTTAATGTTGCCATGAATGAACTTTCACACTGACTATCTTTGCAGATATTTTTATTTTACTTCTGAATTTTCTTTAGGACAAAATCTCAGAAATAATTGGGTCTAAAAGGTTGATTAAGCCAGGCGCAGTGGCTCATGCCTGTAATCGCAGCACTTTGGGAGGCCGAGGTGGGTGGATCACTTGAGGTCAGGAGTTCAAGACCAACCTGGCCAACATGATGAAACTCTCTCTCTACTAAAAATACAAAAATTAGCTGGGTGTGGTGGTGCACGCCTGTAGTCCTAGCTACTCAGGAGGCTGAGAATCATTGGAACCCGGGAGGAGGAGGTTGTAGTGAGCCGAGGTCATGCCACTGCATTCCAGCCTGGGTGACAGAGCGAGACTCTGTCTCAAAAAAGAAAAAAGTAAATTAAAAAATAAAAGATTGGTTATTACATTTTTGTAAAGCCACTTGAAGAACTATAAAATGCTATTTGTTTTCTTACAGTTAATTTTTTTTAAAAAACTTTAGCACCACCAAATCCAATTTTTTGGAGAAAGAAATTTCTTGGCCAGGTAAGGTGGCTCATGCCTGTAGTCCCAGCACTTTGGGAGGCTGAGGCAAGCGGATTGCTTGAGTCCAGGAATTCGAGACCAGCCAGGGCAACTTGGTGAAACCTTGTCTCTACAAAAACACAAAAAATAGCTGGGCCTGGTGATGAGTGCCTGTGGTCCCAGCTATTCAGGAGGCTGAGGCGGGGGAATCACTTGAGCTGGGGACATCAAGGCTGCAGTGAGCTGAGGACGTCAAGGCAGCATTGAGCTGAGATCATGCCACTGCACTCCAGCCTGGGTGTCAGAACTAGACCCTATCTCAAAAGAGAGGAAAAAAAAAAGAAATTTCTTCATTCGGACACTCAACTCAAATAGTTATTTTTGCTTTCGCGTGTAGTCTTCCTACACTTAAATACGAAATTGTAACCATAGTGTTTAATATCTTGGTAATTTTTTTCACAGAACACAGTATCAGATATTTTCTTTTCTTTTTTTCTTTTTTTTTTTAGAGACAGAGTCTCACTCTGTTGTCCAGGCTGGAGTGCAGTGGCACGATCTCAGCTCACTGCAATCTCTGCCTCCCAGGTTCAAGCGATTCTCCTGCCTCAGCCTCCTGAGTAGCTGGGATTACAGGCACACACCACCATACCCAGCTAATATTTTCTATTTTTTTATAGGTCTTTATAACTTTTTAAAATTGAAAGTAATATAACCAAAGAAAATCTGGAAAAAGAGTGGAAAATTATATATAACCTCCCCAGTAATAACCATTGTTGGCATTTTGTTGTTGTTCTTGCCAGTCATTTTTCTTATGTATGTATTTTCTTGAAATTATCACATATAGATACTATCAGTCATTGGTTGAGTGTTTTCCATTTATTTGCATTTCTTGCTGTATGACTTGTTTGCTTGTTTGTTCATGTACTTCAGCTATTAATCTATTAAAATATTCCAGGCTGGGCACAGGAGCTCATGCCTGTAATCCCAACACTTTGGGAGGCTGAGGCAGGAGGATCACTTGAGCCCAGGAGTTCAAGAGCAGCCTGGGTAACACAGTAAGACCCCTGTTTATACAAAAAAAATTTTAAAATTAGCTAGGTGTCATGGTGCACACCTTTAGTCCCAGCTACTTGGGAGGCTGAGATGGGGAAATCACTTAAGCCCAGGAGGTCAAGGCTGCTATGAATCATGTCACCAGCCTGGGTGACAGAGGAAGACCCTGTCTCAAAAAAAAAAAAAAAAAAAAATGTTCTACTTTTCTTTCTGTGTTGTGTGAGTTCTTTATAAACATTTTTTTTTTTTTTTGGAAACAGAGTCTTACTCTGTTGCTGAGGCTGGAATGCAGTGGCGCGATTGTAGCTCACTGCAACCTCCGCCTCCCAAGTTCACGTGATTCTCTTGCCTCGCCTCCTGAGTAGCTGGGACTAATGGTGTGTGCTACCACACCCGGCTAATTTTTGTATTTTTAGTAGAGACAGAGTTTCCTTATGTTGGCCAGGCTGGTCTTGAACTCCTGACGTCATGTGATCCACCCGCCTTGGCCTCCCAAAGTGTTGGGATTACAGGCGTGAGCCACTGTGCCCAGCCAATAAATTTTTATTATAATTTAGTATTTAAGTATGTAATGAGGAAATAATATGGAAGAATGAATACTTCATTTTAATTTATCTTCCAGGGTGACTGTGAAGATCACGCTAACCTTCTGTGCAGCCTTCTTCTTGGATATGGATTAGAAGCCTTTGTTTGTGTTGGGACCAAGGCAAAAGGAGTACCTCATGCATGGGTTATGACTTGTGGAACTGATGGGGCCATCACTTTTTGGGAGAGTTTAACAGGACACAGGTTAGTTTACTAAGTTTATAAGGATATTAAAATGAAGTTATAAGTTTTTTTTTTTTTTTTTTTTTGAGATGGAGTCTCGCTCTGTCGCCCAGGCTGGAGTGCACTGGCACAATCTCAGCTCACTGCAACCTCCACCTCCCAGGTTCAAGCCGATTCTCCTGTCTCAGCCTCCCAAGTAGCTGGGATTACAGGCATGTGCCACCGCACCTGGCTGATTTTTGTATTTTTAGTAGAGACAAGTTTTCACCATGTTAGCCAGGCTGGTCTCGAACTCCTGACCTTAGGTGATCCACCTACCTCAGCCTCCCAAAGTGCTGGGATTACAGGCGTGAGCCACTGTGTCCGGCTTAAGTTATAAGTATTTTAAATTATAAGGGTTTTTTGTCCATATTGATGGTACTTGAAGGTACGTGTTGATGATTTTAGTTAGAGCCTTTTCAGTGATTATGTAAAAAAGTACTTCAATTATGGCAGCCAAGTAAATGAACTCTAAGAAAACTTTTACCTCAAATATTCTTTACCAACATGATGTTGGTAAACAGTAAATTATGTTTACTAGTTTTGTATGATTAGCATATTTTTTTTTCAGTTTTCTCTTTTTTTTTTTTTGCAGTGTCTCATTCTGTTGCTCAGGCTGGAGTGCAGTGGCACAGTCACAGCCCACTGCAGCCTCCCCCTCCTGGGTTCTGGTGGTCCTCCTACCTCAGCCTCTTGCGTAGCTGGGACTGCAGGTGTGCACAGCCATGCCTAGCTAATTTTTTTGTAGGGATGAGCTTTTGCTGTGTTGTCTAGGCTGGTCTTGAACTCCTGGGCTCAAGCAGTCTACCTGCCACGGCCTTCCAAAGTGCTGAGATTATAGGCATGAGCCACCACACCTGGCTGGCATATGTTTTTTTCTGATGATCATACCTAAGTCTGAAAATAAGTTCAAGTTGTAAATGATGATTTCTTTTTAAAATTTGATGTGGTTACCATCTCCACGTTGGCAAATCCACTGGACACATTTTTTAAAGTACTTTAGCCTGTCATTAGATTTTGAAACAGCTGAGTACTTCTGTTGTAGGACTTCTTCCTTAGTTCAGCTAAGAGCTGAGTCCTTGTCACATGGCCACGAAAAATTAGGCTCGCAGGCAATTTGAAGGGGGAGAAAAATGGAATTTATTGAACAAAAAGGAAAAACACTGGGAAACGGACGCTCCACAAAGCCAGAGTGCCTGCTAGTGTGCTTCGTGCCTGCTAGTGTGCTTCCTGCCTGCTAGTGTGCTTCCTGCCTCGCAGATTGAATTCCAGCTTCCACTCAGGAAGAGGAGGGGCCAAGCTCCTCCCCACTGCAAATTGCTCGAACTTCTGTGGCTTCTCCCCAGTGTGCACTCCTCCCAGTGCACAGGCTGGTTGGAGTTTCTCTGGGGACCCCTTTCCACCTGGCTGTCTCACTTCTTTCTTCATGGAACATTCTCTTTCCTTAGCTTCTTTTTTATCATTGTCTTTCAATATTTATTATTCCTCTCTGGCTGTTCTTAGTTTTTCCTTCATCTTGTCTTTAAATGTGTGTGTTCTAGAGGCCCAGCCCTGGGCCCTCTTTTCATTCCCGAGTCCTCTTTCTCCCTGGTTGATAATCATGCCTAATAATGTTTTGGTTAGTTGTGCCTAAAAATGCATAACCAAATTATTTTAATTATGTTATCTGAGGCAAACTTTTTTTATTTTTATTTTTTTTTCTTGGAGATGGAGTTTCGCCCTTGTTGCTCAGGCTGGACGGCTCACTGCAGCCTCCGCCTCCCGGGTTCAAGCAATTCTCCTGGCTTAGCCTCCCGAGTAGCTGGGACTACAGGCACGTGCTCCCATGCCCAGCTAATTTTTGTATTTTTAGCAGAGACGGGGTTTCACCATGTTGGTCAGGTTAGTCTCGAACTCTTGACCTCAGGTGATCCCCCTGCCTCGGCCTCCCAAAGTGCTGGGACTACCGCATCCGGCCTTTGATCTTAACAGTATACATAGAATGTATTCTGTTGTTAACAGAGTTGGTTTCAATATTGTAAAGACGTACCATACAATTAATACAGAGTAATCAAATTGTGGAAATATAAAAAAGAAAAACAAGTATTAAACTGTAGTTCTGAGAAGTAGTTATGGCCTTAAGTGTTAGAATAATTTTCTCAGTAAGATGCTGCCTTTTTAATTTTTAAGTTCTCATATATAAAATTATTTAATTTTTTTAGGTACATCCATAAACCTACCAATCCTGATGAACCTCCAGTTGCTGAACAGCCCAAACCACTGTACCCATATCGAACAATTGGTTGTGTTTTCAACCATCAGATGTTCCTGGGAAATTGTCAACCCTCTGATGCAGTAGAAACCTGTGTATTTGATTTGAACGATGAATCCAAATGGAAACCCATGAGTGAGGAAGCAATTAAATCTGTGTGTGCTCCTGGAGCTACAACATCCCTTCCTCCCTTTCCACCTCTGTGTGCATCCACAATTGACGCGTCAGTAACAAGTAATGAAATTGAAATGCAGCTGAGGCTCCTGGTGTCAGAACACAGGAAGGTAATTCACACTGAAATAGTTGTAGTTTCATACTTCTTTTCATTTATGTATTTAACTGTTTTTTGGTGTGTGTGATAGTGCCAGTCACTATTCTAGCCCTGAACAAAACAACTACAGTCCCTACTATTATGAAGCTTATAATTTTGAAAGTCATGAGAGTTCAAGTTCTGAGACTCAAAAATCTTCAAATTAATTAATACTTATAGAATGAATTACTTCCTCCTAGAAATGAAGAATGGTGAACTTGTTCACATCCCTTAGAGTCAAGATTTTTGCTGAATACCACTATTTGGATTTTGTCTTTGTGAAATGCTTATTCACATATTTGCCCCTTAAAAAATCCTGGGTTAGGCTGGGCTTGATGGCTCATGCCTATAACCCCAGCACTTTGGGAGGCTGAGGTGGGTGGATCGCTTGAGCCCAGGAGTTCAAGACCAGCCTGGGGAATATGGTGAAACATCATCTCTATTATTTTTTAAAGAAAAAATATGTATACTGGGTTATACTTTTTTCATATTCATTTTTCTCCCCAGGTTGGTTTCTGTTTGTTTTCATGTTGTACTCAACTGGGTAGACGTCTGGCTTTAATTTGCATTTCCCTGATTACTTTTGAGATCAAACCTCTTTTTTTTTTTTTTTTTTTTTTTTTTGAGATGGAATCTCTCGCTCTGTCACCCAGGCTGGAGCGCAGTGGCGTGATCTTGGCACAGTGGCGTGATCTTGGTTCACTGCAACCTCTACCTCCCAGGTTTAAGCAATTCTCCTGCCTCAGCCTCCTGAATAACTGGGATTATAGACATGTGCTACCACGCTGCCAGTTTTTGTATTTTTTGTAGAGATAGGGTTTCACCATGTTGGCCAGGCTGATCTCGAAGTGATCTACCTGCCTCAGCCTCCCAAAGTGCTGGGATTACAGTTGTGAGCCACTGCGCCCAGCCAGATCAAGCCTCTTGTCAAATAGCATGTAGATTTCCTTTGTAAAGTGCTTTTAAGAAGACATAAAAAGTATTAGTCATAAAGGAAAAGATTAATGTATCTTAAAGACTTAAGCTCATCAAGAGAAGACATTAAGAGATTGAAGCTGTGGGGTGGGAAAAGTTGTTTGTAACACATATCACCAACAAAGGACTAGAATCCAAAATGCCTACAAAATATTTCTGATTCACCTTTTAGGGTTCCCTGTTCCACTCCTCACCTTGGGTGAGCCCTGTTTTCTGTGTTCTTTGGGGCTATCAAAGGCAAACTGATTTATCAAACATGTTCTCTGGGTTCCCAGTTACTCTTAGCTTTGGCCTCTAAATATTTCTTATTCACTTGTCAACTTATCAAAGCATTTAAACATACATTTTGGAAAACCTGGCATTTGTAATATGTTTTCAGCAAAAGTTGGTCAGGGGACCTCTGGTCCATTATATTGCTGGAAATGAATGCCCCTTATTACTTTTTCTTTCCTTCCATCACTTGTATTGGCTTTAGCTTTCTTTTCTTAGGTTCTGCTTACAAATAAAAGCAATATCTTATAAAAATTACTTTTGGCCAGGCACAGTGTCTCACGCCTGTAATCCCAGCAGTTTGGGAGGCTGAGATGGGTGGATTGCTTGAGCTCAGGAGTTCAAGACCAGCCTGGGCAACGTGGTGAGACCCTATCTCTACAAAAAGTACAAA
Organism: Homo sapiens; assembly: GCF_000001405.40. Taxonomy (NCBI): domain Eukaryota; kingdom Metazoa; phylum Chordata; class Mammalia; order Primates; family Hominidae; genus Homo; species Homo sapiens. The sequence goes on along the minus strand of NC_000018.10, from coordinate 12,676,443 downwards.
AATTAGCCGGGTGTGGTGGTGCATGCCTGTAGTCCCAGATACTCGGAGGCTGAGGTGAAAGGAGCCGGGGAGGCAGAGGTTGCAGTGAGCCGAGATTGTGCCACTGCACTCCAGCCTGGGTGACAGAGTAAGACCCTGTCTCAAAAAAAAAAAAAAAAAAAAAAGGAATTACTGTTTACAGAAAAAGAAAACAAAGCTGTGATAGATGCCAGTGTTGATCACTATTTAAGTTAAGGTGCCTGTAAATCAGCAAAAGTTCACATTTTGCCGCAGGAAAAGCATTGTTAATCGTGGATCTTTGAGACCATTTGTGATGAGTTAAAACCTTGAATATAAAATGAGGAAATACCAAAGATCCATTATGATAATCAAAATATCTAGAATTTTGAGAATTTTTTGTATTTGTAATATTATTATTTTTAACTTCATGTGTCCAGATATCAATAGGTCTTTTGGTGTTATAAATGGAATCATGGGCTGGGCACGGTGGCTTATGCCTGTAATCCCAGCACTTTGGGAGGCCGAGGTGGGTGGATCACTTGAGGTCAGGAGTTTGAGACCAGCCTGGCCAACATGGTGAAAGCCCGTCTCTACTAAAAATACAAAAATTAGCCGGGCATGGTGGCAGGTGTCTGTAGTCCCAGCTACTCAGGAGTCTGAGGCAGGAGAATCGCTTGAACCTGGGAGGCAGAGGTTGCAGTGAGCCGAGATCGCGCCACTGCATTCCAGCCTGGGCAACAGAGTAAGACTCTGTCTCAAAAAATTTAAAAAAATAAAAAATAAATGGAATCATGTTGTTTTTAACATTCCATAGAAATATGTTTTAAGCTCCCTAAGGGCCTATAAAATGTCTTCATCTTTTTATCTCTTACAGTATATAAGTTTTATAGAGTACATGTTCAGTAAATATTTGTTTAATCACATAGAATTAATTTGTTGACTTTTCTCACCTCTGTAGTTGAGTTTATGGTAGGAAGAGTCAGTCTTTAGTAAACAGATTCATTCTTACTAAACTCTTTTTTATTTATTTTATTTATTTATTTTTTTTGAGACAGAGTCTCGCTCTGTTGCCCAGGCTGGAGTGCAGTGGCACGATCTCGGCTCACTGCAAGCTCTGCCTCCCGGATTCATACCATTCTCCTGCCTCAGCCTCCCAAGTAGCTGGGACTACATGCACCCGCCACCACGCCCAACTCATTTTTTGTATTTTTAGTAGATACAGGGTTTCACCTTGTTAGCCAGGATGGTCTCAATCTCCTGACCTCATGATCCGCCCACCTCAGCCTCCCAAACTGCTGGGATTACAGGCGTGAGCCACCGCACCCGGCCTAAACTCTTTAAAGTTAAGTAAAATATCTCAAAATATAAGAATTATACCTGTCCTCCATATTAGGACTATTTCATATAGTATTTTGTAGTAGATATTAGAGAAGTACAGGATTTGGAGACTTTGTGAACATTGTTTTGAATGTTTTTTGGTTGTTTCTCTAAAAAGTAAAATCTGATCACCTATAGTTCCTTTTATCTGATTTTTATTTCTATGTATCCCTATAATTATTATTATTAAAATATTATGATAGCTTTTAAAAATCTTTTCTTGGTATACATTAAAATAATCAACATTTTTATTTAGTTGGTTTTAAAAATATTAATGTATTTCACTTTTTCTTTTTCTCTTGATTGCTCATAGGATCTTGGCCTCACTACTGTTTGGGAAGACCAGCTCTCCTACCTTTTATCACCAGCTTTGGCTTCTTATGAATTTGAGCGTACAACAAGTATATCAGCAGGCAATGAAGAATTTCAAGATGCCATAAGAAGGGCTGTACCTGATGGTCACACATTTAAAGGGTTCCCAATACATTTTGTGTATAGAAATGCAAGACGTGCATTTGCCACATGTCTTCGGTAAGGTGTAATTTACGGAATCATTTTTTCAGTTTAGGAGTCTTACAGATCAGTCCGGCAGGGGTTTTTTTAATTTCCTTTTTTTTTTTTTTTTAACTCAAGGTCTTGCTCTGCTGCCCATGCTGGAGTACAGTGGCACAGTTATGGCTCACTGTAGCCTTGACCTCCTGGGCCCAAGTGACCCTTCCACCTCACCCTCCCAGGCAACTGGGACCACAGGCATGTGCCACCATACCTGGCTATTTTTTTTATCTTTATTTTGTAGAGATGGGGGTCTTCCTATGTTGCCCAGGCTGGTCTTGAACTCCTGGGCTCAAGCAGTCTTCCCACCTCAGCCTCCCAAATTGCTGGGATTACAGGTGTGAGCCGTTGCACCCAGCCTAATCTGGTAGTTATTTAGAAATGACATCCAAGTCATATGGGAGCTTTTACAATGACTGACCCTCCTTGCCACAGATTTTGATTCATTTGGTCTGAAATGTAGCCCTAGATAGTCTGGGATTATTTGCCCAGTGATTTTGGTGCAGTCTCAGGTATCTCTGATTTTGTTTGGACTATAAGGAAATAGTCTATAATTTGAATAGCTTGACCAAAATTACAGTGTCTTTGATAGCAGAGACAGAATTTGAAAAAATTATTTTATTTATTTATTTTTGAGATGGAGTCTCAGTCTGTCGCCCAGGCTGTAGTGCAGTGGCACATTCTTGGCTCACTGCAACCTCTGCCTCCTGGATTCAAGCGATTCTCCTGCCTCAGCCTCCCAAGTAGCTGGGATTACAGACGCCCGCCACCACACGCGGCTAATTTTTGTAATTTTTAGTAGAGGCGGGGTTTCACTATGTTGGCCAAGCTGGTCTTGAACTCCTGACCTCAGGTGATCCACCTGTCTCGGCCTCCCAAAGTGCTGGGATTACAGGCATGAGCCACCACGCCTAGCCTGAAAAAATTATTTTAAATACTGATTTACTTGCAAATAAGGAATTAAAGTGTATGGTCACTTCTTAATTGAATAATTTTTTTTTTCTTAAATAGATCTCCTTTCTGTGAAGAAATAATCTGTTGCCGTGGAGACCAAGTGCGACTGGCAGTTCGTGTCCGAGTATTTACTTACCCTGAATCTGCATGTGCTGTTTGGATCATGTTTGCTTGTAAATATCGCTCGGTATTATAGGGCCAATATTTATATAAGATTTATACCTGTGTTTAATTGGAATTTTACACATTGTACATTACTTAGCTATTTAGAGGTTTGTTATTTTAAAATCACAATCTGGCTTGAATGGCATACTTCAATTTTGTATATACTTGACTGGTAATGTTTAAAAAAAATCATGCATTCCTTTAAAAATTAAGGCTGAAAAACTTGTATAAATCTCCCTGGAATTTAGTATAAATTAAGTGTATATTCTATTTTAATAAATGCTACTTTGTTTACAGTTATCAGTAGTTTAAATATTAATATAAAATGCATTCAGTTTTCTTTACACAAACAGGTAATCAAAGAGATGTTTGTCTAAGGGTTTGAGCCCTAGACAAATCAGTATGATCATTACTTTTCACAGGTTAATGGAATTATTTTATACAGATTAGGAGAAATTAACCTCATGACAGATTTATTTATTGCATTGGTGAAAATAAATGTTAATGAATTACCACTTTTGTGGTTTATTCGTGGTCCTTGGGATATTTGAGACTGTCCAGAAATTTATGGTTGGACCTTGAAGCAAGAGTAGGAAAAAACTAATACCAGAAAAGCATAAATATTAATAACCTCATATGAAAGTACATGAATCATTTAGAAATATTTATCACTGTGATTTGTTGTAAAAATGAATTGGGTATTTTAGAAAAACTTTATTATACCTCTTTGTTATGATACTGATAAATTGTGATCTTGCAGTCGATCACTGATTTTCTGTGGTCAGAGGATTCATTATTAGCCTCTTCATGGATTCTATCTTCTGAAACCCTTTTTTCTTTCATTGTGATAAAAAAATCAGCATATATGTGACTAATCTAAATAAGAGATTGATTGTGTGAGACCACTGAAAACAAGCATATGTGAGTGATTCCATACTGATTTTTGTTTTAAAATTGAGCACGTTTTAAAAATTTTGTAAGGCTCGGCGTAGTGGTTTATGCCTGTAATCCCAGCACTTTGGGAGGCCGAGGTGGGTGGATCACTTGAGGTCAGGAGTTCGTGACCAGCCTGGGCAACATGGTGAAACCCTGTCTCTACTAAAAATACGAAAATTAGGCCGGGTGCGGTGGCTCACACCTGTAATCCCAGCTACTCAGGAGGCTGAGGCAGGAGAATCGCTTGAACCTGGGAGGCAGAGGTTGCAGTGAGGTGAGATCGCGCCACTGCACTCCAGCATGGGAGGCAGAGCGAGACTGCATCTCAGAAAAAAAAAAAAGGGCCAGGCATGGTGGCTCACACCTGTAATGCCAGCACTTTGGGAGGCTGATGTGGGTGGATCACGAGGTCAGGGGTTCAAGACCAGCCTGGCCAACACAGTGAAACCCTGTCTCTACTAAAGATACAAAAATTAGCTGGGCATGGTGGCATGTGCCTGTAGTCTAGCTACTCAGGAGACTGAGGCAGGAGAATCGCTTGAACCTGGGAGGCGGAGGTTGTGATGAGCCAAGATCATGCCACTGTACTCCAGCGTGGGCAACAGAGCAATACTCCATCTCAAAAAAAATGTTTTTTATAAGTTAATTTTAAGTAGCTAGGCATGGTGTCACACACCCATAATCCAAGCTACTCGGGAGTCTGAGGCGGAAGGATCGCTTGAGTCCACAGAGGTGGTGAGCTAAGATCGCGTCACTGCATTCCAGCCTGGGTGACAGAGCAAGACTCTGTCTCAAAAAAAAAAAAAAAAAAAAAAAAGAAAGTGTGAAACCTGATTCCTCAACTTATTTTAAAATTTTATATATTAAAAAAAGTGTTAAGTGAACAAAAGTAAACTTTAAAAAGAGTAGCAATTCAACTTTTTGCAAGAAGCTGCATAATACATGATATGAGGGGTTTGATTGCCCATTTAGCACTTCTGTGCATAGTTCTTTTCATTTTTTTTAAGTTTTTTATTTTTTCAAAGAATCTTTGTTCACTCTGATATGTGTAGTTCTTAATTTAGTTGCTTTATCCATTGGTCTTAAGAAAGTAACTCTATACCAGTTGGCTATCCAAGTTATTAATTCTTTTAATCACTTTAATTCACCCCTACAAATAAAATGATTTCGTTTTTCGAAAATTAAAATCTAAAAGTGTCTTAAAATTTACTTTTTGGGCCAGGTGTGATGGCTCACACCTATAATCCCAGCACTTTTGGAGGCTGCGGCCAGAGGATGGCCCAAGAAGTAGCTCAAGACCAGCCTGGGAGCATAGAGAGACCCCCCCCTATTTCTCTAAAAGAATAAATCTACTTTGTTTTATTTTTATGTATAATAAATATTCAATTTGTTTAAAAAGTCTGAAATATTATGATCCCTCTTCTACAATTTTCATCAAAAATGGTAATCAGATGTTTCTTGTGAGACTGACATGACTGTAGAAAATTAGCAAAATAATAATTGAAGCTTTTTTTAAAGCATAGTGGTTCACACCTATAATTCCAGTACTCTGGGAGGCTGAGGCAGGAGAATCTCTTGGGTTCAGGAGTTTAAGACCAGCCTGGGCAACATAGCAAGAACCCCTCTCTACAAAAAATGTAAAAAATTAGCAGGGCGTGATCGTGCACACCTGTGGTCCCAGCTGCTTGGGAGGCTGAGGTGGGTGAATCACTTGAGCCCAAAAGATTGTGCCACTGCACTCCAGCCTGGGTGACAGAGCAAGACCCTATCTCAAAGAAAAAAAAAACTTTTTAAAAAAGTTAAAAAAAACCACTCTTTTGCCAAAATTACAAAAAAAGCTATCAACAGAAAATTGCTTGTAATTTTCAACTTTTGAGACAAACTATGAGGTATGTACTAAGAGACAGACTATATTAAGATCAAGGCTGTATTAACATTGAGGCTGAGCTTCCCACCTTATTGTACCAGAGTAACGTGTATTTCAAATGTGCTTTTGGTGTAAACTCTGTAATAAATATGCTTTTTATGCACCAATAGAGTCTGGCATTAATATTTTTCTCTGAAGACTTAATAAGGTAATTTCAGTGCATTTACCACTAGAAGTCTGCTATTCTTTTTTCTTTTTTTTTTGAGACAGAGTCTCACTCTGTTGCCCAGGCTGGAGTGCAGTGGCACAATCTTGGCTCACTGCAACCTCCACCTCGCAGGTTCAAGCAGTTCTCCTGCCTCAGCCTCCCAAGTAGCTGGGACTACAGGCACACGCTACCACGCCCAGCTAATTTTTTTGTATTTTATTAGAGAGGGGTTTCACCTTGTTGCCCAGGCTGGTCGCGAACTCCTGAGCTCAGGCAATCCACCTGCCTTGGCCTCCCCAAGTGCCGGGATTACAGGCATGGACCATCGCACCTGGCCTATTCTTCTTACTAATAATTTTTCTTTTTCTTTTTCTTTTCTTTTTTTTTTTGAGACAGTTTGGCTCTTGTTGCCCAGGCTGGAGTGCAATGGTGCAATCTCGGCTCACCGCAACCTCCGCCTCCTGGGTTCAAGTGATTCTCCTGACTCAGCCTCCCAAGTAGCTGGGATTACAGGCATGCGCCACCACACTTGGCTAATTTTTTTTAAGTAGAGACAGGGTTTCTGCATGTTGGTCAGGAGGGTCTCAAACTCCCGACCTCAGGTGATCCACCCGCCTTGGCCTCCCAAAGTGCTGGGATTACAGGCGTGAGCCACCATGCCTCGCCAATTTTTCTTTTTAAGAATTAAATTTACCTTGTATATTTAGCTGTCATAAAAGTTGTTTTTCAATTAAAAATGTAAAGTTTAAAAAACATAATGTCTCCAAGGTGGTGTTCTTGACAATATGTATGCCAACAGTCCCCTCTATATTATATATATGTAGTTTTATATATGTCTATTTAGTTAATAGAAAAATATCAGAAACCAGAAACTTCATTTTTCATTAGTCAAGCATGAACCTATTGAATAAAAATTTGAGCACAGCCTGGTCAACATAGTGAGATGGCATCTCTGAAAAATAAAAAAAATTGGGGCCAGGCGCGGTGGCTCATGCCTGTAATCCCAGCACTTTGGAAGGCCAAGGCGGGCGGATCACCTGAGGTCAGGAGTTCGAGACCAGCCTGACCAACATAGAGAAACCCTGTCTCTAGTAAAAATACAAAATTAGCTGGGCATGGTGGCGCATGCCTGTATTCCCAGCTACTCGGGAGGCTGAGACAGGAGAATCGCTTCAATCTGGGAGGTGGAGGTTGCCGTGAGCTGAGATCACACCACTGCACTCCAGCTTGGGAAACAGTGAAACTCTGTCTCAAAAAAAAAGAGGTTGCCGTGAGCTGAGATCACACCACTGCACTCCAGCTTGGGAAACAGTGAAACTCTGTCTCAAAAAAAAAAAAAAAAAAAAAAAAAAGTGCGGGGGGTGCGGTAGCTCAAGCCTGTAATTGGGAGGCTGAGGCAGGCAGATCACCTGGATCAGGAGTTCAAGACCAGCCTGGCCAACTTGATGAAACCCCGTCTCTACTAAAAATACAAAAATTAGCCAGGCATAGTAGCCCACACCTGTAATCCCAGCTACTTGGGAGGCTGAGGCAGGGGAATCGCTTAAACCCGGGAGGCGAAGGCTGCAGTGAGCCGAGATTGCTCTCCACTACACTCCAGCCTGGGTGACAGAGCAAGACTCTGTCTCAAAAAAAAAAAAAAAAAAAAAAGGAATAAAGTGTATCTTGCTAGGTAGACAACACATAGTTGAATCTTCTTTTTTTAATCCAGTCTGAACAGTTTCAGCTTTTTGATTGGATTAAGTACATTCACTATTTTTTTTTTTTTTTTTTTTTTTTTTTTTTTTGAGATGGAATCTTACTCTGTCTCCCAGGCTGGAGTGCAGTGGTGCAATCTTGGCTCCCTGCAACCTCTACCTCCTGGGTTCAAGTGATTCTCCTGCCTTAGCCTCCATAGCTGGGACCACAGGTGCACACCACTATGCCCAGCTAATTTTTGTAATTTTTGTATTTTTGGGTATGGACAGGGTTTTGTCTTGTTGGCAGGCTGGTCTCAAACTCCTGATCTCAAGTGATCTGCCCACCTCGGGTTCCCAAAGTGCTGAGATTATTGGCATCTGCGACGGCACCCAGCCTCCATCCACTTTTTTTGGCCAGTGGCGGTGGGAGGAGTTGGGGGAGGGTTGGAGTCTCAGTCTGTTGCCCAGTCTGGAGTGCAGTGGTGCAATCTCAGATCAATGCAACCTCCACCTCCCAGGTTCAGGTGATTTTCCTGCCTCAGCCTCCCAAATAGCTGGGATTACAGGCCTGCACCAACATGTCTGGCTAATTTTTGTATTTTTCGTAGGGACAGGGTCTCACCATGTTGGCCAGGCTGGTTTCAAACTCCTGACCTCAGGTGATACGCCTGCCTCGGCCTCCCAAAGTGCTGGGATTACAGGCGTGAGCCACTGCACCCAGCCCCATTCACATTTAATGTTATTATTGATGTGGCTGGATTTGTGTTTGCCATTTTACTTTTCCCTCGTGTTTTTTTCCCCCTTTGTTTCTCCCTTACTGCTTTCTTGTTCTATTTAAAAAAAAAAAAAAAAAAAAAGGATCAGAAAGCACCTGCAGGTCTATTGCTTTCTTCTGTGTTAAGTGAATATTATATTTTCTTTTCTTTTCTTTTTTTTTTTTTTTTTGAGAAAGAGTCTTGCTCTGTCACCCAGGCTGGAGTGCAGTGGCACGATCTTGGTTCACTGCAACCTCTGCCTCCCAGATTCAAGCAATTCTCCTGCCTCAGCCTCCCGAGTAGCTGGGAGTACAGGCACGTGCCACCACGCCCGGCTAATTTTTGTATTTTTACTAGAGACGGGGGTTTCACCATGTTGGCCAGGCTGGTCTTGAATTCCTGACCTTGTGATCCACCTGCCTTGGCCTCCCAAAGTGCTGGGATTGCAGGCATGAGCCACCCGGCCTGGCCGAATATTATATTTTCTTAATTTCAAGAGACTGTCTCACTCTGTCTTTGGGGATAGAGTGCAGTGGTGTGATCATAGCTCACTGCAGCCTTGAACACCTGGGCTCAACGGATCCTCTGGCCTCAGCCTCCAGAGTAGCTGGGACTACAGGCATGTACCACCACACTCAGCTAACTTTTAAAATTTTTTTGTAGAGACAAGGTCTCACTCAAATACAGGTCTTAAACTCATGGCCTCAAGCGATCCTCCTCACTCAGCCTCCCAAAGTGTTGGGATTACTGGTGTGAGCCACCATGCCCAGCCCAAAATAATATTTTCTAATTTAACATTTTAATTTATTTAATGATTTTTATCACTATTTTCAATATTTTCTTTTTTTAATCACTAATTTTTGAGGGGTTTTTTAGTGTTTGCTTTAGGGTTTCCATATACATCTTATTTTTGTTTGGTTGTTGTTGTTTTCCGTATACATCTTAATTTATCAGAATCAGATTGAGATTTATATTAGCTTAATTTCAGTAATATATGGAATTTTTAATTTTAAACTCATTATGAATAAGATTTACTTTTTTTGTCAATATATTAATAAAACTGATGTTTGGATTAAAGATGTTAAATTGGAATCTTCAGTTTTGATAAACCTGATTGGAAGAATCAAATAGCTTGTTTGTGATAAAGTAGAGGTTGTTCTAAATGTGGTAGAATAAATCAATTCAAAAGTTTTTTTTTTTTTGGCCGGGTGTGGTGACTGAAGCCTGTAATTCCACCCCTTTAGGAGGCCAAGGCAGGTAGATCAATTGAGTGAGGAGTTCGAGACCAGTTTGGGCAATGTGGCGAAACCCTGTCTCTACCAAAAATACAAAAACAAAAACAACAACAACCAGGCATGGTGCGTGCACCTGTAGTCCCATCTATTTGAGAAGCTGAGGTGGGAGGATCAATTGAGGCGGGACGTTAGGAGGCTTCAGTGAGCCATGATTGCACAATGCACTCCAGCCTGGGCAACAGAGGGAGACCCTACCTCACAAAAAAAAAAAAAAAAAAACCATAAAATTTTGTTAACCCTGAAAATGCCCATGGCATTAAGACAATATCACAGTTGAAGAATGACCATTACTTAGCAAACTTTGCAAGATAATAATTTTTTATTTTGAGCTGGGGGTCTCACTCTGTCACCCAGGCTAGAGTGCAGGGGTGTGATCACAGCTCACTTTTAACCTAGAACTCCTGGGCTCAAGTGATCCTCTTGCCTCAGCCTCTTAAGTAGCTGGGAATATAGGTGTATGCCACCATGACTGGCTAATTTTAAACTTTTTTTTTTTTTTTTTGTAGAGATGAGTTCTTGCTATGTTGCTCAGTCTGGTCTTGAACTTCTGGCATCAAGCATTCCTCCTGTCTCAGTCTCCCAAGATGCTGGGATCACAAGTATGAGCCACTGTGCCCAGCCACAAAGGAACAATTTTGATACAATTAAAATAATTGTGTTGGGCCGGGCACGGTGGCTCACGACTGTTATCCCAGCACTTTGGGAGGCCAGGGTGGGCAGATCACGGGGTCAGGCGTTCAAGACCAGCCTGGCCAACATGGTGAAACCCTGTCTCTACTAAAAATACAAAAATTAGCTGGGTGTGGTGGCGTGATCTGTAATCGCAGCTACTCGGGAGGCTGAGGCAGGAGAACTGCATGAGCCTGGGAGGCAGAGGTTGCAGTAAGCAGAGATTGTGCCAATGCACTCCAGTCTGGGTGACAAGAGCAAGACTCTGTCTCAAAAAAAATTAAAAAAAAATTTTTAAGAAGTTTGTTTAAAACATTCTCTTATAAATTTAGGTTAAGCTCTGGGATGTCATGTTTTTATGAATTTCAGTGTCAATAATTTTTCTTCCAACATCTCTTAAGAAGGATTAGATTGCTAGGTCGAGAGTAGGAGCGAGGGTTACACTTCTGGTTCCTGAGAGGCATGAACAGGTATGGCACATAAGGGAAAGACACAGTGTTCCATCAGTGGCTCTTTATACAAAAGATGAGGAGGACAGGAATTCAGGTTAACAGAACTGTTCAGGGGAAATCCTAAGGAAAAGCACAAGTATACATATAAGGCATGAACTCGATTCACTGCAACCTCTACCTCCTGGGCTCAAGCAATCCTCCCACCTCAGCCTCCCGAGTAGCTGGGACCACAGGCACATACCACCACGCCTATACCTTTACCTATACCCTTCTACAAAAATTACTAAGGCAAAACTTAAAAGACCAGCTTTTTAGCACATCTGGAATGTGCTGAATTCATTAAACATCTAGTTGAATTAAAGGGAAGTCATATTTTATGTTGATTACATGCTCACCTTGGAAGAGAAATGAGGTTCTCATAGGGTCAAAGTAGAATGCATAAAGAGCCAAGAGCAGCTCTAGACCTCTACCTGTACATCAGGGAAAAAAAAAACCTTTTTTGAGCAACAGGAAAGGGCCATCTTTTCTCAATAAAGATTAGGATAGATCGGGTGCAGTGGCTCACGCCAGCACTCTGGGAGGCTGAGGTGGGTGGATCACTTGAGATCAGGAGTTTGAGACCAGCCTGGCCAAAGTGGTGAAACCCTGTCTCTACTAAAAATACAAAAGTTAGCTGGGCATGGTGACGGGCGCCTGTAATCCTAGCTACTCAGGAGGCTGAGGCAGGAGAATCACTTGAACCTGGGAGGCAGAGGTTGCACTGAGCTGAGATTGTACCACTGCACTCCAGCCTGAGCGACAGAGCAAGACCCCGTCTTAAAAAAAAAAAAAAAAAAGATCAGGACAAATTAGCCAGGCACAGTGGTTCAAACCTGTAATCCCAGCACTTTGGGAGGCCAAGGCGGGAGGATCCCTTGAGCCCAGGAATTTGAGACCAGCTTGGGCAGCAGACCGAGACCCCTTCTCTACAAATTTTGTTTTTTTTGAGACGGAGTCTCGCTCTGTCACCCAGGCTGGAGTGCAATGGCGTGATCTTGGCTCACTGCGATCTCTGCCTCCCGGGTTCAAGCAATTCTCCTGCCTCAGCCTCCTGAGTAGCTGGGACTACAGGCACATGCCACCATGCCCGGCTAATTTTTGTATTTTAATTTTGTATTTTTAGTAGAGGTTTCACCGTGTTAGCCAGGATGGTCTCGATCTCCTGGCCTCGTGATCCACCCTTCTCGGCCTCTCAAAGTGCTGGGATTATAGGTGTGAGCCACCATGCCCGGCCTACAAAAAGTTTTAAAAAATTAGCGGGGTGTGGTGGCACATCCCTGTAGTCCCGGCCCATTCAGAAGGCTGAAGTGGGAGGACTCTTTTTTCTTTTGAGATGGAGTTTCGCTCTGGTTGCCCAGACTGGAGTGCAATGGCACGATCTCGGCTCACCGCAACCACCGCCCCTCCGGGTTCAAGCGATTCTCTTGCCTCAGCCTCCTAAGTAGCTGGGATTACAGGCATGCACCACCATGCCTAGCTAATTTTGTATTTTTAGTAGAGACAGGGTTTCTCCATGTTGGTCAGGCTGGTCTTGAACTCCCAACCTCAGGTGATCTGCCTGCCTCAACCTCCCAAAGTGCTGGGATTACAGGCATAAACCACTGTGCCCAGCTGGGAGGATTCTTTTGAGCACAGGAGTTAGAGGTTGCAGTGAGCTATGATCGCACCACTGCACTCCATCCAGCCTGGGCAGCAGAATGAGATTCTGTCTCTCTACACATACACACAATCAATCAGGAAAAATTAAATAATAGAGGCTTGAAAAAACATTTTTGCATTGTCTCATCAGCAAAGTGTGATTCAGTCTGAAAATTTTTAATTTACACAACACAAAACTCTGGTTAAAATTTTATTGATAATTCTCCATTTTTAAGCAATTATTGTCAAACATCAAACTTTGCTACAAAATAAAGATATTTTTGTGCCTGGTTGTGGTGGCTCACATCTGTAATCCCAGCACCTTGGGAGGAAGAGGTGGGTGGATTACTTGAGCTCAGAAGTTCCAGACCAGCCTGGGCAACATGGTGAAACCCCGTCTCTGCAAAAAAGTACAACAGTTAGCCGGTGTGGTCGTGTGCACCTGTGGTCCCAGCTACTTGGAAGGCTGAGGTGGGAGGACTGCTTGAACCTAGGAGGTGGAGATTGCAGTGAGCTGAGATCATGCCACTGGACTCAAGCCTTGGCCTCAAGAGCCTGTCTCAAAGAATATATATTTTTGGGCCTTATTTTGTTTTTAATTTCCCACTGGAATTAAGGAGTAAGCTACTGCTTGTCCTAATGTTTGAAATCTGATCAGAATTATGTAATATGACTATAAAAGAGTATTTGGAAAGTTTGTGTTATAGGAAATGTATTTGAATTATCTCAGGCCAACTAGCAGTAATTTGGGGTAAGTCACTTAACATTTGCAGGCTCCAATTTCCATAAGCATAAAATAGTGGCTTGGCCTAAAATTCATATTTATGAGGTCTTTTCCAAGTCAAATCTTCTTAACTAGTTGAAGCTAATAATTACACTTATATTCAGATCAGAACGTCATACATTTATAATGGTTTAAAAATAATTATCTTAAAGGAGAATCACATTAAGTAGGTGAAACGTGATTATTGCTTAGCCTAGTATTTTCCAGGGTCTCTCATGAACCCATTGATACACTATTGTTCACACATTTTATCTCAATCCTCTACTTTTCGTCAAAAAAAATGTTTTTCTTTTTTTTGAGACAAGGTCTCACTCTATCGCCCAGGCTGGAGGGCAGTGGCATGATCTCGGCTCACTGCAGCCTCTGCCTCCTGGGCTCAAGCGATTCTTGTGCCTCAGCCTTCCGAGCAGCTGGGATTATAGGTGTGCACCACCATGCCTGGTTACTTTTTTGTATTTTTTGTAGAGATGGATTTTCATCACATTGCCCAGGCTGGTCTCAAACTTGTGAGCTCAAATGATGCTCCTGCCTCAGCCTCCCAAAGTGCTGGGATTACAGGTGTGAGCCCCCATGGCCGGGCTCAGGACTTTATTCTCGCTCTCTGTGAGTGTACATGGACATTGTAATGTAGGAGAAAGAGCTGAGCTGGTCAGGAGGCCTGAATTCCAGTACCAACTGTTTCATTTACTGCTTCTGTATTTTGTCCTATGACTGTATTTTCTCTTCTGTAAGATAGGAATAATAATATCTGACCCTTCAAGTTGTATAACTGAAGAGCACATTTTGAAAGTATAAATAGCACTACAGATGTATAAGGTATTACAATTGTGGGCAATGAAAATTTAGGTTACAACATTAAAAAATATGCTGTTTTTTTTTTTTCCTTTCTGGTGCACTTTTCTAGGTGAATGTGCCTCTTAGGAGCACTTGTCCAGAAGTGTCTGGGAAAAGCTTGGGCTGCACAGTGATGGTGCTCCCTGAAAGACTCAGAGCAGCACAGCCAGTACCTCCAGAGTATGAAGCATGAAGTACACTTATTCTACAAGAATAAGAAGTAAATATAAAAAAAGTCAAGGATTCAATTTTTAATAAAGTAACAAAATCAACAAAACAAAATCATATTCAGAGTAACATGGACTTCACAGCACTTTGAAAAAGACATTTAAATGTTGATTTGAGTTGTTCAGACATTTTAAATATGAAGTCATAGAGTAAAAATACAATCAATGACTGAAATTGGGAACAAAATATCCTGAACATAAAGGCATTTGAATCTTTGGATTTTTTTTTTTTCTCTTTGAGACGGACTCTCACTCTGTCACCCTGGCTGGAGTGCAGTGGTACAATCTTGGCTCACAGCAATCTCCACTTCCTGGGTTCAAGCGATTCTCCTGCCTCAGCCTCCCGAGTAGCTGGGATTACAGGCATGCATCACCATGCCTGGCTAATTTTCTTTGCATTTTTAGTAGAGACGAGGTTTCACCATGTTGGCCAGACTGGTCTCGAACTCATGGCCTCAAGCGATCTGCCTGCGTTGGCTTCCCAAAGTGTTGGGATTACAGGTATGAGCCACTGCGCCTGGCCTCAAATCTTTGAATTTGAATTGAAAATGAGAAAATGGGACAGTGCTGTTATTCCACAGGGGTGCTAGAACTCCACTGAGAAGATATCAATGGCTGGTAGCCTTTGAGTGGTCAGCAGTCACTTTCAGAGTGTTGTGATGATGGATGACGGTAAGGCTTATCAATTTTTTTTCTTCTTTTTTGAGATGAAGGCTCACTCTTGTCACCCAGGCTGGGGTGCAATGGCGTGATCTCGGCTCACTGCACGCTCCGCCTCCCGGGTTCAAGTGATTCCCCTGCCTCAGCCTCCCGAGTAGCTGGGATTACAGGTGCCTGCCACCATGCCCAGCTAATTTTTGTATTTTTAGTAGAGACAGGTTTTTGCCATGTTGGCCAGGCTGGTCTCGAACTCCTGACCTCAGGTGATCTGCCCGCCTCGGCCTCCCAAACTGCTGGGATTACAGGCGTGAGCCACCATGCCTGGCCAGCTTATCAAAACTTTAAGGAGTACTGAAAATCATTTAGAAGTTAGTAAGTTATAGTCTTTATACAAAAAAGAGTCAAGTGTTCATGTTGTATAACTACACTTAGAAGACAGCTAGGATTTTAAAGATTTTCCTTTATTTTGTGTAGAGAAGAAACATCACACAATATTCTACTTGTCATCTTTCCTCAACTTAATTACATATATGCTCACACAGGCAAAATATTTAAGTATATCATACCATGAATTGTTACTTGGCAATAAAAAAAAAAGCCCTTCTGTTGGATATAACTGTCTTGTGATACAGTGCAGTAATGTCTCCCTCTCAAAATGTGTATATGTTAAAAAAAATCATCACTCAAGGAAAATCCTAGTGTTGCAAATTTGTTTTTAAGAATGTATCTTTTGGCCGGGCACAGTGGCTCACACCTGTAATCCCAGCGCTTTTGGAGGCTGAGGCGGGTGGACCACTGAAGTCAGGAGTTTGAGACCAGCCTGGCCAACATGGTAAAACCCTGTCTTTACTAAAAATACAAAAATTAGCCAGGCATGGTAGCGTGTGCCTGTAATCCCAGCTACTCGGGAGGCCGAGGCACGAGAATCATCTCAACCCAGGAGGCGGAAGTTGCAGTGAGCTGAAATCGCGGCACTGACCCTAGCCTGGGAGACAGGGTGAGACTCTGTCTCAATTAAAAAAAAAAAAAAAATGCATCTTTTTCCATTGATTAGAGGGATGACTAAAAAAAGAAGAATGCATCTTTTAAAAGATAAAGTTTGGATTTCCTTTACTCACTTCCTCCTTCCCTGTATTGTTGTCTTCAAGATTTATTTACTGCTCTATGCCAGGGTTAGCAGGTTAATGGCTCATAGATTCCTCAGTTTATTAACCCATTTATCTTGTTTACTGGTGGGTAAGGCAAAGATAAAAATGTGTTTGGCTGTAGTTGTCCAAGTGCAATGGGCAGCAGTATCCCATAAGGCCAGGAGGTGGTAGTGTTGTCCATAAAAGTAGACCTTCATTTTTTTTCCTGGATTGTTCAAAATATTTTAAACCAGTCTGTATTTGCAAAATCCACACAGGATAAACTTTTGAAATAGCAAAATTTGGGAATGTTTGTCTGTTTTTAATCAAGAGGACAGAGATATATTTATATGTATATAGTGTCACACATAAGGAATTACATGTTTGCCTCTCTGGGCTTTGGCACACATAGATACTGCATTGCTACAAATGAGATTATGAACCTATAATTAAGTGATGCTACTTTAAGGGGTTGTTTTGTCTCTCTCGTACTGAAATTATAATAAGTTGCCTGGGGAGCTTTCTTCTCCTCTTTCAATTTATTATTTATTTTTTTGAGACAGACTCTCGCTCTGTCCCCCAGGCTGGAGTGCAGTGGTGTGATCTTGGCTCATTGCAACTTCCACCTCCCAGGTTCAAGCGATTCTCCTGCCTCAGCCTCCCGGGTAGCTGGGATTACAAGCGTGCGTCACCACACTCGGCTAATTTTCTTTGTATTTTTAGTAGAGACAGGGTTTCCCCATGTTGGCCAGGCTGGTCTCGAACTCCTGACCTCAGTGATCTGCCCGCCTCAGCCTCCCAAAGTGCTGGGATTACAGGCCTAAGCCACTGCGCACGGCCCTCTTTCAATTTCTTAATTTTCCTTTTCGTCCTGTTGCTTTTCTCCCTCCTCCCCATTCCCAGCTGTATGTAAGATGGTATCTCATTTTAATAGACTGTTGTTATTTAAATAGACTGTTGTAGTTTCTACCGCAAGATGCAATTGTTGAGAGCGTGATTTCTAACATTTTACATAAAACTGCCGTAAAAGGTTTACTGGAACTTAATATACATTGCCTATTTGGTTGATGCTTTCAACACTCTGTAGGGCTTTCACACAGGACTAGCCTCAGTGGAATTTTATCGATTAAATTAATCTACCAATGGGTGATTAAGAATTATCTGTTTTATTGCATATTTAATAGGTTGGGGGGGCGGAATTCTTTCTTTCTACGGCTAATTGCCCTCAGTTCAATTTTACCACTGTGATATTCATTCCACATGCTCTGATGAGTGTGGTACTTGAGACATTACCTTAGTGAGGGAAGGGACCAATGTTACAAATGAATCCGGAAGGACGCTAAAACTAACACCTGCAAATTATGTACATGTTTATATTCCAGGCGCTGGTTTAGCTTTTGGGAGAAGTCAGTGAGGAAAACCCGTAAAGATCCCCGTCTTTACGGTGCTTACCCTGAAGATGGGAGTGGAGAGGGAGGTATTCAACCAGCAAGAAATCGGAAAACGCGCAGAGCGGCCGCGGGGTCACGGGAAACTGCCGGAGGCTTTCAGGGCCCAGGGCCCGGCGGGGAGGCTTCAGCGGGCCTGCATTTTCTTAGGCATCCGCTCCAGGCGGGTTCAAGTTTTCAACCAGACCTTCGGCGATCCAGCGCCTAGGGAACGTCAATGCGGGTGACTTCTCCCGCTGTGCAGGGCGGTGACCCGGGTTGGCGCGCCCAGTTCCCCGCCAGAGTCGGCCGGGGACTTCCCTGATAAATGCGACACCCTCTTGCCCCTGCGCCCCCCGACCGCGCGCCCGGCCCCGCGTGTCCCCCACGCCCCACAACCCTGCACGCCCTACCCGGCCGCGCATCCCCTCCGGACCGTGCGTCGCCGCCCTCACCATTGCGCCCCCAGCTGTGTGTCCCTTGCGACCGGGCCCCCCGACCGGGCGTCACCGCCTGCGACTCTGAGAGCCCTGCGGGCTAGAGACCGTGCGGCCATCTCGCCTCGAGGCGAGGCCCTCCTGCCTGGTCCTCACCTCCAGAGCGTGCATCCCCCGGCCCGTGCGGCCCCCTAAGGGGCGGGCGCTGGGCGGCGCTGGACGGCGCGAGGCGGGGCGGGGCGGGGCGGGGCGCCGGACGCCATCGCGTCGCTACCGGCCGGCGGCTGTCTGACCGGGACTGCAGCCGTGTCCTCGCCGCCCTCCTCTTGCCCACGCCTCCCGGGCACTCGCCTGGTCCCGGCGGCGGCGCGCGCGGCCGCGTTGGGCGGCGGCGGTTCCGGGGATGGTGAGGCGGCGGCGCGCGACGACGATGCTCCGGAGCTGAGGAGACGCCGGCACACGGCGCGACTGCCGAGCGCAGCGCCCACCCGCGGGATGGCTCAGGCGGCTGGCCCGGCGGGCGGCGGGGAGCCGCGGACTGAGGCAGTGGGCGGCGAGGGGCCGCGGGAGCCCGGGGCAGCCGGCGGCGCGGCCGGGGGCTCCCGGGACGCGCTGAGCCTGGAGGAGATCCTGCGGCTGTACAACCAGCCCATCAACGAGGAGCAGGCGTGGGCCGTGTGCTACCAGTGCTGCGGTTCCCTGCGCGCCGCCGCCCGCCGCCGCCAGCCCCGCCACCGTGTGCGCTCGGCCGCGCAGATCCGCGTCTGGAGGGACGGCGCCGTCACCCTGGCGCCCGCGGCCGACGACGCGGGAGAGCCGCCCCCAGTTGCGGGTGAGGCCGCCGGGCCCCTTTCCCTCGTAGTTCTTGGAACACCCGCGGCTGGGCCGCCTTACCCTCAGCGTCCCCGGCCCTTCCGCCCCCGCCGTCCCCCCCCATTTTGCCACGGGAGACCCCCGGGAGGATCCGGCGGGGACCCGCAGGGGAGGACGGCGTCAGGCCGTGGCTGGCCGGGGCCCCTCGGAGGTCAGAGCCTCGTGGCGGGCGACGGCGCAAATCCGCTGTGCGGAGGACGTTTGGGTGGGCCTGGGCCTGCGGGCCGCGGGGCGCTCGTCATTGTGCTGCCCGCGGGACAGCTGCCCGCGGCGCGTTTGGGAGCGGTGGGCTGGGCCCTGCTCCGGGCCAGCGGCCTGTGCGCCTCACGCCGTGGCTGCTGACACACGGCCGGGTTCACGGGGTGGGGAGGGCATCGCAGGCTTCACGCGGGGGCTCCGCACGGATCCTCAGTGCCGCTGTCGGAAACACCGCACTCCTCACGGGAAACTAGCAGTATTCCACATTAGACAGCCTTTCCTCGGTTCGGAAATGTAAAGATGATTCTGAACCGTGAGAATTCTGCTCTTTGGGGAGAAATGGAAAAATAGACTAAATAGTGATTTTTGGCTCCTGGACGTTAGAAAATACTGATTGCATTCCTGTATGTGAAAATTTGTTGTGATGAAAAACAGGCTTGTAAAGTGAAAAGTTGACAGGATGTCGGGATACAAAGAGAAAATGGGCCTTAGTTACGTCATTGTCTAATGTAAAATTTTCAGGATTATGACCTAAACAGTAATTTATAGCCAGGGTTTACTCAGATGCTCATTGAAGAGGAGGAGGAGGTTGAGAAAAGGTTTCTCCCATCAGTTTTTATCTAATTCATTCTTTTGAGAGGCAAGTCTATTAAAAACATAGAAAAACAATCTACCCTCACTTTTAGAAAGTTGATGGAAATGTCAAAATGCTTAAGGTGAAAGATGTAATTTCGAATTAGTAAAATGACATTTAATGAAAACCCTTGTCTAACTTGATTAAAACAATATTCAAGGTTATAGTTATTCTTTCAGTTCCACCAGAACGTTTTTATCTTTTATTTTTTAGTGTCAGGTAAACACATTTTTATTTACATGCTTTTATCTTTTATTTTTTAGCGTCAGGTAAACGATTTTTTATTTAAAGCCATCTTTTTAATTGTTCTTTTGAAACTATTTCAAATAGTATTTTTGTTTCTTTGATGGGCTTATTGCTTTTAAACTTGGACTTAATCTTAGTGGGAAATACTTGCAATTATAATTTATAGTGTATTAAATGGTACAAAAGATACATTTATAAAATACAGCAATGTCTGCCAGGTGCGGTGGCTCAAGCCTGTAATCCCAGCACTTTGGGATGCCGAGGCAGGTGGATCACCTGAGGTCAGGAGTTCGAGACCAGCCTGGCCAACATGGTGAAACCCCGTCTCTATTAAAAATACAAAAATTAGCCGGGCGTGGTGTTGTGCCGCTGGAATACCAGCTACTCGGGAGGCTGAGGTGGGAGAATTGCTTGAACCTGGGAGGTGGAGGCTGTAGTGAGCTGAGATCGCGCCACTGCACTCCAGCCTGGGTGACAGAGCGAGACGCCGTCTCAAAAAAAAATACAGCAATATCGTGCCTTGGGATTTAGCTATTTCCAGAGGAAAAATGGTTGTGTGCAGCCTGCTTTTAGAAGCAGCGTTGGTAGTGGTGATTTCCGGAGAGAACAAGCCCCCAGTTTACATTGTCTTGTCACTTAAATTTAATCCCAAAATCGTGTAGTTTTGTTGTCAAAGATTGATAGATTCTCGTGGATGGGTTTTTTCTTTTTTTTTGGTCTGAATCTTATGTTGAATTGGATTATTTTTTACATCACTAGTGTGAGTGATAACATGTTGATCTCAGTGTAATAAACTGCCTTTATGGAGAAAATAGTGAGTGGAGTTGTTCTCCACAATTCGCAATAGGTTTATAATTCTCTTTCTCAGTTCTGCTCATGACCTGCGCTACCAGTTATGGAGGAGGCCTAATCAAAGTTGTTGATAGAGACTTGAGCATTTTCTGTTGCCTAAAATTATTTAAGAAGTTCATACTAAAACATTAGTTTATTTCCTCATTGGCTTTAAGAATAGTTGCGTGGCTCAGGAAGATACAGTCTTCTGAAGATTTTATCTTGATTCTTACACTTGATGAATAATTTGGTGGTGTGCACACTTAAAAATTCTATTCCTTCCTTCTTTCTTTCGCTTTATTTCTTTCTCTTTCTCTCTCTCTCTCTCTTTTTCTTTTCTTCTTTTTTTTTTTTGACAGGGTCTTGCTGTATTGCCCAGGCTGCTGAAGGCTGGAGTGCAGTGCTGTAGTCATAGCTCATTGCAGCCTGGAACTCCTGGGCTTAAGTGATCCAACTGCCTTGGCCTGCTAAAGTGCTGGGGTTACAGGTGTAACCCACCTTGCCCAGTCTCTCTTTTCTTTTTCTTTTCTTTTCTTTCTTTCTTTTTTTTTTTGAGATGGAGTCTCCCTCTGTTGCCAGGCTGGAGTGCTGTAGAACAGTCTTGGCTCACTGCAACCTCTGCCTCCTGAGTTCAAGTGATTCTCTTGCCTCAGCCTCCCGAGCAGCTGGGACTATAGGCGCATGCCACCACGCCCAGCTAATTTTTGTATTTTTGGTAGAAATGGGGTTTCGCCATGTTGGCCAGGATGGTCTTGATCTCTTGACCTCATGATCCGCCTGCCTCGGCCTCCCAAAGTGCTGGGATTGCAGGCGTGAGCCACTGCGCCTGACTTCTCGTTTCAGTTTTAAGGAACGTTTGTATTCATGAGACTTCCATTGTAGGGAAGAGTTGGGGAAAATAAGTAAAAATAATTTTTTTTTTTTTGAGACGGAGTCTCGCTCAGTCGCCCAGGCTGGAGTGTGGTGGCGCGATCTCAGCTCACTGCAAGCTTGCAAGCTCCGCCTCCCAGGTGCATGCCATTCTCCTACCTCAGCCTCCCGAGTAGCTGGGACTAAAGATGCCTGCCACCATGCCTGGCTAATTTTTTTGTATTTTTAGTAGAGACGGGGTTTCACCATGTTAGCCAGGATGGTCTCGATCTCCTGACCTCGTGATCCGCCCGTCTCGGCCTCCCAAAGTGCTGGGATTACAGGCGTGAGCCACCGTGCCCAGCCAAATTTTTTTTTTTTTTTTTTTTTTTTTGAGGTGGAGTCTCACTTTGTCGCCCAGGCTGGAGTGCAGTGGTGCAGTCTCGGCTGACTGCAACCTCCGCCTCCAGGGTTCAAGCAATTCTCCTACCTCAGCCTCCCAAGTAGCTGGGATTACAGGTGTGTACCACCATGCCCAGCTAATTTTTGTATTTTTAGTAGAGAAGGGTTTTCACCATGTTGGCTGAGCTGGTCTCAAACTCCTGACCTCAGGTGATCCACCCGCCTCAGCCTCCCACAGTGCTGGGATTACAGAAGTGAGCCACGGTGCCTGGCCACACTTTCTTTTTCATTGTATTTATCATGATTATATGTAGTTAGCAATCTGCAACGTTTATGTTTTCACATCCATTGATTTCTGTTTCTTTCTTTCTTTTTTTTTTTTGAGACGGAGTTTTGCTCTTGTTGCCCAGGCTGGAGTGCAATGGCGCAATCTTGGCTCACTGCCACTTCCGCCTCCCGGGTTCAAGAGATTCTCCTGCCTCAGCCTCCCGAGTAGCTGGGATTCCAGACATGCACTACCACGCCTGGCTAATTTTGTATTTTTAGTAGAGACGGGGTTTCCCCATGTTGCCCAGGCTGGTCACGAACTCCCGACCTCAGTGATCCACCAGCCTTGGCCTCCCAAAGTGCTGGGATTACAGGTGTAAGCCACCACGCCCGGCCTGATATATTTTCTAAATGGACGTTTAGGGAAGTTAAGTGATTAGTAACTCTTTGAATCAAATCTTGGTCTTTTAGTGTCTAGGCTTAGTAGTGTTGTGGAATGAAACATTTGGTTTGAATTTGTTTTGTGATTCTTCCCCTTAGATAAGTGACAGTGAGTAAGTTCCCCAATCACCCTGAGTCTAGCCTTCTGTGTAAAATCAGAATATATTGTTGTTTTCACAGGATTGGGGCATAAGTGAGGATAATATATGTCAAGTGGCAAGACTTGCTGTATAGCAGGTACTCAGTAGGTTTTAGTTTCCTTCTTCCTCTAATCCTGTGGTCCTTTCTCACCACTATACTGTCTCTAGTCCATCTGTTTTATGTTTTTACCAAGAATTGGGGTAAATGTCAAGGTCAGAGTTTCTTAACTGGCACTGTCGGCATTTTTGGCTGAGTAATACTTT
The DNA here is from genome assembly GCF_000001405.40 of Homo sapiens. Classification (NCBI taxonomy): domain Eukaryota; kingdom Metazoa; phylum Chordata; class Mammalia; order Primates; family Hominidae; genus Homo; species Homo sapiens. The sequence goes on along the minus strand of NC_000018.10, from coordinate 12,653,216 downwards.
GTTGTGGTGGCTGTTCTGTGCAGCATCCGTGATCTGATCTCTAACACTGGATGCCAGTAGGCCCCTCCCCTGCAATTGTGACATTAAAAAAGTCTCTGTCCATTGCCAGATGTTCCCTAGGGTGCAAAATCATCCCAGTTGAGAACCACTGCTCTAGCAGGTGGTGCCCAGGATTGTGTTCAGGGTAGAGAAGTGGATTCTGGCTGTAATCCTCAAGTGAGTGAATCCTTCTACAGGCCATTGTCACTCTGTTGTTGAGCTGAATGAGTCGTACTGGTTCTTGCCAGTACCAGCAGTATCACTCCATTTAGTCCTTTTAGAAGAAATAGTACTTCATAGGCTTTACTGACTTTTTAGGGGACTGAATGTGGTAGTAATTGATTTTAATTCTTGTTTACTTTTAACAGTATTGATACATCTGAGAATGGTTAGATTCAGTTTGAATGAAATAAATAGAAATATGCTATAAGAAAAACAGAAAAATGTTGAAATGTGTCAGAGGCTGGAGACCAATGAAGGAAAAAAATGAAGAATTAGTGAGTTTATTTAGCATTCAGGTAAAACTTAGAGCCAAATTGCTAGCATGGCCATAAAAGTAGTGTGATATAGGACCCAAGAAGATAAATTCAAGAAAAAGGAAAGACTAGCTCTTTAGAGGATCTCTTGAAAGTAAAAAGATTAAATTATGTATAACGTCCTAAAATGAGCAGTATGGTTAAGAAGTATTTCTGTGATGACAGGAGGATAGATTGCTTAGAATCAAGAGAGTTTATGATTCTTGTTTGGTGGCTTATTTAACATTTTATTTTCTCCAGTGTTTATGCAGTTGTAGTAATAATAAGACTTTGTTGTTTGGGAAAGTTTATTAGGTACAAGTTGATGAAGTTTTAACTTTCACACGCTTAATTAAGGGGTTAAAGACACGCAGGCTCTTTGTATACTCATAAGTATACCTGACTAGCAATTAGAGCACATTTTGGTATACAGGGTCTTTAGAAGGTAGTAACTGATGCAGTTTAGGTTATAGTCTAGATCTTCACATGGTTAAAAAGCATTTGCTTTTCTGGCATGCCACAAAGAATTATTAATAGCAGTAGTTTTAGAGATTAGAATCATGTGTGGTCTCACAGTCTTTCAGGACTTAAATACCCGTCTGACAACAATCATTTATTTTAACTTTTGGTTTCAAAATTTTTGATGTACCTTTAGTTTAGATGTATAAAGAATCGTTTAAAAATTATGGCCATATGTTGATTTAAAATAATCTTAAGGTTGGTAGAAGGTTTTCCTGAAAGGAACAATGAATGCCTGTGTGCATACTAATAAAGGGATCCCTTGAGAATGGTTTCTTGGTATAGGGAACATTCAGGCTTTGTTTGGGTTTTGAAAAGAGGATACGATCAGTCAAGCTTCTCAGCAAGGTTCATGCTAATTTGGAGGGGAAGATCGTCTTGGCATAAAATCCTATTTGATTTTAAAGAGAGAATATTTGTGGAAAAGGTTGAAATAGTGAAAAAATATGTTTTTTTTGTTTTTGTTTTTTTGAGATGGAGTCTCGCTCTGTTGCTCAGGCTGGAGGCAGTGGCGTGATCTCGGCTCACTGCAGCCTCCGCTTCCTGGGTTCAAGCGATTCTCCTGCCTCAGCCTCCTGAGTAGCTGGGACTACAGGCGCCCGCCACCATGCTCGGCTAATTTTTGTATTTTTAGTAGACACGGGTTTCACCATGTTGTCCAGAATGGTCTACATCTCCTGACCTTGTGATCCACCCACCTCAGCCTCCCAAAGTGCTGGGATTACAGGCGTGAGCCACCGCACCCAGCAAAAAAATGTTTAAAAACATTTTTTTTGGTCTGCTCTTTCTGTATTTCTTGTGTTCCCATCCTGATCATTAAAGGAAAGGAATATATGAAGTATATGTGTAGGTTTCCAGAGTAGGTAGTGGGGGTGAATGGTAGAATTAGAGATTGGTGAAATGCCTTATCAGTTACAGTAATAGATAAAAATTGTTCTCTTTGAATAATAAGTTCAAATATGTCAGGTTAATTCAATCTAACAAATATGCTTTGAGTTCCTACTATGTACAAGTAGTGTTCTAGTTTTACATGGGTGATGTAAGGGCAAATAGTTCTAGTCATTAAAGAAGAGAAAATAAAACAGAAACACAGTGGTGAATTTACCATGAATCTAATGCAGCTTAAACTTCAAGTCCCTTCATTTACACAGGCCCCTTCTAAGTGAGTGGGAGGAGCCTTAACAGTAAGTTTAGATGTTCATTTGCAAAATTAAGATTTTAGCTGTAATTGGATAAGATTGCTATCACTTTTTTTTTTTTTTTTTTTGAGACAGGGTCTCGCTTTGTCACCCAGGCTGTAGTGCAGTGGTTTGATCGGCTCACTGCAGCTTTGACCTCCCAGATTCAAGCAATCCTCCCACCTCAGCCTCCCGAGTAGCTGGGACTACAGGCATGTGTCACCATGCCTGGGTAATTTTTTTTTTTTTTTTTTCCTGAGATGGAGTCTTGCTCTGTCACCAGGCTGGAGTGCAGCGGCGTGATCTTGGCTTACTGCAACCTCTGCCTCCCGGGTTCAAGCGATTCTCCTGCCTCAGCCTCCCGAGTAGCTGGGACTACAGGCACGTGCCATCACGCCCAGCTAATTTTTTGTATTTTTAGTAGAGACGGGGTTTCACCATATTAGCCAGGATGGTCTCGAACTCCTGACCTCATGATCCACCCACCTCGGCCTCCCAAAGTGCTGGGATTATAGATGTGAGCCACCACTACCACCTGGCCCATGCCTGGGTAATTTTTATATCGTTTTTTAGAGACAGAGATTTTGCCATGTTGCCTAGTTTTGTTTGGAACTTCTGGGCTCAAGTGATTTGCCCACGTTGGCCTACCAAAGTGCTGGAATTGCAGGCATGAGCCACCATGCCTGGCCTGCTGTCACTTTTATTTATTTGTTTATTTATTTTTTTTGAGACAGAGTCTTAGTCTGTTGCCCAGGCTGGAGTGCAGTGGCACGAGCTCGGGTCACTGCAACCTTCGCCTCCCAGGTTCAAGCAATTCTCGCACCTCAGCCTCCCAAATAGCTGGGATTACATGCACATGCCGCTGCGCCTGGCTAATTTTTGTATTTTTAGTAGAGACAGGGTTTTTCCATATTGATCATGCTGGTCTCAAACTCTGGGCCTCAAGTATCTGCCTGCCTTGGTCTCCCAAAGTGCTGGGATTACAGGCGTGAGCCACCAAGCCTGACCTACTGTCACTTTTGGTTCCAATTTACCATGCAATATATTTCTACGTGTGTTGGGTTATAAGAGAGGGGTCACAAGAGTTTTGGGGAGAAATTTTGGAATAATGTATTTGTGGTTTTGTATCTGTGTTTCTACTTTTGCAGAGGGAAACAGTAGAAAGAATTTAGTCATCTACAGATATTAGTCCTCAAGTAAGTTAGGACTCTTAGGAAACCATTGGCCTCACTAAGAGTTTTGACTAAACTTTAGAAGAAAAAAATCATTGAGCTACCAAGGACTATATGTTGATAAGAGATGATGAGTTGCACTCTGCTTGTTATATATGGAAGGTCAGATTCACTCTCCTGTATCATTGGTCCTATAAAATAACAGCAGTTCTCATCCTGCTTTCATAACAGTGTCATTAGAGCTGTATGTATTTCCCTTTTACTTCTTGTTGGCTAAGTAGAAAAAAGGAAAATAACTTCTTTCAGATATTTGTTTAAAACTATGAAGGAAATATTGAGTTACCAAATGTAGTGGGAATTTTTAGTCAAAAAAATTTTTTTTTAAGAGACAGGGTCTTTCTCTCTTGCTCAGGCTGGAGTGCAGTAGTATGATCATAGCTCGCTGCAGCCCCCGGCTCCTGGATTCAAGCAGTCTTCCTACCTCAGCCTCCCATGTAGCTGGGACCACAGGTGTGTGCTGCCACTTCTGGCTAATTTTTTATTTTTATTTTTTAGTGGAGAAAAATGTTGCCCAGACTGCTCTTGAACTCCTGACCTCAAATGATCCACCTGCCTCAGTCTCACAAAGTGCTGAAATTGCAGGTGCGAGCCACTGTGCCTGACCAAACTTTTTATTTTGGGATAATTTTAGATTTACAGAAAAGTTGAAAAGAGAATGCAGATAATTCTTATTTGCCCCTCACCCAGTTCCCCTAAATGTTAACATTTTATATTCTTGTGGTATATTTGTCAAAACTGAAAAAACAACATTGATGCATTGCTATTAACTAAACTCCAGACTTCATTTGGGTTTCCCCAGTTTTTCTATTAATGTCCTTTTTCTTTTTTTTTTTTTTTTTTTTTGAGACGGAGTTTCGCTCTTCTTGTCCAGGCTGGAGTGCAATGGCGCGATCTTGGCTCACCATAACCTCTACCTCCTGGGTTCAAGGGATTCTCCTGCCTCAGCCTCCCGAGTAGCTGGGATTTACAGGCACCTGCCACCACACCTGGGTAATTTTGTATTTTTAGTAGAGACGGAGTTTCTCCATGTTGGTCAGGCTGGTCTCAAACTCCTGACCTCAGGTGATCTGTCCGCCTCGGCCTCCCAAAGTGCTGGGATTACAGGCGTGAGCCACTGTGCTTGGCCTTAGTGTCCTTTTTCTATTGCAGAAATCCCATTCGAGATACCATATTGCATTTAGTCATCATATCTCCTTAGTTTCTTCTGGTCTGTGACAGTTTATCATGATCTTGACAGTCTTGGCAAGTACTGGTCAGCTATTTTGTAAAATGTCCCTCCATTTGGACTTGCCTGGTATTTTTATGGCTAGACTGGGTTATAGTTTTGGGGGAAGAATACCAGCGAGGTGAAGGGCTCCCCCTGATCACATCATGTTGGGGCACATGATAACCATGTGACATCACTGGCTACGATAACCTGGACACTTGATTAAGACAGTGTTGTCAGGTTTCTCCACTAAAAAGTTACTATTTTTACCTTTTTTTAATATGTTGTTCTTTAGAAAGGAGTCATTAATTCCAGCCTGCGTTCAAGGATAGGGCCAGGTAATTAAACCACCTCCTGGAGACGTGAATATCTTCTTAGAGTTATTTTGAATTCTGTGAAGAAGATTTGTGCCTTCTCCTCCATTTACTTATATATTCAATCATTTGTTTATATCAGTCTGGATTGACATGTATTTTGTACTTTGGTTGTTTTGTTGCTCAGATTGTTCCCGCTGTGGCCATTGATTGCTCCTTAGGCTTGGCTCCTGGGTTCCTTTGATATGCAGCCCTCCTTCTGTCTGGTGGAGCACGTCCTTGCTTTCTGGCACTGCAAGATGTTTCAAGGATCATCTTATATATTTCCTGCCCCAGCCCTAGAGTCACCCATATTTCCAGGGAGCTCTTGTTTCTTTTATTGGAGAATGGTGTTTAGAAACCATGATCTTAGCACTGGGTATGCTTGTTGCTTATTGTTTTGTTTTTATTTATTTTTTAAAGTTGTAGTTTTGCTCTGTTGCCCAGGCAGGAGTGCAGTGATGTGATCATAGCTCTCTGTAACTTTGAACTTCTGGGTACAGGTGATCCTTCCACCTCAGCCTCCTGAGTAGCTGGGACTATAAATGCACACCACCACTCCTGGCTAATTTTTTTGTTATTTTTTTGTAGAGACAGGGTCTCTCACTATATTGCCCAGGCTGGTCTTGAACCCCATTCAAGTGATCTTCCTGCCTCAGCTTCCCACAGTGGTGGGATTACAGGTGTGATCCACTGCACCTGGCCTGTTTTTAATATAGAAGAAGAAATGTTAAAGAGTTTATTTTTGATGTTCAAACTCTAGATGGATATTTGGGTTTCAAATATCGACTTACTGGATAGTATGAATAATGCCACTGTGAACATTACTGCACGTGTCTTTTGGTGAACAAATGTAGCATTTTTGTTGAATATGTTTCTAAAAGTGCAATTGCTAATTCATGATGTATGGTCAGCATAAGTAGATATTGCCAGAAATTTTCCAAAGTGATTGTATCTCACAAACTTTTAAAATTAAAACTGATATGAGACATTAGTATAAATTTAAAAAGGATTCGATTAGGTATATGGAGGGTTTATATTCCTAATAATACCAAACTGCTGGCTTCTGAAAACTGTGACTCTTAGGTCTTTTTATACTAATTGTGCTAATGCTTTTTTTTTTTTTTTTGAGTCAGAGTTTTGCTCTTGTTGCCCAGGCTGGAGGGCAATCCTGCGATCTTGGCTAACTGCAGCCTCCACCTTCTGGGTTCAAGTGATTCTCCTGCCTCAGCCTCCATGGTAGCTGAGATTACAGGCATGCACCACCACGCCTGGCTAATTTTGTATTTTTAGCAGAGACAGAGTTTCACTATGTTGATCAGGCTGGTCTCAAACTCCAGATTTCAAGTGATCCACACGCCTCCGTCTCCCAAAGTGCTGGGATTACAGGTGTGAACCACTGCGCCGGGCCTAATACATTTTTTTAAATTAAGTCTGTGGTCTTTTTCTGTCATATTTCCCATTTTCTCTCCCATCCCTTAATTTAATTAGAAGTTAAGTTCCTACCTAATATACTCCTTTAATATCTTGTATTTCGGAGAGATAAAAATATAAATAGAGATAATTGGAGGGTAGTGCTAGAATGTCACTAACAATCCCTATAGGTTGCCTGGTCCCAGGGTTTGGTCATGTCTTCCTGGATTTTTAGTGAAAATACCATGTTAGCGATATTCCCATTACCTGATTTCATGTATTCATTTCACCAATATTTGAGTGCCTTCTAAGTGCACTGTGCCAGATGTTGACGATACAAAGAGGGATAAACTGCACTCATACCTTCAAGAAGCTCATAGATGGAGAAACTAACACAGTACAGTGCAATAATTTTAAAATAATAAAGATGTTTAGAAAACTATGAGAGCCCAGAGAAGAGAGTGGCTGACCCTGCCTGGTGACAGTAGGCGAGTGTTACAGAGGAGATCTGGTTTCTGGAGGTCTCCAGGATGGGGCTGTAGCCTAAAAGGAAGACTATGTGAGGCAGCAGCAGCAGCAGCAAGTGGAAAGGCTTGGAGATGTGGAGGACGTTATATGGTACTCAGAGAGCAGCAGTACATGGATGGCAAGTGTGGCGTTGTGCTGCCACCCACTTCCCCATGCCAAAAGCATATAACTGCTAATCAGTTACCGCATTTTTTGCTGCCGAATTCGTAAGCAGCCCCAAGAGTTCTCAACAGGATGCTTCAGGTGGCCACTACTAATTATTTGGAGTTGGCACGTGAGGTTAAACCTGTTTGTCTTCTTTGTAGTGGGTGTTCCCTGTGCCTGGAGCGGAGGATGTGTGTGGGAGTCGGAGTCAGAAGGGCTGGAAAGGCACGTTGGCTGGGATCAGATGATGAAGGACTTTGTGCCAGCCACATGGTCGAGTGTGTATTTATAGTCTGTACAGGCAGTGGAGAGCTATGGAAGGGTTTTAAGCAGGAAAATGATGTAAGCAGATTACTCTTTTTAGAAAGATAAATGTAGGGGCTTTGTAGATGTATTGAATTGGGTAAAATGGAGGGCATAGACACCAGTAGGCATTTTATATATCTTTAGATCTTTGTAGCCTTTAAGTTGCTAAACCAGTTAGGAGTGTTATGGCTGTTCAAACAGGAGATGATGGAGGTCTGAATTAGGGCAGTAGGAATGGAGAGAAAGAATCAGATTGAGAGTGATTTAGGAAATAGGACATGGTATAGCTCTTCCACTTTTTATGTGTGGGTGAGAAAGAGGAAGGATTGTTCAAAGGCTCTGACTTCTTGCCTGGGTGCTTGGGTGACAGGGTAGGCAGGAGGGGCAGGTTAGGGTGGGAAGATAGATGATGGTTTATACTTGTTGGAAATTAAATTGGCCTGGAAAATATTTTTTCCTGTGGAGTCATGTTGATTCCCACCAAGCTCCTTTGCTGCCTTCCAGATAGTTGCAAATCAGCTGTTGAATGTCACACCATAACATGGAGAGAACTAAGAGCTGGCTACAGAAGATGCAGTTTCAATTCTTTTGGCTCTGATGCTTACTATTGAATAGTTATGACCTCAGGCAAGCCATTTAACTATTTCTGATGCTGATACTGTCTTATTTTTTTTTTTCTTTTATTCTTTTGTATGTGTGTGTGGAGACCAGGTTTTGCCAGGTTCCCCAGGCTGGTCTTGAACTCCTGGGCTCAAGACATCTACCTGCCTTGGCCTCCCAAAGTACTGGGGTTACATGTACATGTGTGAGCCATGGTGCCCGGCCGCTCTCTTTCTTTATTTGTAAAATGGAAGTAATATTTGTCCAGCCCTTCTTGTGAAATTGTTATGAGACTCAAATGAAGAAATATATGTGGGGGCATTTTGTTACCTTGTATGTACTGCACAAATACATTTTTACTGAGCCATTGCTATCCTTTGTAAAAAGATGAATACTTCCAAATTATTTGAGTCAAGATTGATAAAGAAGTTCTAAAACAATATTAAATATATGTTTGGAAGTCTATAAAATGATTCTTGAGGTTGAAAAAATTTGAAATGTGGGTGTCCATGTGATTAGACCTTTGTTGCCTTAGGTGCTCCACCAGGTTTTTAGAATGGACTATGGAGGGTTACTTGCAGATTATCAGGGAAAGGTAATTAGTGCTTGACCACCGTTTATATTTTTTATGGATTTCCATATATTTTATATTATCTTGAATTTGTTTTTTTCCTTCTTTTGCCACTTTCTGACTTGTTTGATACTCATTTATTGATCATTTAATTTAGCTTCTTTCAATCCTTTGGGGAGTATAGGAGGGCTTATTTATGTAAATAATAAAACAATGTAACTATAACTTTCCCTATAAACTCTTGGAACACATTTCATCTGAGACCTATAAGATAAGCCATAGTTTAGATGAAATATTTGAACTGTTGTATTGCCTGATGTGTATAAACTTAAATGTTTTTGATGGGAAATTGTTAAGTTCCTTAAATTAATGATAGTTGCCCCCTAACCCTGACCTTTTTTTTTTTTTTTTTTGAGATGGAGTTTCCCTCTGTCACCTAGGCTGGAGTGCAGTGGCTCGATCTCAACTCACTGCAACCTCCGCCTCCTGTGTTCAAGCGATTCTCCCTCCTCAGCCTCCCAAGTAGCTGAGACTACAGGCATGTGCCATCATGCCCAGCTAATTTTTTTTTTTTTTTTTTGGTTGAGACAGGGTTTCACCATGTTGGCCAGGCTGGTCTCAAACTCCTGACCTCAAATGATTCGCGCCCCCACCCCCAGCCTTCCAAAGTGCTGGGATTATAGATGTGAGTCACAGTGCTCAGCTTGACTTTCTTCTTTAATTAATGATCTTTTCATTATATTTATATTTAAAGAATAGTACTGTATTCATAAGTATAATAAAAATGTGTAACTTACAAAACTCATTACAAAAATATTTCTTGACTATATATAGTATATGTAGTAAAGGTTAAATAGCTAAAAATGTTTATAGTAAAGGTTAAATAGCTAAAAATGGCAAAGTGTAGTCTATGTCAAGCCTATGTTGTTTTTATAGTTTTTAAATCAGATCTCCCAAATCTTGACAGAGGGAAAGTAACACATTTGGGTAAGTGGATATGGCTGGTAGAGTTGTGATATAACTAAAGGGAATTAGGGCTTGGAAGATAGAAGTTCCTGGGATGCTTCTCTGCAGGGCTCTTGTTGGCTAGGTTGTCTCATACTCAGATGCCACAGAGGGGCAGGAGATTCTAAAGAGAATGGACACAGATGTGTGTATGAAATGCATGAAAACCAGAACTCTTCAATTGATAGGGAATAGTAGAACATTTGGGATTGTCACCTGCTAGAACTCTGTTTATGATTTGGCTTGGGGAGGTTCCCCTCCAAGTTCTCATTCCTAAAATCTAGTGATATGTCTATGTATTTTTGAGCTTGTGAAGTTTAAGCAATGTTTGAATTGCTGTTACTAGGGAAAAGTTTAATCCAAATCAACCCAGTTTACAAAGAGTACTTTGACTTTCATTGTCCTTGTCTTCTAACACAGGAGTGTCAGAAATGTGGCTCCAGGCTATAAACATTTTTAGCTATTTATGTATAAACATTTAAAAATGTTTATACTATAAACATTTTTAGCTATTTATCCTTTACTACATATACTATACATAGTCAAGAAATATCTTTTTGTAATGAGTTTTGTAAGTTACACATTTTTATTATACTTATGAATACAGTACTATTCTTTAAATACAAATATTATGTCTTCTATTCCTATGGCAGCATTTCTTCTTCTTTTTTAAAATTTTACTTTAAGTTCCAGGATACATGTGCAGAATGTGCAGGTTTGTTACATAGGTATACATGTGCCATGCTGGTTTGCTGCACCTGTCAACCCGTGATCTAGGTTTTAAGCCCCACAGGCATTACATATTTGTCCTAATGCTCTTCCTCCCCTTTCCCCTGCCATCCCTGACAGGCCCTGGTGTGTGTTGTTTCCCTCCCTGTGTCCATGTGTTCTCATTGTTCAACTCCCACTTATGAGTGAGACCATTTCTAAATAGTCCTGGGCACCTCCTATCCTGTACTTGCCATCAGAATACTTCTGAAGATGACATTCTAGACAGCCACTGTTACTCAGAATTGGCACTAGAGATGAAACTTATTTGCTCTGCAAGCTTCCAGTGTTGCCAGATTACATAAAATAGATAAAAGATAATATCCAAATTTTGTGGCGGGTTTTAATCACTGATACTAGGTCCAAGGGGAGACTCTAGTCCCTGGGAAGGTGACTGGTAATAACAATCCAAGGCTGTCATTTTTTTTGAAAGGTAAGGGATTTAGTTACAAATCTAGGAAGCAAAGTGTAGTCTATGTCAAAAATAAAGTGGGAGCTTCCATTTCTGAATTAGGATAGAAGTCACATTTATGGCAAAGGTGATTGAAGGCTGAAAGTCCTAGAGCCTGGCTTGGGGCAGAGTCTGTGGGTGGGGGTCAGATAATCTCAAGGAAGAAGATGCAAGTTCTGGAGAGTGCCTGTCACACAAACGTATTGTTGGTGAATGAACAGATGAATGCTTTTTCCATGAGAGATATTTAAAATTAGAGGTCATGTCCCTGACTGTTTTTTGTATCAAATCCATAACATTCACGCTGAGGCGGGCGGATCACAAGGTCAGGAGATTGAGACCATCCTGGCTAACATGGTGAAATCCCATTTCTACTGAAAATACAAAAATTAGCTGGGCGTGGTGGTGCGTGCCTGTAGTCCCAGCTACTCAGGAGGCTGAGGCAGGAGAATTGCTTGAACCTGGGAGGCGGAGGCTGTAGTGAGCCAAGATCATGCACTGCACTCCAGCCTGGGCGACAGAGCAAGACTCCATCTCAAAAAAAAAAAAAAAAAAGCATAACATTCTTTTTTCCCTTAAAATGCAACTTGGCAAAGATGATTTTGTTGGGGGAAATTGGTTTAAGCTAATAAATACGTAGTTTCACTGTCCTAACTTTTGAAGTTCTGTTCATTGATTCCAAGTCCTCAGTGGCCACTGCACTTTAGAAATTCATGTATGAGGCTGGGTGTGGTGGCTCACGCCTGTAATCCCAGCACTTTGGGAGGCTGAGGTGGGCGGATCATGAGGTCAAGAGATCAAGACCATCCTGGCCAACATGGTGAAACCCCGTCTCTACTAAAAATACAAACATTAGCTGGGCATGGTAGTGTGTGCCTGTAGTCCCAGCTACTTGGGAGGCTGAGGCAGGAGAATCGCTTGAACCCTGGAGACGGAGGTTGTAGTAAGCCAAGATCGTGCCACTGCACTCTAGACTGGCGACAGAGCGAGACTCCATCTCAAAAAAAAAAAAAGAAAAAAAGAAATTCGGGTATGATTAGGCTGTAGAAATTTTTTTATTGCTAAATTTCAGCCTGTTAACTACAAAACTATGGGTTTTTTTTCCTAGTAATAATACAAAAATTGTCCCAGAAGCATATTTAATAAACTCCTTTCTTATAAAAGTATTATAGTTCTTAAACTAATGGTTGTTGTTGATCAGTTTTGGTCAAATGTTTGAGAATATTATTCTTGAAAACATGGAGCATGTTCAGGATGTTGTTTGTCAATCCATTAACAAATCCTGTTCTACTTCCAAATTATTTCATGAACCCTCTCCTTTTCACCCTCATTACTGCCATCTCCCTGCCTGGCCGCCCGCGTGTAGTGCTGCAGTACAATGATAGTAGCCTCCTCGCTGGCCTTGAGCTTTCCATCTGGCTGTCTCCACTACGTTCTTCACATTATAGCAAGACTGACCTGGAAACTACCTGGACGCAGCTGACCCTCTTGCCTGGTATCCTTCAATAGCTTCCCATTTTCCTTAAAGTCAAATCTGAACTCATCATACTATCCTTACAAGCCTGTGTGATCTGCCCCCTGCCTGTCTAAACACAGTTTATGTTACTCATCCACCAAACACTTCCCAGGCCTGTCACACGCCACCTCCTGCTTCCGGAACAGATTCTTCTTCCCGCCCTGCAGTTGGTTCTACCCAGCTTCAAGGTCTCTGTTTAAATATCATCTTTTGGAGGAATCTTACCTGACCACCCCAGATGGGGTCATTTCTGTTACTTTCTCTCCCTTTTGGATCCATTTATCACGAGTTCTGTTTTGTTTGATTACTTTTTTGGGGCTGTGTTCAATAAAATGTAAGCCTTATGAGGCAAGAACTGTGTCTAGCTTGTTTACTACGACAGTGTGTCATCAGTGCTTATGAGTAGTACTTAGTAGGTGGTGAATAAATATTTACTGAACAAATGAAGGTGGCAGAGGTATGCTGGCAGGAGAGCAGGGTGTATTCATTGGTATCTCAGTTTTAGCATGAAAAAGAACATAATTTCACATGGTTAGAGGGACTGAAACATTGTCTAGAATTTGGTCACATAGTAAAAAGCTGGAGAATAATTCTGAGAACCATTTATCTTAAAAGTTCCAGAAATTCTGTTTTTTTGGTAGGTATAGTTTGCCTTTTGCTTATTCAGCTAGTTTGAATCATATTGATAATGTGACTGCATGATAAGTCAGCCATATGCTGAGGTTTCTACTTTAAAGATAAGTAGCTACCTTAATTTGAAAGTATTATTTGCATTCTCTGAGCAGACCCATGGTGAAATGATCTGATTATCAATATTTAAGATTTATAATGTCTGCTGAAGATGACAGTGTTGCCTTAGTTATGAATTCTTTATGACAGACATTTTATATCAGGACTAGTTTGTTTCGTAAAGCCATTCTGTGTCAGTTTATAGGAAGGCATAGGCTTTTCTGTTTCCTGGGACATAAGGGGACTCGTCTAATAAATTTTTTTTTTTTTTTTAAAGACAATGTCTGGCTCTGTTGCCCAGGCTGGAGTGCAGTGGTACCATCTCAGCTCATTGCCTGCCTCCTGGGCTTAAGCCATTCTCCCACCTCAGCCTTTCTTTTTTTTATTTTTATTTATTTATTTATTTATTTTGAGATGGAGTCTCATTCTTGCGCCCAGGCTGGAAGTGCAGTGGCGTGATCTCTGCTCACTGCAACCTCCGCCTCCTGGGTTCAAGCAATTCTCTGCCTCAGTCTCCCGTGTAGCTGGGATTATAGGCATCTGCCACCATGCACAGCTAATTTTTGTATTTTTAGTAGAGATGGGGTTACACCATCTTGGCTAGGCTGGCCTTGAACTCCTGACCTCGTGATCCACCTGCCTTGGCCTCCCAAAGTGCTCGGATGGCAGGTATGAGCCACTGCGCCTGGCCGCATTCCTCAATTCAACAACAGCTTCTTCAATTGGAAACTACCAGTATAGCATCAAGGGATTTACACTTGACAAGTTCTGAGTCTTTCTTCAAAGGTTGGCCACTTCTGTTTTACTGCACCAGACCTAAGGAATGAATCCCTCTAAAACTTACAAATCCTGTGACTTCACCCAGAATTTTTTTTTTTGAGATGGAGTGGCGCTGTCTCGCCCAGGGTGGAGTGCAATGCCTGAACCCAGGAGGCAGAACTTGCAGTGAGCCAAGATCATGCCACTGCACTCCAGCCTGGGCGACAGAGCGAGACTCCGTCTCAAAAAAAAAATTTTTTTTGAGGAATGCATTTCCCCATTCCTCAGAAACAGTAGAAATGGTAGTTAGCCTGGACAGTACCCCTGCAGTTCCCCTCAATCCCAACAGCCACTGAAAGTGGGAATGGAGATATATTAGTCCATTCTTGCATTGCTATAAAGAACTACCTGAGACTGGGTAATTTATAAAGAAAAGAGGTTTAATTGGATCACTGTTCTGCAGGCTGTACAGGAAGCATGGCTGGGGAGGCCTCAGAAAACTTACAGTCATCGCAAAAGGTGAAGGGGAAGCCAGCACGTCCTGGATGGCTGGAGCAGGAGGAAGAAAGAGGGAAGGAGGAGGTGCTACAGACTGAAACAACCAGATCTCATGATAACTCGCTATCACAGGACAGCACTAGGGGGATGGATGGTGCTACACCATTAGAAACCATCCTCATGATCTAATCACTTCCCACCAGGCCCCACCTCTAACATTGAGAATTATAATTGAACAGGAGATTTGGGTGGGGGCATAGAACCAAACCATATCAAGAGGATTAGAATAAGAAAACCACACCAACATACATGAGGAGGAATCAGGAGCCTTAGAGTGTGCTCTTCACTCTGTCACCAACTCTGTGTCATTATGTGCAACTCATTTGACTCCTTGAGCTCTCAGATTACTCATCTGTTTTTAATTAATTAATTAATGGTTTCTGAGGCAAGGCCTTGTTCTGTCACCTGTTCTGGAGTGCTGTGGCACTATCACAGCTCACTGCAGACTGGACCTCCTGGGCTCAAGTGATCCTCCTTCCTCAGCTTCCTGAGTAGCTGGGACTACAGGCTTGTGCCAACATGCGTGGCTAATTTTTTATTTTTGATAGAAACTGGGTCTCGCTATGTTACCTAGGCTGGTTTCAAACTCCTGAGCTCAAACAATCCTCCCACCTCAGCCTCCCAAAGTGCTGGGATTACAGGCGCAAGACACCACACCCAGCCAAATTACTCATGTATAAAATGAATGGATTGAGCAAGATCATTTCCAAGATCCCTTTAAGCTCTGATGTCATGTGATTGGGATTTTTGGATTCCTAGATTAGCTTTTGAGCAGGAATTTGGATGGCAGACCTGTGTAGTTGGTCAAATACTTTGTACTTACAGCCTTTTCATATTACCGTGAGTTACTCACCAATTCAAATTGAATGACCAAGAGCTGTTGAATTCTCACAAAAATTTTTAGTACTTTTACAGCATTTTCAGTTTTATAATGCAGGTCATTGAAAAAAATCTTATTTTATAGACTCTTATGCCCTTTTGGCACTCCTCTATCATTGTTTTTAAGCACTTCATTGTTTTCTGGTACAAAAAGATGTTCCTGACTTACCTTGTAATTTCCCTGTCCCAGCCCTGAAATCAGCCAATTTCCCAAGGAATCCTGATTCTGTTGAAGGGGAATGGGCTTGGCGTGCCCCATGGGCTTCTCCCACTTTTGATGAGCAGAGCTAGGAAATGTTTTGAAGTTGTGTAATATCTCTAGTTACAGTTTGCCACCACAGGGCTCCTTTTCTTCTCACGTTAGGTTTGTGTATTCCTTCTCCCATAGTGTAAGTCATGACTCCCAGCAATATCAGTGTATTTACTCATGTGCTCATTGCTGCAATACATTAAAATAGTTTCAGAATTTTATACTACCAACAAGAAACGTACTACAAAAACTTATAGATTTCTTTGTAATTCTCTTTATCTTCAGAATATATCCTACTGAAGATGTAAACTCACATACTCTTTTTTTTTTTTTTTTTTGAGACAGAGTCTCACTCTGTCACCCAGGCTGGAGTGCACCGGCGCAATCTCGGCTCACTGCAAGCTCTGCCTCCCGGGTTCACGCCATTCTCCTGCCTCAGCCTCCCGAGTAGCTGGGACTACAGGCACTTGCCACCACACCCGGCTAATGTTTTGTATTTTTAATAGAGATGAGGTTTCACCATGTTAGCCAGGATAGTCTCAATCTCCTGACCTCATGATCTGTCTGCCTCGGTCTCCCAAAGTGCTGGGATTACAGGCGTGAGCCACTGCACTTGGCCAACTCATATACTCTTAAAGAGGCTACTCTCTGTTACAGTTTGCCTGAGTGCTCCTCTCTTCCTCCCTCTCTCTCTTCCCCCCATGCAGAGTAGGCTCTCAGTAACTGTTTGCCGAAAGGCAGTCTGTACCCTTCCTTGAGCTGTTTCTGTCCAGTAGTACTTTGCCGAGTAAAATTAATTACCAATTTTATGGGAGTTAAGTATTCTTAACTACCAAAAGCATTAATGGTCTGAACAAACAATCATATGTATAAATAAATAAAATGTATGTTATAAATCACTGTTGAATGTAGAGTTTTATGTAACAATAAATAAATATATAAGTAAAATAACAGTCTTATACTTATCAAACCCTATTATATAAACCCTTAGCTAGTAAGCTCATTTTATATATATGTTCATGTAGTCTTTATTGCTCATATATAATTTTTAATTTAATTCATAGAACCTAAGGCCCCTTATTTTCTGGTCTCAGTTTCAGCCAGTGTTTCTCATTAGGATCATTAAGAGATGAGGAGTTGTGGTTGTCTTCTTTTATTTTTTCATTTTTGTTTTTTTTTCAACCAACTCATTTCAAATAAGAAATTGTGGTTTCAATTTTATTTTTTATTTTAAGAATTGGGAGCATACAAAAGCTATTATTTGTGATTTTTCTTTTGTGATGTCATAATACAGTCTGAGGCATAGAAATTCTAGTTAAGTACTAAAAAAATAACAAGGCTGTTAGAATAACCACTGTGGGCTAGGTGTGAGGGTAAATCCTGGGGAGAGGAAGAAGTGGGAGGATAGTATTGGGTGAAGGGAAAGGTATAGAGCTAAATGCATATTTGAATTTAGGTCAGTGAAATCTAAGTGTAGTCTGGGGAAATTAAATTTTCTAGTACTGACTGGGCATGGTGGCTCACGCCTGTAATCCCAGCACTTTGGGAGGCCGAGGCAGGCAGATCACTTGAGGTCAGGAGTTCGAGACCAGCCTGGCCAACATGGCAAAACCCCATCTCTACTAAAAATACAAAAATTAGCTGGGCATGGTGGTGGGTGCCTGTAGTCCCAGCTACTCACTCAGGAGGCCAAGGTGGGAGAATTACTTGGACCCGGGAGTGGGTGGTTGCAGTGAGCCAAAATCACACCACTGCACTCCAGCTTGGGTGACAGAGTGAGACTGCTTCTCAAAAAAAAAAACAAAAAAAACCAAAAAAACCCAATTTTCTAGTACGCAGTATAATTAATTGTATAATTGTGTTATTCGTTCTTTTTGTTAAAACTATTTAATAAGTGATTCTTTAAAATAGCTGTTTTTGTTTAAGAAGTATGTTTTTGTCAGCGACATTGACAGAAATGTATTAATTGTTCATGTTCTTTGGTATTATGTATCAGTGATGGAGAAAAATACTAATGTTGGTGCAGCCAAATATTGTTCAGTTCTAATTATTCTTTAAGTGAGCCTCTGTTGGAAAAATTACTCAATTAATTATATGGTTTTGCCTAATCATATATTAAAGAAAAACAGTCAGCATATATTAAAGAAAGTATGAATTTAAACATTATTCCTTTCATTGAAATGATCACTGTATCTTTAAACTGGAAATATATTTGCAGTCTTTTAAGATTTCCTAAGGTATACTTAAAATAAAATACCTTTAAAGTATTTTAAGGTGTTTCTTAAAAGAAAGCAAGACTTTCAAATGTTTTTGTTTGATTGATTTATATATCTGTATTAAATATGTACATATGTTTTAGATCTTATTACAGTTAAGCATTTTTTTCTCACCTTTTTTCTTTGTTATTTTTTAATGGGCCTATTTAAACTTAAATCTCTAAGTAGGACCTTCAGGGATATTTGGTCATTCTAGCATCTTTCATTTGCATAGATATTCTCATAGACATAATAAAGCCATAGCCAGAGAAGCTCAAATATTTTTATCAATGATTTAAAAAAGCTGAAATCTTTTTAAAGTAATCCTTTTCATTTTTATTACAGGTAAATTGGGATATTCACAATGTATGGAAACAGAGGTAAGTGAAATACTCAAATATTTCTTAGTAAAGCAGCTTTGCAGTCCTGTTTAGACTAACTTGAGTACTGAACTATCTCACTATAGGTTCTTGGTCTTCTGATAAGATTTCTTTTTTTTTTTTTTTGAGATGGACTTTTGCTCTTGTCGCCCAGGCTGGAGTACAATGGCACGATCTTGGCTCACTGCAACCTCTGCCTCTTGAGTTCAAGCGATTCTCCCGCCTCAGCCTTCTGACTGGCTGGGATTATAGGCACCCACCACCACGCTCAGCTAATTTTTGTATTTTTAGTAGAGACGGGGTTTCACCATGTTGGCCAGGCTGGTCTTGAACTCCTTACCTCAGGTGATCCACCCGCCTTGGCCTTTCAAAGTGCTGGGATTATAGGCATGAGTCACCGCACCTGGCCCTGATAAGATGTTTTGAGAGCAGGTGTGTTTTCTAGGTTTAGGAAGAGTAAAATGTGAAGAAAAATTACTTGCCTTGTCCATATTTTTGTAACGTCAGGTTGTGTTATAAAGAATAGCTTAATTATCATTTTAAAATTTAACCGTATTATTATTTGCAGAATTGAGTTAGCTAAGATCCAGAGCTCTTAGTAATTTCAGTTTTTTTTTCATAATTCAGTGCAGTATGTCATATAATAAATACAGCATTTAAATGTGTTAGACTCCATTGGAGCTGCCTTAATTTAAGAAAAAATAGGGACTTAGAAACAATGTTTTAGTAAGATTAATAATAAATTTGGTGCTTTGTTATTTATACAAGTAGGTTTATTATTATTATTATTTTTTTTTTTTTTTATTTTTATTTTTAGACGGAGTCTCGCTCTGTCGCCCAGGCTGGAGGGCAGTGGCACGATCTCAGCTCACTGCAAGCTCCGCCTCCCGGGTTCACGCCATTCTCCTGCCCCAGCCTCCCAGGTAGCTGGGACTACAGGCGCCCGCCACCGCGCCCAGCTAATTTTTTGTATTTTTAGTAGAGACAGGGTTTCACCGTGTTAGCCAGGATGGTCTCGATCTCCTGACCTCGTGATCCGCCCGCCTCGGCCTCCCAAAGTGCTGGGATTACAGGCATGAGCCACTGTGCCTGGCCTGGTTTATTATTTTTTAATAATTTAATTTCAAATTTCTGATTGTGAAATTTAAGGGGTTTCTATGTGTTCATTGCAGGGATTTCAAGCATAATACTGAAATACCAGGTCAGCATATATGTGTGGTGTTCTTTTCAGTAGCAGTTTCATCATCCTTAGATTGGGGGTGTTGGGTGTTTTGTTAGTGGCAATGCCCAAATAAAGGATTTAAGAAGTTGTATTTCAAATTTTATAATGCATCTACATATTGTTGTAGGTTTTAGTAAGTTTTAACTGTTGTTTTAAATGAAATGTAGGCTTCCCAAGGGATTATATTGTATAATAGAGAAACAAAAATAATTTATCCCTTTTGGCATTAATTTTTGTATTTTCTTTCTTTTTTTTTTTTCTTTTGAGACAGAGCCTTGCTGTGTCTCCCAGGCTGGAGTGCAGTGGCACAATCTTGGCTCACTGCAACCTCCACCTCCCAGGTTCAAGTGATTCTCCTGCCTCAGCTTCCCGAGTCGCTGGGACTACAGGCACATGCCACCATGCTGGCTAGTTTTTGTATTTTTAGTGAAGACGGGGTTTTACCATGTTGGCCAGGCTGGTCTCAAACTCCCGGTCTCAGGTGATCCACCATTACAGGCGTGAGCCACTGTGCCCGGCCCATTTTTGCATTTTCTATTCAACTTTGAAAGGAGGGACAATTTTTTCCAAGTTAGATCTAAAAAGGCAAGAACTTAATATTTTTATATTGTTAGAATTTTTGATATACTATTCAACATGACACAAAGGGGTGGGATTTGATTTGAGTCAGAAGAGGTAAGTTTTGTGGTTTCTGGGTGTGTATTTTTCTAGCTATGCAATTTTGAGTAAGTAATTTTTCTTCCAGAACTTTGTCTTTCTTATCTATAAAATGTTAATGGTAATTTGTATTAACCTCATAGCTTATGAAATTTTTAAAGAGATACTATATATTAAAATGTTTCATAAACCTTAAATGCACTATTGTGAATTAAGATGATACAAATATAGTCAGCATTCATCTGCATTTAGGTAATGAAATATGAAGATTTTACATACAAGGCACAGTTATCTAATTATCGTTTTATTATATTGTCATAAAATCCACATGATCTTAACATTAGTTTAGTACTCACTTTGTAAAGAAGCATTAGTTCATTTTATCTCCTAATTGACAGCCCTTATAATTTGATCCATAACATAGGTCACCAAAAGAATTGGAATCTAACTAAATAGAAGTTTTTCAGAATTAAAAAAAAAGTAAAAATTTGGAGGGGGCAAAACACAAGGAAACAAAAATTTCAATCTGATATTGATTTAATTCAGAAAAATAGGTATTTTCTAGGGCTAACAGTGGTTATCAGTGGGGAGGAGATTGGGATTGTGGATGGTCATTTATCCATATTGTTTGATTTAAAAAAAAGTATCTGTGTATTACTTTGGTAATTAAGATAGCAAAAAGCAGGAGTGGTGAGGCGGTAGAGCCAGAGGGAACTACTTTTTCTTAGAAGTTTGGTGAAATGACAGAAGGAATTAAAAAACAGCATAAGGAGGAAGTTTTCTGTTGCGTTTTAGGTTAGAGACGATGGGCCATTTGGTGGTGGTGGTGTGAGGGAGCCTGGAGTGCGTGAGCCAGGTTCAAGAGTGGTTATCTAATGAAGCAGACCCAGGAACACATGGGAGACGATGGTTGTCTGGAGTAGTGCTGCTCAGAACCAAGACTGGTCCAGGGCTCTGTGGTCTCTGAGACCCTCTCAGGGGATCTGCAAGGTCAAAACTATTTTCATAGTACTACTAGGATATCATTTGCCTTTATACTTTCATTCTCTTAAGAGCGTACCATGGAGTTTTTGGAGGCATGAGGAAGACTGTCAGAATGACTGCAGAAGCAGATGAGATCCAGCCTTTTTTTTTTTTGGAGACAGAGTCTTGCTCTGTCACCCAGGCTGGAGTGCAGTGCCATGATAACGGCTCACTGTAGCCTCAACTTCCTAGGTTCAAGTCATCCTCCCACCTCAGCCCTCTGAGTAGCTGGGACTACAGGTGCATGTCACCACACCTGGACAGTTTTTTATTTTTTATTTTATGTGTATTTTTTGAGACAGAGTCTCACTCTGTCACCCAGACTGGAGTGCAGAGGTGCGATCTTGGCTCACTACAACCTCTGCCTCCTGGGTTCAAGCGATTCTACTACCTCAGCCTCCCAAGTAGCTGGGACTACAGGCGTGCGCCATGATGCCCGGCTAATTTTTGTATTTTTAGTAGAGACAGGGTTTTGCCAGGCTGGTTGTGAACTCCTGACCTCGTGATCCTCCCGCCTCACCCTCCCAAAGTGTTGGGATTACAGGCGTAAGCCACTGTGCCTGGCCTGTTTTTTTATTTTTATGTTTTTTTTTTTTTTTTTTTTTTTTTTTGTAGAGATGGGGTTTTGCTATGTTGCCCAGGCTGGTCTCCAACTCCTGAGCTCAAGCAGTCCTCATGCCTCGGCCTCCCAAAGTGTTGGGATTATAAATGTGAGGCACCTTGCCCAGCCTCTGTGGCTTTCATTGAGCCTGACATTAAAAGGTTTTGTAAAATGTAAAACAATTCCACTGTTCTCATTTTTTTAATGTAGTTTTTTTTTCCTCCATAAAATGTTATTAACATTTAATGGGCTTAAATGAATTAATACATATTTTAAACATTCCTTGGTTTTAATTTCTAATACAGTAAAT
Source organism: Homo sapiens (assembly GCF_000001405.40). Taxonomy (NCBI): domain Eukaryota; kingdom Metazoa; phylum Chordata; class Mammalia; order Primates; family Hominidae; genus Homo; species Homo sapiens. The sequence goes on along the minus strand of NC_000018.10, from coordinate 12,631,248 downwards.
ATTGATAGATTATAGCCCACATTAAAAAAAAGCTCTTTGGGCTCTAATTTTTTAGTGTGTAAAGAGAGTCTAAAACCAAAATTTAAAGGTTTGAGAGCTGTGGTATGAGAGCACAGATGGCAGAGGTACTTCTTCCTAAGAAACAGAATAGGGAGGTAGGAGGAAACTAGAGTTGTGGGGTAGGCAGCAGGAAGCCCAGGCATCCTTGCCATATGGGTTTAAGGCTCTTTTTGTCAGCAAGAAGGCAGGCTCATTTCTGAGACTGAGGTTATACGGGGTCACAAAGGGGACTGACTACTAGAGCCTCTCTTGGCTCTTAAATTATTTTTCTGTTGAGCAAAACAAATTGTTTTTCTATTTCTGCCATTCCCTCTGTAAACCCCTCACCCAACTCTTGCTAGTATAAGCTGCCTGAAGGAAGAGGCTGGCTGCCATTCTGGGGCAGCCTGTTCAGCCTTTCTGAATTCAGAGAGGCCTTGTTAGGTGGCCCTTGTGCCCAGGCTCAGCTCATGGGGCCTCCCTTTCCTTCTCGCTTCTCTGCCTCAGATTCTCCATTGAGGGTGGATAGCTGCAAAAATTATTATTATTTTTTGAGACAGAGTCTTGCTCTTGCCCAGGCTGGAGTGCAGTGGCATGATCTCAGCTCACTGCAACCTCTGCCTCCCAGGTTCAAGCGATTCTCCTGCCTCAGCCTCCTGAGTAGCTGAGATTACAGGCATGTGCCACCACGCCCAGCTAATTTTTGTATTTTTAGTAGAGATGGAGTTTTGCCGTGTTGGCGAGGCTGGTCTCGAACTCGGAACCTCAGGTCATCTGCCTGCCTCAGCCTCCAAAGTGCTGGGATTACAGGCACGAGCCACTGTGCCTGCCATAAAAATTATTTACATTTTATTCAGCATCAAGCCTAGCTTTATACGTGCAGCATATTATGTGTCATTCCTGGTTGGGAAGTGTAAGGTTTCCTGGGAGCAAGAAGGAAGTCCTTCTTAAGCAAGGCTTACAGACTCCCAGGGAGAACAAAATCTCTTTATCTCTCTGGGGTTTTAGGACCCTCATCAAGTCATAGAATTGAAATAGAGAACATCAATTGTTCAACTTTTTAATTTTAATAGTTTTTGTAGTACATAAAAATCATGTTATGAATTATTTTGTAGTTTTAATTATAACTTTTTTAGCACTTTTACCATATTCTTAAAAATTAAAAATTATGAGTTCTGAGAAAGCAGTGAAATCACATATAGGTATTTGATTAACTTTTATGTGATCTTTTACCTCAAGCTAATGTTTCTTAAAATCAAGTATTTTACCTTATTTCTTACTGTTTGGAAAATGTTTTAATATACTTGATTATACTAAGTATTTTCCAGCATTTGAACTCCTTAATGGAAATCTTTCATATGATTTGTTTTAAATGACATGCAAATTTTTTTACTTTAATAGGCAATTTAATTTTTCCCTATAACTTTTTCTGCTTTTTGAAAGTATAATTTACATACAGTAAAATTTACCTTTTTATTTAATTCTTTGAGTTTTGACAAGGATATTTTGTTGTTAACTATCCCTACAATCAAGTTTTGTCACCCCTTTAACGTCCCCCATGCCACTTTGTAGTTAGCCCTGCCCCTCCTCCCAGCCCCTCTTAGCCACTGATCTGTATGTTGTTCTTACAGTTTTGAAAAGGACATGTAATTTAAACAGCGTGTGACCCATATTTCTCCCTTCCTAGTAGTGGCTCACAGCTCAGACTACTAATTTATAAACTCTTGAATGACTAACCTGTACTCGTAGGCGCTTGCCTGTCAAGGAAGCAGTTCAGACCCAGATTTAAGGGTAGCTTTTATTCCAATTTTACAAATTTTTCCTACTGCCATTGTTTAAATAGTTTTGTGGATTATAATCTTACTTTTGAAGAAAATTGCTAAATATTTGAAAATGCTAAAACAGAACTGATTTGAATTTCCATGTATTTTAATTGAGGCTTTTACATTGGTTTTTTTCCAGCTTTCCAAATTTCATCACATTCCTGTCTCCTATTAATCACCACTAATTATGTAGCACTCAGAGGCCCTTTCCCTTCAGCAGGAAAGAAGGTTAAATGAATAACTAGAACAATCCTGTTCCCTTGGGGGATTAACTGTATTTTAAGTGGAATAGGTTAAAGTATTATATAAAGTTAAATGAACTTTTATCATTACTTTAATCTTGATAGAACTGGTTTGTAAAAATTGTACCATAGAATCATTTAAGCTTTAGTGAGGGAAACTATTAAAAAGACTCATGTTCACATCTCAGAAATAAAGTTCATGTATACTGGGCATAAGTACCTATTCTGTGTTTCATTCCCACATGCATCTTGAAGAAATATTTTACAGCTTACTCATTCCTGTACACTAATAACAGACAGAGAGCCAAATCATGAGTGAACTCCCATTCATATTGCTACAAAGAGAATAAAATACCTAGGAATCCAACTTACAAGGGATATGAGGGACCTCTTCAAGGAGAACTACAAACCACTGCTCAACAAAATAAGAGAGAGACACAAACAAATGGAAGAACATTCCGTGCTTATGGATAGGAAGAATCAATATCGTGAAAATGGCCATACTGCCCAAGATAATTTATAGATTCAATGCCATCCCCATCAAGCTACCAATGACTTTCTTCACAGAATTGGAAAAAACTACTTTAAAGTTCATATAGAACCAAAAAAGAGCCCGCATTCCCAAGACAATCCTAAGCAAAAAGAACAAAACTGGAGGCATTGTACTACCTGACTTCAAACTATACTACAAGGCTACAGTAACCAAAACAGCATGGTACTGGTACCAAAACAGATATATTGACCAATGGAACAGAACAGAGGCCTCAGAAATAACACCACACATCTATAACCATCTGATCTTTGACAAACCTGACAAAAACAAGAAATGGGGAAAGGATTCCCTATTTAATACATGGTACTGGGAAAACTGGCTAGCCATATGTAGAAAGCTGAAACTGGATCCCTTTCTTTATACAAAAATTAATTCGAGATGGATTAAAGACTTAAAATGTTAGACCTAACGCTATAAAAACCCTAGAAGAAAATCTAGGCAATACTATTCAGGACATAGGCATGGTCAAGGACTTCATGACTAAAACACCAAAAGCAATGGCAACAAAAGCCAGAATAGACAAATGGGATCTAATTAAACTAAAGAGCTTCTGCATGGCAGAAGAAGCTACCCTCAGAGTGAACAGGAAACCTACAGAATGGGAGAAAATTTTTGCAATCTACCCATCTGACAAAGGGCTAATATCCAGAATCTACAAAGAACTCAAACAAATTTACAAGAAAAAAACAACCCCATCAAAAAGTGGGCAAAGGATATGAACAGACACTTCTCAAAAGAAGACATTTATGCAGCCAACAGACACATTAGAAAATGCTCATCATCACTGGTCATCAGAGAAATGCAAATCAAAACCACAATGAGATACCATCTCATACCAGTTAGAATGGCAGTTGTTAAAAATTCAGGAAACAACAGATGCTGGAGATGATGTGGAGAAATAGGAACGCTTTTACACTGTTTTTGGAAGTGTAAATTAGTTCAACCATTATGGAAGACAGTGTGGCGATTCAAGGATCGAGAACTAGAAATACCATTTGACCTAGTGATCCCATTACTGGGTATATACCTAAAGGATTATAAATCATGCTACTATAAAGACACATGCACACATATGTTTACTGTGGCACTATTCACAATAGCAGGCTTGGAACCAACCCAAATGTCCATCGATGATAGACTGGATTAAGAAAACGTGGCACATACACACCATGGAATACTATGCAGCCATAAAAAAGGATGAGTTCATGTCCTTTGCAGGGACATAGATGAAGCTGGAAACCATCATTTTGAGCAAACTATTGCAAGGACGGAAAACCAAACACCACATGTTCTCACTCATAGGTGGGAATTGAACAATGAGAACACTTGGACACAGGGTGGGGAACATCACACACTGGAGCCTGTTGTGGGGTGGGGGAGGGAGGAGGGATAGCATTAGGAGAAATACCTAATGTAAATGGGTGCAACAAACCAACATGGCACATGTATACCTCTGTAATAAACCTGCACATTGTGCGCATGTACCCTAGAACTTAAAGTATAATAACAAAAAAATTTTACAATTAGAAGAGTGTTTCTCTGTCCACCTCTGAAGCAAAAGAATATTTAGTTTGAATTAAGAGGCATTAATTACTCTCAGTCAAAAAATTTTGTTTTGTTTATGTAAATAACAAAAGAGTTCAGACCTGTTAACAATCTTTTTAAATTAAAAATGATCATCCTCTGGGCAAAAAAAAAAAAAAAATATATATATATATATATATTTTACAGCTTACTATATTCCAAGTACTGTTATAGACATTAATTAATCATCACAGCAAATGTATGAAGTAGATCCTATTATTTGCATTTTAGGGATGAGAGCTAAGTATATAGAGAGGTTAAGTAATTTGCCCAAGCCGACATAGCCAGAAAGTTGCGGAACCACTTTATCTCTTTACTTTTCATATATTTGTCTTTTCTTTATTCAGCCTGTATCTGCAATGTAAGGTATCTACATAATGCTGATGGTTAATTTAGTGCCTTATTTGGAATAATGAGATGCCTTTGTATCTCCTTATATGCCTCTTAACTGCAGCTACTTCAGTTCTTGGCATTTTATAGCCAACGGATATAGTCCTGTTAGATGTAACCTTGACAAAAGTGTTAACGCAGTCCATGAACCTTCAACCTCTTAGATGAGGACAGGGTCTGTACTGTAGGAACTTGTAAAGTAGTCTGATTCCAAATTACTCAAAATGATTCAAGAATTGTTCTATATAGTTGAACCTCCTGGAAAGTCAAATCTGCTTTAGGGGACCCAGAGATCTTGAGAGAAGCCAAGAAATACATCATAGTCTCTTGGACCTCGATCTGGTTATGTACAGTTTTTGACCCAAACAGGGCTATATCAATTTTTAATGTTTTCTGAGCATCCTAAAATAAACTACTAAAGGCTGTAAATGGGGTTTGCTGCTTTATACGGAGTATAACATTTTAAAATGTCTTTTTTTGTCTTTAGCTAAATCAGCTCACTACCCATAATTGATTCTACCTTCTGGCTCGTTTAGGTGACAATTAGATTTGTATTTCCTTTTTTTGGGGGGGGGCGGGGCGGTGTGGGGAATGGAGTCTCTCTCTGTTGTCCAGGCTGGAGTGCAGTGGTGTGATCTCAGCTCACTGTAACATCTGCCTCCTGGGTTCAAGTGATTCTCCTGAGTAGCTGGGATTACAGGCAGCCGCCACCACGCCCAGCTAATTTTTGTATTTTTAGTAGAGACGGGGTTTCACCATGTTGGCCAGGCTGATCTCGAACTCCTGACCTCAGGTGATCCACCCGCCTTGGCCTCCCAAAGTGCTGGGATTACAGGCATGAGCTACCATGCCCCGCCCTGTATTGCCTCTTTTAATTGACAATGGGTAGCCCTTAATTTCAAAAGTAACTAAAAAATCCAACCTGAAAGAAGAAAGTAGTAGTTATGCACACATGAAAATATTTGCATGCATGCACAACTTTAGCTGCATAAATGAGGCTGTTTTATGTGACTGAGAAATAGTATTTGATACCAAACTAATTAAATCTTAAAATATCTTGTAGAAACAACAAGGCAATTATTATTGAATCTACTCTTTTAGCAGATGGCTTTGCCTGATCTTACGCTTTATGGGTTTGTAAATGGAATTGCATCACAAGAAGTTAAAATGATGAAATGTATTGTCAAAGAGGACTGGAAGAATAAACTCCAGTAACTGCTGGTAACAACAGCATTTTCTCCTTGGTCAGCAGGCTAAGAGGAATGTTTAGGAATGCTTGCATTCTACTTTCTGTCTTTTTGGATTAAAGACCCCAAACACACCTGAATTCCCATGGCCGCAACACGGTGTGGAAATCAGTTTGTACGTCCTCAGAGGAAATTGTGTCTGTACATGAGTTGCCGCTTCCGAGTGTCAATTTTAATAGAGGTCTTGGCAGAGGGATCATTGTAGTGTGATGAATAGATAATCTCCACTTAGATTTCATGTATCAGACATAGACTAGGACATTATGACAGTCACTTGGCATATTTGAAATTCAGTCATGCTTCCCCCACCCCCGCCCAGTTGGCATTTATTACTAAAATGACCTTTCTGGGTTACAGTCATAGATGTCTATCAGGGGACATGATTTGACCATAGGATACATAATTTATACAAGTAGTGTTCCTTTGAATAGTTTTTACTATATCTGAAGACAAATAATAGTTATATGTCTGGCAAAGGATTTCAGAATAACTCAAATTATCTGGGAGTAAATATTTTATAATTACTTTTTTTTTTTTTTGAGATGGAGTCTCACTCTGTCGCCCAGGCTGGAGTGCAGTGGCGTGATCTCGGCTCACTGCAACCTCTGCCTCCCAGGTTCAAGCAATTCTGTCTCAGCCTCCCAAATAGCTGGGATTACAGGTGTCCACCACCATGCCTGGCTAATTTTTGTATTTTTAGTAGAGATGGGGTTTCATCATGTTGGCCAGGCTGGTCTCAAAAGAGTTTACCATATTTACTATATGGGTAGCTTAAACACCTCCCAGTACTTTACAATAGAGTATGTAGATTTTTTTTTTTTTTTTTTTGAGTCAGTGTCTTGCTCTGTCACCCAGGCTGGAGTGTAGTGGTACGATCTCGGCTCACTGCAACCCCCGCCTCCTGGGTTCAAGTAATTCTGCTGCCTCAGCCTCCCGAGTAGCTGGGACTACAGGCACACGCCACCACGCCTGGCTAATTTTTGTAATTTCAGTAGAGACGGGGTTTCACCATATTGGTCAGGTTGGTCTCAAACTTCTGACCACAAGTGATCCACCCGCCTCAGCCTCCCAAAGTGCTGGGATTACAGGTGTGAGCCACCACTCCCAGCCATGTAGAATGTTTTTTTTTTTTTAATAATTTGCCTTATTAGGCAGGCATGGTGGTTTACGCTTGTAATCCCAACACTTTGGGAGGCCGAGGCGGGCGGATCACCTGAGGTCAGGAGTTCGAGACCAGCTGATCAACATGGCGAAACTCCGTCTCTACTAAAAATACAAAATTAGTTGGGTGTGGTGACACGTGCCTGTAATCCCAGCTACTCGGGAGGCTGAGGCAGGAGAATGGCTTGAACCCTTGAGGCAGAGGTTGCAGTGAGCCGAGACCACTCCAGGGCGCACCAACCTGGGCGACAGAGTGAGACTCCATCTCAAGAAAAAAAAAAAGGCCGAGTGCAGTGGCTTACGCCTGTAATCCCAGCACTTTGGAAGGCCGAGGCAGGCGGATCACCTGAGGTCAGGAGTTCGAGACCAGCCTGGCCAATATGGTGAAACCCTGGCTCTACTAAATACAAAAAATTAGTTGAGCATGGTGGTGGTTGCCTGTAATCCCAGCTACTTGGGAGGCTGAGACAAGAGAATTGATTCAACCTGGGAGGTGGAGGTTGCAGTGAGCCAAGATCATGCCATTGCACTCCAGCCTGGGTGACAAGAGTGAAACTCTCTCAAAAAACAAAACAAAAAAGAATTTGCCTTATCAGTCTGTCTTAGTGAAAAATTAAAATGATTTAAATAAAATAAAACCAGTATTTTTCAGCACACATAATGCAATGCGGATGGGATCTGTGTGGGAAGGGACTAGATTTTTATTTAGTTTTTCAAAGTACATTTATTCATTTGTAGCATTTGTAGAAATGATGTTGGCCAGGCGCAGTGGCTTACACCTGTAATCCCAGCACTTTGGGAGGCCAAGGCGGGCAGATCACGAGGTCAGGAGATTGAGACCATCCTGGCTAACACAGTGAAACCCTGTCTCTACTAAAAATACAAAAAATCAGCCAGGCGTGGTGGCGGGCGCCTGTAGTCCCAGCTACTCAGGAGGCTGAGGCAGGAGAATGGCATGAACCTAGGAGGTGGAGCTTGCAGTGAGCCAAGATCACGCCACTGCACTCCAGCCTGGGCAACAGAGCGAGACTCTGTCTCAAAAAAAAAAAATGTATATTTGTTGTAAAAATTAAAACATCTTGAAGGGTAAAAGAATGTAAAAATCACTTCATACCCTACTGCTTAGTGATAGTGGCTGTTTAGAGTATTTTTCTCGGCATCTCTTCCCTTAGGTACATAACAATATTGACACATTAATTGAGCATCTGTTGTGTGCCATTCTTAGAGTCACATGCATCTTTGCATTAAAAGACAGACTTGGCTTGAAGGAGTTAGCCAGGCTGAGGGAAAGGATTTAGGTAAATCCAGTGGAACTTTCCAGGAAGAAGGACACCATAGTGAAGATTCTGAAAGAGCTAGCTGTTTTTGAAACTGACAGAACACAAGGATGTCTGAAGCATAGAGAAGGAGGGAGAGTTAAAGAAAATGTAGGAAAGACAAGGTGGTGCCAAGTATTACAGGTCATGTTAAAGATTGGACACAGCTGAGGCCTGGGCACAGTGGCTCACGCCTGTAATCCCAGCACTTTGGGAGGCTGAGGCGGGCGGATCACGAGGTCAGGAGATCGAGACCATCCTGGCTAACACAGTGAAACCCTGTCTCTACTAAAAATACAAAAAATTAGCCGGGCATGGTGGTGGGTGCCTGTAGTCCCAGCTACTCAGGAGGCTGAGGCAGGAGAATGGCGTGAACCGGGGAGGCGGAGCTTGCAGTGAGCCAAGATCGCGCCACTGCACTCCAGCCTGGGCGACAGAGCAAGACTCTGTCTCAAAAAAAAAAAAAAAAAAAGACTGGACATAGCTCCGTTTTCCCTTCAAGGGAAGAAACATTTCTGTCTGAAATTTTTTTCTATTCCTGTGATCATTCTTCTGTTGTTATGTATTGTTCATCTGCTGTTTTCTTACATTCTTTGTATTTCCCACGCTACACAGATGTGTTTTATACACTCATTATTTCATCAGTTTATACATCATTTAATTAATTGGTACCATAATAATAGTGGTGCAGTTGTATAAATAGGTTTGGGAACAAACCCAACTGACCCATGGTAAGCATAGGAACAGAAATGCCTGGTGACTGAAGGAGTAGCTGGCCTGTGACGTGGAGAGAAGTCAGTATGATAGATCTGGGGATTAGGGAGTAGAGATGGATGAGTCATTTAGGTGGAGGCTAATTGAGCTTCTGCAGTTCAGTATGGTGTCTCGACATATTCTCTCAATTTGGTGGAGATTTTACTGTATTTAGCAGATATTAAAATAAGGTTTTTAAAAACCCATTATCAGCAAAATTAGATAATTTCCTCGGTTTATGACCATTTCCTAATTTTTTGATGATGTTTCTAATTTTTTTAAAAATAATTTTTTTAGGATATAATTCACAAAGCATGCAAGTTACCCACTTACCCAATTTGCGGTTTTTGAGATATTCAGAGTTATGCAGCCATCACCACAATTTTAGGACATTTTGTCACCTTATAAAGAAATGTGGTACCTTTTAGCTATCACCTCCTAGCCCCAGCAATCACTAATCTACTTTCTATATGTATAGATTTGCCTATTCTGGACATTGCATATGCACGGACTCATAGGTTATTTTAGGACTGGCTTCTTTCATTTAGCATAATGTTCAGGGTTCATCCATGTCATACATGTATCAGTACTTTATTCCTTTTTATTGCCAAATATTCCATAGTATGGATATACTGTATTTTGTTACCCATTCATCAGTTGATGGACATTTGAATTGTTTCTACCCTTTGGCTGTTATGAGTAATGGTGCTATAAACTTTCATGTACAAATTTTTGTGTGGACATATGTTTTCATTTTTCTTGGATATATACCTAAGAGAAGAATTTCTGAGTAAACTGGTAACTCTATATTTTAACTTTTTGAGAGCTTCCAAACTGTTTCTCAAAGTAACTCTATCTTTTGACATCTCAGTGTATAAGGGTTCTGATTTTTCCACATCCTTGCCAACACTTGTTATTATCTGACTTCTTGATTCTGGGCATCCTAGTGCATGTAAAATGGTATTTCATGTGGTTTTGCTTTACATCTTCCTGGTAGCTAATGATGTTGAGCCTATTTTCATGTGGTTGTTGACCATTGTAGAAATGACTATTCAGATCCTTTGCCCCCCACTCCCCCTTTTTTTAAGAGACATGGTCTCGCTCTCTCACCAGGCTAGAGTGCAGTGGCACAATCACAGCTCACTGCAGCCTTGACCTTTGCCCATTTTAAAATTGGGTTCTCTTTTTATTATTGAATTGTAAGAGTTCTTTATATAGTGTAGATAAAATTTCTTATCACATACATGATTTGCCAATATTTTCTCCCATTCTGTGGATTTTCATGCCAGTTTCTTGATGGTGTCCTTTGAAGCATGAAGTTTATTTCAATCAAGTCCAGTGTATTTATTTTTTATTTTATTGCTTGTGGGGTTTGGTGCCATATCTAAAAATCCATTGCCAAATCCAAGATCATGAAGATTTATGCCTATTTTCATCTGAGAGTTTTATAGTTTTGGTTCTTATATTTAGGTCTTTGATCGATTTCAGTTAATTTTTGTATATGGTTTGAGGAAAGGATCTAACTTCATACTTTTATGTGTGGATATCTAATAGACACATCACCATTTCTTGAAAATATTTTTTACCTGTTGGATGGTATTATCACCCTGATTGAAAATCAGTTGATTATAGATGTATGGGTTTATTTCTGCACTGTCAGTTCCGTTCTATTGTGCCAGTGCCATGTTGCCTTGATTGCTCTTGCTTTTAAATAAGTTTTGAAATTGGTAAGTGTGAGTCCCCCAACTTTGTTGTTCTTTTTCAAGATTGTTTGGCTCTTCTAGGTCCTTTGATTGTCATACGAATTTTAGAATTAGCTCAACTTCTGACAAAGAAACCAGCTGGAATTCTCATAGGGATTGCCTTTAATCTATAAATGGATTTGGTTATTATCGCATTTAACAATGCTAAGCCTTAGACCATGAACACAGTATGTCTTCCCATTTATTTAGGTCTTCGTTGACTCCAAAAAAAGGGGAATTCCCCCCTTTTTTTGAGAACAGGTTTGTTATGTTGCCTAGGCAGGTCTTGAACTCCTGGCTCAAGGTGTCCTCCTGTCTCTGCCTCCCTAAGTGCTGGAATTACAGGTATGAGCCACTGCACTCAGCTGATTTTTGTTTATTCATCATATATCCTGCTACCTTGCTGAATTCATTTATTAATTTTAATGTTTTTTCAGTAGATTCCTTAGGATTTTCTTTTTATAAGATTATGTCATCTGTGAATAGAGATACCATTACTTAATTTTCAATTTGGATGCCTTTTTATTTTCTTGCTTTTTTTTTTTTTTTTCCTGAGGCAGAGTCTCGCTCTGTTGCCCAGGCTGGAGTGCAGTGCCGCGATCTTGGCTCACCACAATCTCCACCTCCCGGGTTCAAGAGATTCTCCTGCCTCAGCCTCCTGAGTAGCTAGGACTACAGGCACACACCACTGTGCCTGGCTAATGTTTGTATTCTTAGTAGAGACAGGGTTTCACTGTGTTGGCCAGGCTGGTCTTAAACTCCTGACCTCCTGATCACCCACCTCGGCCTCCCAAAGTGCTGAGATTACAGGCATGAGCCACTGCGCCTAGCCTGTGTTTATTTTTTTATTTTTTATTTTTATTTTTATTTGTTTATTTAAATTTGTTTTTCGAGACGGAGTCTCGCTGTATCGCCCAGGCTGGAGTTCAGTGGCACGATCTCAGCTCACTGCAAGCTCTGCCTCCCAGGTTCACGCCATTCTCCTGCCTCAGCCTCCCGAGTAGCTGGGATTACAGGCGCCTGCCACCACGCCTGGCTAATTTTTTGTATTTTTAGTAGAGACGGGGTTTCACCGTGTTAGCCAGGATGGTGTCAATCTCCTGACCTGATTGGCCTGCCTTGGCCTCCTAAAGTGCTGAGATTACAGGCGTGAGCCACCATGCCCGGCCCTCTTGCTGTTTATTTTTAAAAATTGTTTTTGTGGACTGGGTGTGGTGGCCCACGTCTATAATCCCAGTACTTTGGGAGGCCGTGGCGGGCGGATCACCTGAGGTTGGGAGTTCAAGTGGGAGTTCGAGACCAGCCTGACCAACATGGAGAAACCCTGTCTCTACTAAAAATACAAAATTAGCCAGGCGTGGTGGCGGGTGCCTGTAATCCCAGCTACTCAGGAGGCTGAGGCAGGAGAATCACTTGAACCTGGGAGGCAGAGGTTGTGGTGAGCCGAGATCGCACCATTGCACTCCAGCCTGGGCAACAAGAGCAAAACTCTGTCTTGGGGGGGAAAAAAATTGTTTTTGTGGGGCTCAGAGCTGGCGGGTGGAATAGATTCTCCCAAAGCATTTAAACAATTTATTTCAAAGGTATTTTATGAGAGAATATTTAAATATTTGAATGTTAAATAACAGTCTTATGAGAGCATGTTTATATAATTTATATTTCAAGTGGAAATATTTTTTTGTGTGTGTTTAAAAACAGTTTTTTTGTGTGTTGAAACAAACTTTTCGGTTTGGCCCATTGTAACTGAATTTGGAGCGGTTTTTGTTTCCCTTTAGGATAATTTTCTCTTTAGAAGAGCAACATTCTAGAATATAAGATTAAAAAGTATAGATAGCTTTCAAACTAGTTGACTGATTTTAGCTGTTGAACTTCCCTGTTTTTATTTCTAGAGGTTTCATTTGACATAACTGCTTATTTTTCTTCAGCAACAGAAAGTTCATGAGATAGTTTATAGATTGTGGCCTTGGCTTCTGTGGGTAATTAATAAATACCTTATAGTGGCCGGGCGCGGTGGCTCTCGCCTGTAATCTCAGCACTTTGGGAGGCCGAGGCGGGCGGATAACAAGGTCAGGAAATCAAGACCATCCTGGCTAACACGGGGAAACTCCATCTCTACTAAAAATACAAAAATTAGCCGGGCATAGTGGCAGGTGCCTGTAGTCCCAGCTACTCGGGAGGCTGAGGCAGGAGAATGGCGTGAACCTGGGAGGTGGAGCTTGCAGGGAGCCGAGATCGCACCACTGCACTCCAGCCTGGGCGACAGAGCAAGACTCCTGTCTCAAAAAAATAAAAAATAAAAAATAAGTACCTTATAGTTTGAACCTGTTATCTAGGGGGAAATTCTCATGGATAGATAGGAGCTCTTAGGAAAATGAAGAGTTGTGAAAGGAACATGGAACTACAGGTAAAAATATAAATTTTTTTTACATCATTTGTTGAGGACTTGCTATTTATAGACCCTGTACTAAGCATAGGCAACACGGTTCTGTCCTCTAAATGTTCAGTTTTGCTAGAGTATTACCATGATAAAATGAATAAAAAGAGGCCAGACATGGTGGTTCATGTCTGGAACCCCAGCACTTTGGGAGGCTGAGGCTGGTGGATCACTTGAGGTCAGGAGTTTGAGACCAGCCTGGCCACCATGGTGAAACCTCGTCTCTACTAAAAGTATAAAATAAATTAGCCGGGAGGCCGGGTATGGTGGCTCACGCCTGTAATCCTAGCACTTTGGGAGGCCGAGGTGGTGGATCACCTGAGGTCAGGAGTTTGAGACCAGCCTTGTCAAAATGGCGAAACCCCGTCTCTACTAAAAATACAAACATTAGCCAGGCATGGTGGCAGGCGCCTATAATCCCAGCTACTCGGGAGGCTGAGGCAGGAGAATCACTTGAACCCGGGGGCAGAGGTTGCAGTGAGCTGAGATTGCACCCTTGCACTCCAGCCTGGACAAAAAAGCGAAACTCTGTCTCCAAAACAAACAAACAAACAAAAAACAACTAAAACAAAAAACAAAAAGATTTGCTGGGCATGGTGGTTGGTGCGTGTAATCCCAGCTACTTGGGAGGCTGGGACAGGAGAATCGCTTGAACCCAGGAGGCGGAGGTTGCAGTGATCTGAGATCACACCACTGCACTCCAGCCTGGGTGACAGAGTGGTGGTTGCAATGATCTGAGATCGCACCACTGCACTCCAGCCTGGGCGACAGAGCGAGACCCCATTTCAAAAAAAAAAAAAAAAAATAGTGAGCATGGTTGCTCATGCCTGTAATCCCAGCACTTTGGGAGGCCGAGGCTGGAGGATCACTTGAGGTCAGGAGTCCAAGACCAGCCTGGCCAACATAGTGAAACCCCGTCTCTACTAAAAATACAAAAGTTAGCTGGGCATGGTGGTGGGCGCCTGTAATCCCAGCTACTTGGGAGGCTGAGGCAGGGGAATCGCTTGAACCCCGGGGGTGGAGACTGCAGTGAGCCGAGATTGCACCACTGCACTCCAGCCTGGGCGACAGAGCAAGACTCCATCTAAAAAAAATAATAATGATAAAATAAATAAAATGAATACAAAGAATTGTTGGTTTACCAGTAATCTTAATAAAACGTAGCACATGAATGTATTGCATTGCTGAATAAGATGACAGAACCTGAGCTTTTTGATTAAACTGCTCTCTTGCCTGGCTTTTCTCTCTTCTTCCTGTAATTTATGAATTCAAACATTGGGTCAATTATGAGGCAGGGCTCCGCCTTCGCACTACCACTGCCTGTAAGTAAGCACAGTAATGCAATTAAAAACATCTCTCAAAGGATCTTAGTAGATCCATTTTATAGGTTGTAACAACACTTACTAAAATTATCAAAATTCCCTTTTAAAAATTCTTCAACTTTCTCTTCTCTTGTGGCTGCTCTGGGACCTTCTACCTTCCACCCACCCGCAAGTAAAACCTCAACACCCTGTGCCTGGTCACATCACCCACTTCCCTGGATCCTGGCCTGTCTTTTATCCTCCCTTCTCTCTGTCCTTTGCTTTTCCATTTCAGCTGATATCTAGACTCTCCACTCCAGATGGAGTCGAGGATCACGTGGCTTATGGCCTTCTTTTTCCTTTTCCTTTCCTCTCTTCACCTGATCCCAGGGCTTTCTTTTCATTTTCTCCATTCTACACCACAAACAAACTTTAGTAATGACTACCAGATATCTTTGGAAGAGGCCACTGTTATTTTTACAGAGGATGTGACTTTACCTTGGGAAGGGAAGAGGGAAGAATGCTTAGAAGGTAGAAGCTGGCAAAAGAATTGAAGGAGACTGTGAGACTGCCTTAAAATTTCTCTTCAAAGAGCTTGTTAATACCTCTATTCCTGGAAAAAAAAAACGAAGAGCTTGTTAAGTTTTCTGTTTTAAAATAGTTTGTTCTAGAGGGGACACAGGCCATTTGAAGAATGGAAGATTGAGAGAATTCTGCAACTCATGACAAGCTGTAAAAGGTTGCTAAGGAGATTCTTATGAGAAGGAATAGTATTTAAATCATCCGTAACTGAACTCTGACTTCTAAAGGCAGGAAATGAAAGGAGAGGACTCTTTTATTTTATTCCTTTAACATTTTAGGAATCAAGCAAGAGCAAGAATTTTCTTTTTCTTAAAACACAGAAATAATTTGGTTTGTGTACAATTGATTTATTTGGCATTAGCGTATTTTAGAACATTTTATTGAAGTACAGAACACTGAGAAAGTATACAGATCATTAAGTTATAGCTTGATGAATTTTTACAGGTGATAATAATGTTATATTTTAATGTCATTTAAATATACCAAATTTCTTGTCTTTGAAAAATGTTATCTTAAAATTTGGGATTTTTTTTTTTTTTGTGGAGATAGAGTCTCTCTCTGTCGCCCAAGGTGGAGTTCAGTGGTGAGATCTTGGCTCACTGCAACCTCCACCTCCCTGGTTCAAGCAATTCTCCTACCTCAGCCTCCTGAGTAGCTGGAACTACAGGCGCACGCCGCCTTGCCTAGCTATTTTTTTTATATACATGCATATATATATATATATATATATATATATTTTTTTTTTTTTTTTTTTGAGACAGAGTTTCACTCTTGTTGCCCAAGCTGGAGTGCAATGGCCAATCTCGGCTCACTGCAACCTCTGCCTCCTGGGTTCAAGCAATTCTCCTGCCTCAGCCTCCTGAGTAGCTAGGATTACAGGTGTGTGCCACCACGCCCAGCTAATTTTTTGTATTTTTAGTAGAAACGGGGTTAACCACCATGTTAGCCAGGCTAGTCTCGAACTCCTGACCTCAGGTGATCCGCATGCCTCAGCCTCCCAAAGTGCTAGGATTACAGGCATGACCTACCGCTCCGAGCCAATTTTTTGTATTTTTAATAGAGATAGGGTTTCACCATGTTGCCCAGCCTGGTCTCGAACTCCTGAGCTCAGGCAATCCGTCCGCCTTGGCCTCCCAAAGTGCTAGGATTACAGGCATGAGCCACCGGGCCTGGCCATAAAATTTTGGATTTTATGTGAAGATCAAAGTTAAAATTTTAAAGTAATACAGAGATTTTATTTAGTTTCTTTTTTTCTTTTTTTCTAAGACAGAGTCTTGCTCTTGCTGCCCAGGCTGGAGTGCAGTGGCGCGATCTCAGCTCACTGCAACCTCTGCCTCCCGGGTTCAAGTGATTCTCCTGCCTCAGCCTCCCAAGTAGCTGGGGTTACAGGCGCCCGTGACCGTGCCCGGCTACTTTTCTTGTATTTTTAGTAGAGACGGGGTTTCACCATGTTGGCCATGCTGGTCTTGAACTCCTGACCTCAGGTGATCTGCCCACCTTGGCCTCCCAAAGTGCTGGGATTACAGGCGTGAGCCACTGCTTCCCGCTTAGTTTCTGGTTTTAATTGCATATTGCATTCCCTTCCCTTCTTTCCCAGTCTCCTGCTTATTAAAATAAAAACCAGGGAAAGAGTTTCTTGCAGGGAGGAAGGAGCTATTTTGTTTGGGACTGATCTAGAGCTGCACTGTCTGGTAAAAATACAGGGGGAGCCATAGACATAATTTGAAATTTTCTAGTAGATAAATTAAGTAAAAAGAAGCAGGTCAAATCAACTTTCATTATATATATATCTTTTTTCCAGTTTTTATTTATTTATTTTTAGAGATGGGTTCTCACTCTGTTGCCTAGGCTAGAGTGCAATAGTACGATCATAGCTCACTGCAGTCTGCACCTTCTGGGCTCAAGCAGTCCTCCTGCCTCAGCCTCCCAACTAGCTAGGACTAACAGGTGTGTGCTACCACATCCAGCTAATTTTTTTATTTTTTGTAGAGTTAGAGTCTTGCTTTGTTGTCCTGGCTGGTCTTGAACTCTTGGCCTCAAGCAGTCCTCCCACCTTGGCCTTCCAAAGTGTTGGGATTGCAGTGTGTGTGCCACCGTGCTTGCCCTCATAATATATTTTATCTAACCCAGTATATCTAAACCACTATCACATCAAATGTAACAGATAAGAAAATTATTATTGTTTTTTTTGAGACAAGAGTCTCACTTTGTTGTCCAGGCTGGAGTGTAGTGGCACAATCTTGGCTCACTGTAACCTCCGCCTCCTTGGTTTAAGCGAATCTCTTGCTCGTGTAGCTGAGATTGCAGGCGCATGCCACCTTGCCCAGCTAATTTTTGTATTTTTAGTAGAGACGGCCTTTCACCATGTTGGCCATCCTGGTCTCAAACTCCTGACCTCAAGTGATCCTCCCACCTTGGCCTTCCAAAGTGCTGGGATTACAGGTGTGAGCCACCGTGCCCGGCCAGATACGAAAATTATTAATGAGCTATTTTATTTTCTTTTTTTCTTATGAAGTCTTTCAAATCTGGGGTGTATTTTATGCTTCTGCACTTCTCAGTTTGGGCTAGCCACATGTCAAGTGTTCTGTAGCTACATTTGGCTAAAGGAGCAGAGAGAAGAAGGAATAGAACTATTTAAGAAATGAGATGTTTGAAGGGACAAGAGAAGTTTTGGTCTTGAATTGTCTTTAAAAATTATGAGGCTTAGTGGGGAGCCGGGAGCAGCATGTCAAAGGGTCTGGTAAAAGGCTAGTCAGAGTAGATGAATATTCTCACAAACACACAGTAGATTCCAGGTGGACACAGGGAGAAAGATTTATGAGAATAACCCTGCTAATGAAGAAAGTAGATTTCAGTGGCACCTTAGTCAGAGACTTGGTTACTAAGTCCTTGAAGAACCAACTGAAGACAAGACTTTAAAAAACAAAAGTTTATTGCGCACATGCTGTGTCCAGGCTCTCATCTAGGATATAGGATACATCAGTGAACACAACAGATAAAAATCTCAGCCCTCAAGTGTTTGTAATATAGTGGGTGGAGACATAATAGATAGGATAAATAAGTGAACTATAGTACATTAAAAGGTGCTGAGTGCTATGGAAAGTAAAATAGGGCCCTGTGATGGGGAGCATAATGGTGGTAGTGATGGTGGGTTTGCAATTTTTAACAAGGTGGTCGAAGTACACCTCCCAAAGTAGTTATAGATTAACAAGGTCTTGAAGGAGATAAGGAAAAAGGTATTGAGATATCTGGGGGAAGAGCATTTCAGACAGAGAGATCAGTATTGGCAGGCCTGGAGGTGGGCATGCACCTGCCATGCACCTGCAGTGGCGAAGATGTCATCTCAGTTAGAGGCAGGTGAGTTAGGATATGTAGTCAGGGGAGGAGTAGGGTAGCAGATCACAAAAGAAGTGCTTCTCAAACTTTAATATGCATACAAATTTCCTAGAGATCTTGTTAAATTTAGATTCTGATTTGGTAGATCTTGAGTTGGGTCAGAGATAACAAACCCTCAGGTGACGGTGAAGTTACTGGTCCTGGGACCACAGTTTGATTAGTAAGGATATAGGGCCTTAAGGGCCATGTAAGACTATATAAATATGAAACTATTGAAATCACCAAGGGAATGAGGGTAAATAGAGAAGAGGAAAGGGCTAAGGGCTGAGCCCTGGCGCACTCCAGCATTAAGAGGATGGCGAGACAGGAGGAGCCAGCAAAGAAGCCTAAGAAGGCGTGGCCACAAAGCGAGAAGGAAACCCACAGGGCCCATGAATGTAAATAAATTTCAGGCAACATCAGTCAGTATAGTTTTCTGTGTTTTCTCCAGGAAGCCAAGTAAATTGTTTCATGGAGGAAGAAGTGATCAACCGTGTGAAATCTTGCTTGATAGGTCAAGTAAGAGGAAAGCTAAGAATTGATTATTGAGTTTGACAACATAGTGGTTATTGACAAGCAGGTAGCTGGGTAGCGTGAGGGCAAAAGGCTTATTGGAGTGGGTTTCAAAGAGAAGAGAGGAGAGAAATCAGAGATAGTGAATAAATAAAAGTTACTGAGGCATTTTTTTGTAAAGGGTGTGTATGTTAGATATCTATTGCTACATAACAAATTAAGCTGGGCACAGTGGCTCACGCCTGTAATCTCAGCACTTTGGGAGGCGGAGGCAGGAGGATCACTTGAGCTCAGGAGTTTGAGACCAGCCTGGCCAACATAGTGAGACTTCTTCTCTACTAAAATACAAAAAAAAAAAGAAAAGTAGCTTAATGTGGTGGTGCACGCCTATAGTCCCAGCTACTCCAGGGGCTGAGGCAGGAACGATCACTTGAGCCTGGGAAGTTGAGGCTGAGTGAGCCATGATCATGCCATTGCACTCCAGCCTGGGCAACAGAGCAAGACCCTGTCTCAAAAAACAAAAACAAAGTAAAACTTAAGAGTCACTTAAAACAACAAAGATTTACTATTTCAGTTTCTGTGTGTCAGGAATTCAGGAATGGCTTAGCTGGGTGATTCTGGCTCAGTGTTTTGTGAAGTTTTAGTCAATATATTGGCCAGGGCTGCAGTCATCTGAAGGCTTGACCTGAGCTGGAGAACTTGCCTCTGAGATGGCTCACTTCATCTGGCTGTTGGCAGGAGGCCTCAGTTTCTTACTTACTATATAGGCTTCTTCTCCATAGGAGTGCTTAAGTATCCTCCTGACAAGGCAGCCAGCTTCTTTCAGAGAGGATGATCCAAGATATATAGAGAGAAGCTACCATGTATGGAAGTTACATTCCGTTATTCTGCTGTATTCTGTTGATCACATGGACACAGTGTGGGAGGGGACTGCATAAGAACCTGAATACCAAGAGGGTGGGGGCCATTAGGGGCCTTCATGGAGGCTGGATAACCCAGAGAGCAGGAAATTTGAGGGTAGCTGGAGAGGAAAGTGGGACCCTAGCAAGTTTTTTTGTTTTTAATTGATGGAAACAATAACATATTTGTTTGTTGCACCAGTAACGATCCAGTATAGAAGGGAAAATTATTGATGCAGAATGGAGAGTAGAGAATTGTTGGAGAGTTATTACCTTGGCGAGAGGGGATATGATGTGGAGCATAAGTAAAGGAATGGGGACTCGGCTTTGCACAGGATGAGGGTAGTCCACTTAGAGTGGCAGGAGGGAAGACAGTATGTGTGTCAAAAGATGCTACGAGGTGCTGAGATGGGATGGTGGGAGGTTTGTGGATGTTCTCTTCTGGTTACTTCAGTTTTCTCAGTGAAATGGAAAGCAGGGTCATTGAGAATGAGGATGAGAGAAGAGGTATCAGGTTTCAGGAGGGAAGAAGAGAAGTTATAGTCACCAAGGACAGTGGGAGAGTGAGTGGACCAAGGAAATGCGTGGTTTTGGGGGGAGCATTAATGACCCACACAAGATTCAGGGTCATGAATTTAAGGCAAGATCAGTCAGTATAGTTTTCTGTGTTTTACTCTAGCCACATTCAGCTATACAAATGCAGGTGGGGAGGCAGTGAAGAGGTAGATTTAACCAGTGTGTGGTCTGTCCAAATGAGTACAAAGAGAGAAAAGGCAAGGGATTGAAGGGCAAATTATTACAATGTTTGATCTTAGAATTTAACCTGCTTAAGAAGGAAGTTTAGAGCATAGGGGTGAGGAATGAGGGAAAGTAAATATAACTTAAGATCAATGGATGGTAGGGCCTGATGGGGTTGAAAGATTACTGGAGTCAAATATTAGAGGGAATGAACTAGAAAGATAGGTGGAGGCTGTTAAAGGATGTCTGAGATCAGGTGGAGGACAAGATCATTAGGTAGAGGAGCTCACAGACAGGAGAGGCCACAATATTGGAAGGGTCAGGCATACATATGTTAAAATCACCAAGAATTGAGAGAGAAGAGTGACAGTAAACCGGCAACTAGAATTCTTGAGACAGGAGAACGGGTAACTTGGGGAGCAACAGATGGCAGCGATAAGGAGACAGTTGGTATATGGTAGTTGGACCTCTGGTTCCAGGCTGGGAAGAGGAGGGAGGGGTGGGGAGGAAGCATCAGTGAGGAGCAAGAAGGACCTCCTCCCAGTTCCAGGTTCAGCAACCTGATAACTGTGACAGAAAGAACAATGAGGACCAACATTGATCCTGAGGAGATTCAGGTTTAGTCTGGAGCAAAAAGGTGGAGGGGGGCCTTCAGAGATGTTAAAGATCTAGGGAACCGTTACTTCTGGAGGTTACACCGGAAGCCTCTCAAGAGGTGGGGAGGGGTGGGCAGTAGGCATAGAAGATGGGGACAGAAGAGGCATAGCCTTCTGGGAGATGGGCAGTGGGAGCCTCTGGCTTCTGTACTGATTTATGTCAGTGAGGACACAAGATAAAATGATGTTAGCCCTGGTTCTGATAGGTGCTCAAATAGGGTGGTGAGGCTTTGGATGCTGGAGAGTAAGGAGAGTGGAGCTACCTTTTGACTCTTGCAGACAGAAATACCCAGAAATAGGTCTCAGATCGTTGAGACTGGAACAGATTCTACCTAGCTTGTAGCAAGAGAAGACTGAAGCCAGCCTTTCTTACCAGGGTAATGAAAAGGAGAAATGGCTGGGAAAACGGAAGACAAATGTTACTACTTGAATTTGGTGTGCTGGTAAACTGGCTCTCAAAAAACCCCCCAAACACAAATTTCTGTGCTATAAGTACTCCCACCTTGCCAGTTTCAGGCTATCAGAGGTTTCATCAACCAGCTTGTAAGATTCCTGAATATTGGACAGCTTGGCTCTCGATAGTCCTTGATATGAACTCTCTAGCATACCACACACTTTAGAGCAGACTCTATTTTCCTTAAAATATTTGTGTACCGTTTGAATGCTTTAGAGCAGGGGTCTGCAATCCCCGGGCCACAGACCATTACAGACGCAGCCTGTTAGGAAGGTGAGTGGTGGTTGAGTGAGCATTACAACCTGAGCTCTGCCTTCTGCCAGATTAGCAGTGGCATTAGATTCTCATAGAAGCTCGAACCCTATTGTGAACTGTGCGTGCGAGGTATCCAGGTTGTGTGCTCCTTAGGAGAATATAATGCCTGATGATCTGAGGTGGGACAGTTTCATCCTGAAAACCATCCCCACACCCCACCCCCATTTGTGGAAAAATTGTCTTCCGTGTAACCGTCCCTGGTGCCAAAAAGATTGGGGACTGCTGCTTTGGAGTTCTACTAGTAATCCTCAGTTTTGCTTCTTTGTGACTCTTAACCTTATGGAACCTCAGTTTCTTTGTAAACAGAGGGTATTAGCACCTGTTCCTTGGGTTGTTGTTGTAAGGATTAGAGAATAAGTAGAACAAAAGTTCCTGGAATGGTGGATACTATTGATATTATTATTGCCATCACCTTAATGTAAAGCTTTATTACAAAGGAACTCAGTTACCAGAGGATAATACCTGTATTTTCATATGCAAAGGCTGGAGTAGAGATTGGAGTTAACTTTTTAGAGAGCAATTGGGTAACACATATCACACATCTAAGAGCATGGGTTTGATCTAGTAATTTTACTTCTGGGACCTTTTCCAAAGAAAATAACTAAGAATATGTGGGAAAATGAAGCAAGAAGATACTTGTTTGCAGTACTGTTTGTAAGAGAGGAAAGGTGGAATCTACCTAAATGTCTAACTATTGTGCAACAAAAGACTTTACCTTACTAGAAACAAACGGATAGAATGTAATTGATTATGTGGAATAATGGTTCATTGTAGTATAAAATAGGTTACAAAATAGTAGGTACTGAATGATCCAATTGTATTAAAAGTGCAAAGAATATGATCTGAAGAACAAAAATAAGTGATTGTATTAACAATTAATAGTGATAGCCTCAGACAAAATTAAAAAAAAATTTTTGGGGTACATAGTAGGTGGATATATTTATGGAGTAGGTGAGATTTTTTTTTTTTTTTTTGAGATGGAGTCTCGCTCTGTCACCCAGGCTGGAGTGCAGTGGCGCGATCTCGGCTCACTGCAAGCTCCGCCACCCGAGTTCACGTCATTCCCCTGCCTCAGCCTCCTGAGTAGCTGGGACTACAGGCACCGGCCATGATGCCTGGCTAATTTTTTGTATTTTTTTAGTAGAGACGGGGTTTCACCGTGTTAGCCAGGATGGTCTCGATCTCCTGACCTTGTGATCTGCCCGCCTCAGCCTCCCAAAGTGCTGGGATTACAGGCATGAGCCACCACGCCCGGCCGTAGGTGAGATATTTTGATACAGGCATGCAATGTGATAATCACATTAGGGTATGGGGGTAGCCGTCACCTCAACACATTTCTTTGTGTTACAAATGCATTTATTTGTGTTATAAACACATTTCTGTGTGTTACAAACATTCCCAGGTAAGTCTTTAACTTTTCTTTTAGATTGCTTCTATTTTCTGAGATTATAATGAATGTGACTTGCTTTTGTAATAAGAAAACAAGAGACTGTGTGTGTGTGTGTGTGTGTGTGTGTGTGTGTGTGTGTGTGTGTAGTGCTGTGGAGTAGAAAACCCTAAAGGTGGAGACATACATTTAGCTTTCTTATTAGTCATGAATGACTGTGTAACTGTCTCTTCCATTCTGTTGTCAAAACCCACACCCAGTCCCATGACTGTAAGGGTACTTGAAGGGCAAGGGAGGCATAGAACCAAGCTCATTCAATGCCTTAGGAGCCTGGCAGCAACTCAAGAACTATGGTTTTGTTGATTCCCATAACATTGAGTCTCTTTAGGGATCTCAATAATTTTTAGCTAGGAGAGAATCAAACTGGAATTGAGATGGAAAATGTCTGTTGAAGGCCACTCAAAAGAAAAACGTGTAAGATACAAGGGAAATTTAGCAGTTACAGGTCTTTCTAAAAAAACGAACTGCTATTTTTTTTAAAGTCTTTCTGTGAATATTGGTGACTTAGCACAATGCATTTTCAAAAAAACAGGACCTTGTGATTGTCACAAGTTCCTCAAGAAATTAGAAACCAGGAAATTTACTCTTCTGTAAAACAGTCTGTGAGTCACAGTTAAACAAGCATAGTAATGAAGCTGTCAGATTCGGTGCTATTCTTGCATCAGATGACTTCCTAGATAATTGAAATATTTTCTGAAATTTGTTTACCTTGAGCTAAGTAGAAAGCAAGTTGTATGTCCTTAACACAATTATGTTTTATTCCATTGTTCAGCAGGTATAAGAGTAAGTCAGCTGTTTAATTATGTGTATAATACTAATAAAAGGGAGCACTAACACTGTTAATTTAAAAATCTGGCCCCGTGCGATGGCTCACACCTGTAATCCCAGCACATTGGGAGGCTGAGGTGGGCGGATCACTTGAGGCCAGGAGTTTGAGAGCAGCCTGGCCAACATGGCGAAACCCGGTCTCTACCAAAAGTATAAAAATTAGCTGGGCATGGTGGTGCATGCTTGTAATCCCAGCTACTCGGGAGGCTGAGGCAGAAGAATCACTTGAACCTGGGAGGTGGAGGTTGCAGTGAGCCAAGATCGTGCTACCGCATTCCAGCCTGGGCGACAGAGTAAGACCCTGTCTCAAAAAAAAAAAAAAATCAGATAATTAAAGAGAGAAAATAATTTACTGGTTTTAGGAAAGTGAGCAGCTTTAGAAACAAGGTAGACCAGGAGAATAGCCCTGAGTTAAGTTATCAGACACCTTCTCCTTTTCCTTTTTCTTTGTTTCTTTTCTATTCTTCTTCCCTGTCCTCTTTATCTCTCTTTTTTCTTCTGTCTTTATTCTTTTCCTTCTTTGTACAAAGAGAGAACTTAATGTGCCAGACAGTTGTTTTAGGCACTGGGTTGTATGTCAATAAACAAAAGTGACAAAACCTCTGCTTGCATAGACTGTACATTCTAGTACTTACAGATAATATATAAGTAAATGTATATAAAATACTCTGTGGTGTTAAGTGCTATGAAGAAAAATAAAGGGGGGGCAAGGGATAGAGTATAATTGGGCAGGGGTGGGTGGACAGAGAGGAGAGGGTTCACTTCAATTCCATTTTTCAATTTTGTTTAAAAACTGAAGGCCTCTCAATAGAGGTGACATTTGAGCAGAGATCTGAGTGATATGAGGGAGTAAGCCAGGCAGAAGAAGAAGCAAGCACAAAGGCCTGCAGTGGGAAGATGCCTAGGTGGACCAAGAACATGAAGGAGGCCAGTGTGGCTAGGGGAGGTGGCGGTGAACGAGGGAGGCCAAGCAGCAGGGAGCTAGGTCGTGTAGGGCCCCATTGGGTACAGTAAGCTCTCATCTGAGTGAATCTGGAAACCTTTGGAGAAGTTTATTACAGCAGCTAGTAGTACTCTAATACAGATATTCATATTTATTTGTGTACCATTACGTATTTAATTCCTTTGTACCTAGGAGTAATTCAAGTAGCAGATAATATGACTGTGTTATTAAATACAGGTTTCATTTCAATAATCAGTAATGCATGTGGTAATTTTTTTAAAACCACGTTTCTGAGATTTTCTCTTATTGCTGGCCTGCTTGGATAAGTAATTTTGTCCTCCTAGAATCTGCTAGCAAATAAGTAAGGTGAAAAGAATTTCTTTATTTTATTTTAATTTTTTATTTTTTTGAGACAGAGTCTTGCTCTGTTACCAGGCTGGAGGGCAGTGGCGGGATCTCAGCTCACTGCGACCTCCGCCTGCCGGGTTCAAGCGATTCCCCTGCCTCAGCCTCCTGAGTAGCTGGGACTACAGGTGCGTGCCACCACACCTGGCTAATTTTTTTTTATTTTAGTAGAGACAGGGTTTCACCATGTTGACCATTTCCTGACCTCATGGTCCGCCCACCTCGGCCTCCCAAAGTGCTGGGATTACAGGCGTGAGCCACCATGCCCAGCCTTTTATTTTAAAATTATGATAAAAAATTGATCATCTTAGTCATTTAAGTTTATAGTTCGGTTGTGTTAAATATATTGTTGTGAAACATATCTCCAGAACCTTTTCATTTTGCAAAACTGAAACTCTACCCATTATATAACAACTCCCCTTTTCCTTTTCCCCAACAGCCACCATTCTCCTTTCAGTCTCTATGCATTTGACCAGTTACTCATAGAAGTGGAATTACCAGTATCTATCCTTTTGTGACTGCTTATTTCGTTTAGCATAATGTCCTCAAGGTTCAACCATGCTATAGTGTGTTAGAGCTTCTTTCTTTTTGAAGGCTGGATCATATTTTATTGTGTATAAACATCACATTTTGTTTATCCATCTGTTTGGTGGACAACTGGTTGCTTCTACCTGTTGGCCATTGTGAAGAATGCTGCTATGAACTTAAGTGTGCACCCACTAGAGAGTTCTCAACAGATTGACAGGATGTGATCTGATTTATGTCCAAAAACGTTCACTCTGACCCTTCCCTTCCCTCACTAAGTGAGACTTGGTGTTTTTTTCTGCCATGTTTCTAATGCTCACAAACAGTGTCTTGCACCTAGTGGTCATGCAGAGATATTTGAAGAAATAAATGACAGAACTAAACACAGTGAGGCAAACTCCGGAGGCCATCATGTCAACTCAGATATATATTAGGATATATTAGGGCAGTGGGCCTTTTCTATTTGCAGATCATAGATCTCACTGAAAATTTGATGAAAAATACAGAACTTTCCTCTGGAAAAAAACAGTTTTTATCTCCTTGACTCTCTCAATACAGAATACTTCTGTGACTTCTGCTCACCAAGAAGTGTGTGGGGATTTCTCCCTACCAGCAGCCAGTTCTCTGGTGGATTCTTTAGTGGACACCAGCTGCGTGTCCTCTAATTCAGTTCCGTTCTGATGCTCTCTTGCTGGAGAGAGCACAGGGTGAGAGTGCTCAGCCTCACACGACTGACCCCCACTTTGAGCACCAATCGCAAGTAATAGGTTCTCACCTATGCTTCTGACCCATCTGTTCTAAATTGGGGTTCCCCCTACTCGATACACTGATTTGACTGATTTGCTAGAGTGGCTCTCAGAACTCAGGGAAACAGGTTTACTGGTTTATTATAAAGAATACTACAAAGGGTACTGGTGACGAGATGAAGAGAAGCATGGGAAAGGCACATGGGAAGGAGTGTGGAGCTCCTGTGCCCAGTACAGGCTCACCACCCGCCAGGAGCCCCCACATGTTCAGCTCTCTGGAAGCTCCCCAAACCCAGTCCCTTTGGGTTTTTAGGGAAGCTTCGTTATGTTGGAATGACTGCATAAATCATTGACTACTGGTGATAGGCCAGGCGCTGTGGCTCATGCCTGTAATCCCAGTGTTTTGGGAGGCCAAGGCAGGCAGATCACAAGGTCAGGAGTTCAAGACCAGCCTGGCCAATATGGTGAAAATCTGTCTCTACTAAAAATACAAAAATTAGCCAGGCGTGGTGTCGGGCACCTGTAGTCCCAGCTACTCGGGAGGCTGAGGCAGTAGAATTGCTTGAACCCAGGAGGCGGAGGTTGCAGTGAGCCGAGATTGCACCACTGCACTGCAGCCTGGGGAATAGAGTGAGACTCCATCTCAAAAAAAAAAAAAAAAAATTGGCTACTGGTGATCAGCTCAGACGTCAGCCTCTCTCCCCTCTTTGGAGTTGGTGCTGAAAGTCCCAGTCCTCTAATCATGCCTTCATCTTTCTAGTGACCAGCCCCATCCTGAAGCTACCTAGGGGTGGCCCAGCCTTCAATCATTAATATACAAAAAGACACCCATCACTTTGGACATTCCAAGGATTCTAGGAGTTGTATGCCAGGAGATAGGGATGAAGACCAAATATGTATTTCAAAATATCACATTTCCCCAGAAAAGCAAACACAGTTACAGACGGTTCAAGTTAAGATTTTTCGACTTTATGATGGTGTAGAAGTGATAAACATTTAGTAACTATAGTTTGAGTACCCATACAACCATATTGTATTCAATAAATTGTTCAGTTATTCAGTTGTATTCAATAAAATGTTCAACACTTTATCATAAAATAGGCTTTGTGTTAGATGATTTTGCCCAACCATGGGCTAACTTAAGTGTTATGAACCTGTTTAAGGTAGGCTAGGCTAAGCTATGATGTTTTGTAGGTTATGTGTATTAGATGCATTTTCACTATATGGTATTTTCAATGAGCTTATCAGGATGTAACTCCATCATAAGTCAAGCAGCATCTGTATACTAAAATGTTTACCTACAAATCAATGGGTTCTTCACCTGATGTCCATAGAAGGACTTCATACATAACTAGGCCGTTGACCATTCTTATGGGTGGATTGGAGTATTCATCCTACAGCGATATTAGAGCTATAGATCCAATCCCTGAGCAGGCAGTGTTTCTTCCTACAAATTGTAATCTGCACAGCCTTCACAATTTTCATCAGCCTTGTTTCACAGTAGGAAAGGTTTGCCCCAGCCTTACACAGTAGACCTGATTGCATGTCTCCTATATCTGGGTTGCAGCCTCCTGGCTGCTTCTGGATAGAGAATCAGGGAGACCATGGCTTCAGCCCTTTTATTATACTGCAGCATTTTTCTGTTCTGTTTCTGCGCCACAGAGTTACTGATTTCTTTAAAGTGGCTATATCTCAAAAACACTTAAAAATTCATATCTGTCATTTTTCTGGATTGTGTTTAGTGTGGGATGACAATCTCAAAGGGTGAACTCCCAGCACCCTGGGACTGAGCAGCCTCTCCTTGCTGGCTACTCACTAAGCCAGTATATGAATTGATAGAATAAAAATTAAAAATGAACATCAAGCATTTGGGATCATTGCTTGGAAAAGATTTCTTGTGCCAAAAGGCTCAAGTGAAACCTTTTGAGTATGCATTTCAGAGTTCTGAAGCAGAATGAAACTACAACTGATCTGTTTTTTACTACCATTTCCTTCCTAAATAGAGAAAGGAAGGGATTTTTATCTGATCTCTTATGTTGCTGTCTGTTAGGATGCCTTCAACTACAAGCAACAAAAAGTAACTCAGCCCTTTATGTGTATGTGTGTGTGTATATGTCTATATATGTCTATGTATTTATGTAAACGTTATATGTGCACACGTGCAGACATGCGCACACACTGTGAAAGGGCCTGGAAGCAGTGGCACCCCTAGTCACCCAAGTGAGCACAACTAGTCACCCACGTCTTTGTTTCTAAATAGCCTTCCCCACTACCAGTAACCAGGGCTCCCCAGAGAAGTAGCTGATTCCAGGGTTGGGGCAGGGGAAGGACAAGATGAGGCCAAATCATCTTGTTGTGCCAGGTATAAGGAAGCATACAAAGCCTGATAAGGTGGTGCAGCCATGCCATGGAGTACCATCTGCAATAAAAAGGAACAAAATACTGATATAGCCACATGGAGGAACCTCGAAAACAGGCACTGTGAAAAAATCCAGAGACAAAGGCCACGTTGTGGGATTTCATTTATATAAAATGTCCAGAAATGGCAAAACTGTAGAGACGGAAAGTACGTGAGTGATTTCATGGAGCTGGGGGTCAGAAGAGGAGTGCCTGCAAATGGGCATGAATTTTCTTTCATCTGGAGTGATAAAAAATTCAAATTCTAAAATTATGTGGTGGTGGTGATGGTTGCATATTTTTATAAATTCACTGAAAATCATTAAATAATTGTACATTTTGAATCAGCAAATTTTAGGGTAAGTAAATTATACCTCAATAAAGCAGTTTGGTTCTGTTTTTTGTTTTCGTTTTTTTTGAAATGGAGTCTTGCTTTATCGCCCAGGCTGGAGTGCAGTGGTGTGATCTCGGCTCACTGCAACCTCCACCTCCTGGGTTCAAGTGACTCTCCTGCCTCAGCCTCCCAAGTAGCTGGGATTACAGGTGCCCCCCACCATGCCTGACTATTTTTTGTATTTTTTTTTTTTTTGGTAGAGATGGGGTTTTGCCGTGTTGGCTGGGCTGGTCTCGAACCTTAAGTGATCTGCCTGCCGCGGCCTCCCAGAGTGCTGGGATTACAGGCGTGAGCCACCGCACCCAGCCAATAAAGCAGTTTTTAAAAGTTATGGGAGAGGTCACAAGGACTCAGGAGTCAGCTTGCAGGACTGCCCACTGGCCAAGTCTGGAAATACTTGAGCATCAGAATAACTAACGATAATGGGCCAGGCAAAGTGGCTCATGCCTGTAACCTCAGCTGTTTAGGAGTCCGAGGCAGGTGGATTGCTTGAGCCCAGGAGTTTGAGACCAGCCTGGGCAATATAGTGAGACCTCATCTCTACAAAAACACAAAAATTAGTTGGGTGTGGTTGCGTACACTGTGGTCCTTGTACTCTGGAGGCTGACTTAGGAGGAACACTTTTGAGTCCAGGAGGTCGAGGCTGCAGTTCACTGAAACGGCGCCACTGCACTCCACCCTGAGTGACAGAGCGAGACCCTACCTCAGAAAAAAAAAGAATAATGATAATGTATTAAATTAGTTACCAAATAAAACTGATAAAATAATAAAATCCACAAGACTCTAAATACGTGAATAAATGGGGAGAAAGGAAAGTTCTTCCTTACAGTGCCAACTCACAAATATAGAAGGAGTGATGATGGATGGAATGTTGTTCTTTTTCAACCATCATAGTATTAGCTGACTTAGGTAAAAATCATCAGTGGTTGTTAAAACTAGTTAATGAAGGTTTGATGAGGACCATGATATTAACAGTTTCAAAAGAGTTCACTGTTAAATACCTGTTGATTTCAAAGGCAAAAATAGTATACCGGAGTAATCTAGCAGAACCACCTTAAGTGACTGAACTAGTTTTGTATTGCTGTGTAACAATGTTACCACACGTTTAGAAGCTTAAAACAGCCACAAATTTATGATCTCACAGATTTTGTTAGTTAGGAGTCTGGCCTGGCTTAGCTGGGTCCTCTGTTCAGGGTCTCCTAAGATTCTAATTCAGGTGTCAGCTGGGGCTCATCATCTGGAGGCTTAGTCTGGGAAGGATTCATTTCCTGCTCATGTGCTTGTGGCCACATTCAGCTCCTTGTGATGGTACAACTGATGGCTTCATTTTTTTTTTTTTTTTTTGCTGGCCATTGGCTGGAGAATGCCCTCAGCACGTAGAGACTATCTATCTGCAGTTCCTTTGCCATGTGGGTTCCCAACGTGGCCACTTGCTCCCTCACAGCCAGCAAAGGAGAGGAGACTCCAGCAAGATGGAAGCTGTCTTATGTAATATAATCATGTATTTGTAATAGTGAACATCCCATCACTTTTGCTGTATTCTGTCAGTTAGAAGCACTTCACAGGTCCCACCTAGACTCAAAGGGAGGAGTCACACAGGGCATGAACAGCAGGAGGTGGCAAGGACAGGGATGTCTTAGAGTCTGTGTGCCACAGTAATAAAAGTTGACATCACCAGTATTAGGACAAACCATACCATGTGCCTCCTGACTCACTGAAAGGGTCATGTATCTCTGCCAGGTATCTCTGCCAAGTGTGCATAACCTGCAGAAACATGAGACAAACCAAATACCTGAGGAACCATGTACCTGACCTGTATTCTTCCAGTGTCATTGTAATGAAAGACAAAGGCTGAAGAACTGTTTTTGATTAAAGGAGACTAAAGAGGGATGTGGTGGCTCACACCTGTAATCCCAGCACTTTGGGAGGTCAAGGTGGGAGGATCACTTGAGGATAGGAGTTTGAGACCAGCCTAGGCAACATAGCGAGATGCCATCTCTATAAAAAAATTTTTTTAAATTAGCCAGGTGTAGTGGGGCGTACCTGTAGTCCTAGCTATTCAGGAGGTGGGAGAATCACTTGAGCCTGGGAATTCAAGGTTATGAGCTTGGTTGTGTGAGCTATGGTTGTGCCACTGCACTCCAGCCTGGCTGACAGAATGAGACTCTGTCTCAAAAAAAGAAAAAAGCTAAAGAGATAAGACAACAAATGCAATGGATGAGCCTGGGTTAGGAAGGATAGTACAAAGAGCATGTTTGGGGAACAGTTGAAATTTGAATATAGACTGTGGATTAGATGTTAAATTTCTTATTTTTATAATTATATTGTGGTCATCTAAGACATGCCCTTATTTGTAGATATTTGGAGAAGAGATGGGCATAAAGTTTGTGACTTACTCTCCAGCGGTTTGTGAAAGAAAATGTGAATAAAGCAAATGGGGTAAAACATTGGTATTGATAAATCTGGTCAAAGGATATACAGGAATTCCTGATAATTTCTGTATATTTTTGAGGCGTTTCTGTAAGTTTAAAATTATATCAAAACAAAAAAAATGCCAAAAAACTTAAAGTGATACAAAAATTGGCTCAGAAGCTAGAACTCCAGAGGGGTGGGCTTCAGAGTTGGCTTTATTTAGAGCTCCACAGTCTTATCAAATACTCAGGTTCTTTTTGTCTTTCCGCCTTCTAGCCCTCAGTGTGTGCTTCATCCAGCAGCCACTTCCTCTTGAGATTTTAGGTGATTGCCAGTGACAATCAGGGCTGCATGCTTTCCCACTGAGCCAGTCGATATCCTTGCCTTTTCAGTCATTTTAATTCCTGAGACTTTTCTGTAAGTTTTAAGTGATATCAAAGGTAAGGACCTGTTAGAAAAGTCTCGAGAATAATCCAAGGAAGTCATTAAAATAGGTTTTATTGATAATATTTAAATTTTTCTTAAATTGGTAGTTAATTTGGTCTGGTGAAGTTTCACTGTTACTAGGGAAAAAAAAAACAGTGTAAACAGTGGCATATGCTAAAAATATGTTAGGACAGATACTGCCAGAAAGCCAGTTGTTATAGAAGTATAGTTTTCTACTGTATAGTCATTAAAATGTAATTTGGCCTTTTATGTGACCTCTAAAGGAAATCTTAGGCAGTATTCAAAATATTGTTTTTAATAACCAGGAATTTAGGGAGTGTTCTTGAAAGAATCATTTCTTCTGACAGAATTCAAAAAGAATTTTAGATTTGAGATATCTTATAATAATTTTACATTTCTAATTTAGTTTAAAAATGTGTATGTTTAGGAAGACGTAATTATGTCAAATATTAGACATAAGAAAATATTAGGAGTAAATGGTTTTCTTACATCATATATCTCGAAATTTTGAAATGTCAAAGATTATGTGCCCTCTGGTTAGTGACTCAAGCTAGTCTCTTGTATAAAAATCCAAAGTATGTGAACTCTGCCGCCTCTGCACATGCGTCCCTGGCCAATGCAGTCCCAGCTGTTTGCTCACCCACACCTTCGCTGCAGTTTTCCTCAGTCTTACATCTAGACATGAGTGGATGGGGGTGAGCTGGGGCAGTCCAGGGCCTACACACCCAGCTATGCAGTCATGTGGGCATCTGTGCCATTTGATTCCACTCTTCTTCCTCCAGCCTGCATATTTAATTGTGCCCCTGGAAAGTGGAGCAAAGAAATTAAGCAGCTATTTTAAGTAGTTGGGCAGCTCTAAAAAACAGCGGAGACCGTATCTATTTGTTTTTTGAATACTCTTAGTACAAGAGAAACCAGCAGTTGAGGCTGTTAGTATTTAATTCTCAGCAAATTATTACTATACAGCAAATTATTTCTTCTTCCAAACATTTCTTTGAAGCAGTTGAACTATTCTGGGGCGCTGAGATGAAACCATTCATTGGCAAATGTTAAAAAAAGTGCCAGGCCCAGAGATATAGTTCAAATACAGTCTCCCCAATAGTTGCTGGTATGAGTTAGGCACAGGAAAGCTGTTCTGGCTCATACCTGTTTGGTGGCCTCTTCGATGCTTGCCCACACAGAATAAAGTAACGCCCCTCTCCCACCAGGCTTTCCTTCCCTGTGTGTGTGCTCTGGAGCCCCTCTAGCTCTCCTTCAGGCCTGCTGCACTCCACCAGGCCCAGAAAAATCTGGTGGTCAGAATGGGGGATCACTTTCAACTTTGGGGGGTTATAAATAAGCTATTAATGGATTATCAAGAGTGGTTCTGTCTCTCTCCCTCTGTGTGTGTGTGTGTGTGTGTGTGTGTGTGTGTGTGTGTGTGTGTGTGTAGAAAGAGACACTAGAGGGAAGTTGCAAAAATCCGTGAATAGAGGTTTTGAGGTAAGATAATGAAAGGGTGCTTAGGTTATAAAAGAGCACAGGAAGAGAAGAAGGCATTTGTCAAGAGATGTGATGATTGGCTAGAATAAAAGTTAACAGGGCAGTGGTGACTGGAGCAGGCTTTTGGGCGGGTTGCTCATTCTTAAGGTGGAGGAGGAAACAGGAAGGGGGTTAGCAGGACAGTGCAGGTGAAGGAGGAAACAGGAAGGGGGTTAGCAGGACAGTGCAGGGCTATAGCTGTGGTATTAAGTTCTCCTATCTACAGTGACTTCTTGAGGAACATGTAATGAATTAAGGTAAATTACAAATGTCAAATTTCCCAACTGTATTTTGTCAGTTGATAGGCATTTCTTAAAAATTAATTTTATTTATAATTGATATATAATATACACATTCATTTTAAATATTAGGATTAACCATAAAACAGTATTTTAAAAAATTAGATCCAATGCCATAATCATTATAATATATGGAATTTTATATGAGCCACAGATTTCTCCTTCTGAGGAAATTTCACAGTGAGGATCTTGTGTGGGTAATTACAATTACTTATGTGGCCTACACTGTCAAAACATTTCTCATCCCCCTTTCAACTTTGTGGGAAAAAATATTTTTTCATAATTTTCTGTATAATAGAGGTTTAAGTACTCAAAGTGACCAGATTGATACTGTATATTTGATTGTTCCTATTATATTTAAAAGAAAATTGGAACTAGAATGGTGAAAAAGAAAATTAAATGTCTATGCAATGACAAAGGCAAAATAAGGATAGGAAATTAAAGCAAGTGTTTCAAGAGGGGGAAGTTAATTGTTTTGGTTTATTTGACAAATGAAACGAACAGACTCTAGTCTTCTTTCTTGGCTTTTATTTTGCCCTTCATTTTTGTTTTCTTTCACTAAAAGTTGGGTAATATATATGGCTTCCTCTTTTCTAGCTATTTCACTTTACTTGAAAACTCCATTCATACACAGTCAGACTTGATTGCAGATCTGCCCTTGACAACCTAGAGTGCTAAAGAACAGGAGTAGACCATCTGATAATGTGTCTCTTGGTCTGGTCATTGTGTAATTCCTACAATAGGCTCCTTGTAGAGCAGGTTTAGTACATCAATACTGCATTGTAAATCTAGTTTGTATAATTAGTGTAGTGTCTCTTCCAATCCCCCATCCCCTCTTTTTTTTCTTGTGGCAAATAGGTCAAGGTGATGTGGGATAAATGTGACTTTCTAAATACACCTAGATATCTGTGTATTAAATAGCAGCTTCTGAAATGCTGGAGGTCTCTGTCCTCAGTACTTCCATAGTATTTTGTGATATCTCTGTTAACAGTTACCTCACCACAGCACACATTGTATGTATATGTGTTTGTCTATTCCACTTGGCTGTGAGCCCTTTGAGGGCAAGGACTATGCCTCATTTATTTTTGTATCTATATTTTGGTGCCTGATACAAATAGGTACTCAATAAAGGTTAGTTGGATAATTGTTTAAAAAACACAGATACAACTTCAGATGTCTGCCATTTGCCAGAACTTCTGGTAGATGAGCCACACGTATAGTTTTCTTTTAATAGCACTTGGTCCTATGAAAAGTTCTGTAATCTCCTTTGGATTGTTTATACAGTTGACCCTGAACAACGTGGTGGTTAGGGTCACTGACCCTCCTTTGCAGTCAGAAATCTGAGTATAACACATTTGACTCTCTCAAACTTAAGTTTTGATTGAAAGTCTTACCGGTAACATAACAGTTAATACATATTTTATATGTGTTATATCCTGTATTATTGTTATTATTATTATTATTGACAGGGTCTGGCTCTGTTGCCCTGGCTAGAGTACAGTGGCACAATCATAGCTCACTGCAGCCTCAACTTCCTGGGCTCAGGTGATCCTCCCACCTCAGCCTCCCAAGTAGCTGGGATTATAGGCATGAGCCACCCCTATAGTGGTCCCCACCACCATGCCCAGCGAATTTTTGTTTTGTTTTGTGTTGGTAGAGACAGGGTCTCACTCTTTTGCCCACACTGGTCTTGAACTCCTGGGTTCAAGCAGTTATCCCGCATTGGCCTCCCAAAGTGCTGGGATTGCAGGCATGAGCCACCACACCCAGACCTGTATTTTTAAAGTAAGCTAGAGTAAAGAAAATGTTATTAAGAACCTCATAAGGAAAATATATTTACTATTCATTAAGTGGAGATTGATCATCATAATGGTCTTCATCTTTGCATTGAATAGTCTGAGGAAGTGGAGGGATTGGTCTTGTTGCTCAGGGGTGTCAGTGGCTGAAGAGGTGGAGGAGGTGGAAGAGGAGGCAAGAGAGACAGGCAAAACACTCAAGAGTAATTTTTATTGAAAACAAAATACGTGTATAAGTGGACCCATGCACTTCAAACGTGTTGTTCAAGGGTCAACCATACTAGTTTTTATAATAAGAGGGAAAGATTAGAAAATAAAGATAAGCAAAAGCAAAGGAAAAATCACTTGCAACCCCATTCCCCAACAATAATAGCTGTTGTTAGCATTTTATATTCTTCTAATCATTTTTTCTTATGGACATATGTGTGATTTTCCTAAGAATTATATCACATGTGGACATAGTGGTTTGTAACCTAATTTTTCAACTACCTAGCTTAGTACAGTAACAGATTATCAATAAATACTTGTTTTAATGAACATTTTCTGTTATCAAATATATTTCAACATCATTTTTAATGATTGCTTAATATTCCATTAATTAATGTCCATAATAATGGACATTATTATTTAACTGATCCCCCCATTGCTTAATAGGCTGTTTATTCATTTAATAACATAGTTGGTTTGATCACAGATATCTCTGGTTCATCCCTTTCCCCTCCCAGTCTTTACTTTGGTGGTATTGATCCATATTTAAGGCTTTGAAAGCTTCATCTTCTCTTTAACTTCTAGGTATTTGCAGTACTGTTCCTTTTGCCCATAACACATTTCCTACTTTGCCTAGCTAATACACATTTGTTAAAACCTGGGCTTATTTTTTCTTCTTGGATCGTTTCCCGGACTATATTAGTTGTCCTTCCAATGTGCATCATAGGCAGCATTTTATACTAATTCCTAGGGAAAAACTCAGTCTGCTTTATTTTAATTGCATGCTTTCTTCTTCTTATTTTTTTTTTTTCTTGAGACAGCGTTTCTCTCTTGTTGCCCAGGCTGGAGTGCAGTGGTGCGCAATCTCAACCGCAAGCTCCGCCTCCCGGGTTCAAGCGATTCTCCTGCCTCAGCCTCCCAAGTAGCTGGGATTACAGGCATGTGCCACCACACCCGGCTAATTTTTTTGTATTTTTAGTAGAGATGGGGTTTCTCCATTTTGATCAGGCTGGTCTTGAACTCCTGACCTCAGGTGATCCGCCCGCCTCGGCCTCCCAAAGTGCTGGGATTACAGGCATGAGCCACCCCGCCTGGCCAATTGCATGCTTTCTTAAGTGTATCTCCCACTAAACCATAAAATCCTTCAGGAGAGGACCTATGTCTTGTTTCCGTTGTATTTCCCAGCCCTGTGTAATGCTGGGTATATAGCGGGAATTTAGTAAATATTCTTTCAAATGGCAAATGCATGAAACATTTCCTGGTCTTCAGCGTGGATCATTAAATGGTGACCTTTAACAATCTCATCTTTTTTATCAGATAAGCATAATAACAGCAACTTTTATTTGTAAAGTGCTTTATAGAACATAAAATGTTTAAAAATTGTTGTTTCATATTGGCAAGGAAATGAATTCTTAGTAAATTTATTCTGCATTATCAAATGAATTGGTCTGCTATTTAAATTCCTTAATATGTTGCCCTTTATTGATAGTTAAGTGATAATGTTAGTAATTCTCACATCTGTATGGTCTTAAATTTTTAAGTAGAGACAGTTAATAGGTTATAGTTTTTAATTTATATTTTAAGCCTCTCTTAAGCAATAATTAGGCATCAACTCTGATGAGGGTTTTGTAACCATAGTTTAAACCAATTTAAAACCATAGCATGAAGCTAAAAGCTTTTATTTTTATTTTGTAACACGAAGAGTAATCTACAACAAAGACTTAGGGACCAGAGAACCTAACAGTAACATTAGACAGTAAAACCACTTAGCTAGGTGTGGTGGCTTGCGCCTGTAGTCCCAGCCACTGGGGAGGCTGAGGTGGAAGAATTGTTTGAGGCCAGGAGTTGGAGGCCATCCTGGGCAAGATAGTGAGACTCTGTCTCTAAAAAAGAAAGGAAAACAACGACTGGATTAGGCTTAGGAGATAGAAGTTAATTATCTACAGCTCTCTATATTGTCACTAAGTGACATGGCACACCTAGGGGTGAGGATGGGTTGGTTGTCACAGTCACCTAAGGAGCTTTTTCAGATGCTTTGTCGTCTACCTAACTCTGCAGTTACTGCCATTGTGGCGATATTGAATGATAATCAGTTATATTAAGATAGAGACAGGCTTTGCAAGAATATTATTAACTGGAACTCCTTAACCTGAAAAGCCAGTAGTGACACAGAGAACAGGGAGTCTGCAGACCAGGGCTGTAGTTTACCACGGGTGAGCTGTGTGAATTCAAGCAGGTCACTTAGCCTCTCTTCACCTTCACCTTCCTTCGCTTCCTTTTTATAAAACAAAGGAATTGGATTAGATGATCTGTAAACTCACATTTATAAATCTTCTCATTTTTCTGATGCACATACAAAAAGAATCTTGCTCTTCAAAGAAGAAATGAAAAATGTGATTATAACTTTGTCTAAAATGTGATATTACATTAGTTTAACAGATATTAATATTATCGTACACTTTAAAAGCCCTTCAAATTGAGTCTTCAGCTAAGTAAAATACTGACAATTTCTTTATTATCTCAGAAAAAAGAAAATCCTGGTGAACTCTTTTTTTCTTCTTGAGACTCAAACTCAAATCCAGGACAGTGATCTCATCTGGTTTCATTGTTTTAAATCTCATCTCTGTGCTGATGACTTACAGCTCGGTATCTTCTCTGAATTATTTGCTCCTCTGAAATTGACTACCAACATACTGGTGCACTTAGATATCAATGGAATATCTCAAAGTTAAAGTTAATTCCTGATTTTTTCCCCCCAAACCTATTCTTGATTTTTTTTTTTTTTTTTTTTTTTTTGAGATGGAGTCTTGCTCTGTCGCCCAGGCTGGAGTGCAGTGGTGCGATCTCGGCTCACTGCAAGCTCTGCCTCCCAGGTTCACGCCATTCTCCTGCATCAGCCTCCCAAGTAGCTGGAACTACAGGTGCCCACCATGACGCCCAGCTAATTTTTTGCATTTTTAGTAGAGACGGGGTTTCACTGTGTTAGCCAGGATGGTCCTGACCTCGTGATCTGCCCACCTCGGCCTCCTAAAGTGCTGGGATTACAGGCGTGATCCACCACGCTAGCCTATTCTTAATGTTTTCTATATCTGACCAAGACAGAAACCTTGAAGTTGCCTTTGATTCTTAATACCTAACAGTCAATGTATTAGCAAATGCGTTTGGTTGTGCTTTGAAATGGTAGCCGGAAACTGCCCATTTCTCATCAGCACTCCTTCCGACTGCCCTTACTCTACTAGAGTCTATTCTCAGTCAGGAGCCAGAGGCAACCATTTTTTGTCATGTAACGTCATGTGTCACTCCTCTACTAACCTGCAGTGGCTCCCCCTCTTCTTCAGTGTAAAAGTTACAGCCCTTCCAGTGGTCAGCAAGGCCCTGTGTGACCTGGTGCTCCATGACCTCTCATTTCATGCTTTTTCTCTCTCGTTCACTTCTTTCAGACACACTAGCTGCCTTGCTATTTTCATAACATTCCAGGCACACTGCCTTCTCAGGGCCTTTGCACTGGCAGTTCCTTTTGCCTGAAACTCTCTTTCCCTGGATAGTCGCATACTTAGCCTCTCACCTCCTTCCATTCTACTCCTGTGTAACCATCTGATGTGAAGGCTACACTAAACTAACTGTGCTATTTAAAACTGCAAACTACTACCCTAATAGCCACCTCTGCATTTGATGTTATTTTTTTCATAGCATTTAAT
Source organism: Homo sapiens (assembly GCF_000001405.40). NCBI lineage: Eukaryota > Metazoa > Chordata > Mammalia > Primates > Hominidae > Homo > Homo sapiens. Next base: position 12,591,066 of record NC_000018.10, on the reverse strand, counting down.
GCCTTCTAATGTACTGTAATTTGTTTATTAATCTTATTGCCTCTCTCCCTCTTCTAGAATGTATGTTTTGGAGGTCAGAGACTTTGTCATATGTAAAAATAGTGAGGATAAAATGATAATATATGACTATATATTGTTTATAGATATTATTTTGGCTAAGTACTACCTCAGTGAATTTGTTTTAAGGCCAAAGAAATCATGACAGTTGCATAACCCATTTTACAAACTGTACACAGTAACATATGTACATGGGAAGTCCTGGACTCAAGAAAAGGTGCCTCTCCTGCCAACCTTCTTGCCCAGGGGCCTGTAGCGCTCCTGCCCCCGCTTGAGAGTGGCTTCCTGGGGGTCTTCATGCCTGTGTCTTCTCACTGCTGCTCTTCAAATCTAGCCCTCGAGGCCTCCACAACGCTGATGCTGCCATTCTACTGCTCAGGGCTCAGGGGTTGTAAGGTGGACATGAGGCTCAGGACACTTTTATACTCTGTTTTCAATTTAAATAGTCTATTGTGGCCCAATACTGGAACATCTTATAACTTTCTCTCTTTTTGTTTTTTTCCTTTGGGCTTTCTTCTTTAGGCCCGAAAACTTTTTCTATGGGAAAAATTGATTTATGGTTTTCAGATTGCATTGAAAGGGAACTTCAGGACATAACTCATTCAGAAATTAGGAGATGCGGCCAGGCACGGTGGCTCACGTCTGTAATCCCAACACTTTGGGAGGCCAAGGCAGGTGGATCACCTGAGGTCAGGAGTTTGAGACCAGCCTGGCCAACATGGTGAAACCCTGTCTCTACTAAAAATACAAAAAAATGAGCCAGGCGTGGTGGCACATGCCTATAATCTCAGATACTTAGGAGGCTAAGGCAGGAGAATCACTTGAACTTGGGAGGCATAGGGTGCAATGAGCCGGGACTACACCATTGCACTCCAGCTGGGGCGACAAGAGTGAAACTCCGTCTCAAAAAAAAAAAAAAGAAATTAGGAGATGGCATTTTAGGATGGCTTTTTCAGTTACTGCATAGGAAAAATGTTACTAGGCAAGATTAAAATATTCTTGTATGCCAGCTAGTCCTGAAAATATATTTATTATGTATCTAAGCCTTTAAAAATTGCAAACGTCTGTTCTTATCAATATAAATTTGTTTTATAAAAATAAAGTTTGTATGAACAGACAGTGGATATCATTGTTGCATTAAACTATGCTGTAGCAAAGAATAAACTAATTCTTAAAAACATTTGGTCCCTGCTTCCCTGTTTTGACATAGATAAAATGAGTAATGAGGCAGTGGCTGTCATTGAATTAGAGGCAGTGGCTGTCATTGAATGAGAACCAGAAGGAATTGGCAGTTGGATGTTAGCTAGTGTCTGTCCTTGCCCCAGTTCTTCTCAGGTTGGGCTTTTTTGTTTGTTTTTTCAGCTTGGCACAGAAGATTTTTTTAGAAATGATGAAATGTAAACCATTCAGAACAGGCTAGTTCTACCTAAGAGCACCTTTTACCTAAGTGCACCTGGTACTGAGGGAAAACATTTTATGTATCCTGGCAATATTTGTGCCTTTTCTTTCCTGTTGATGATACTTGTGTGTTTGAGGAAAGGTCATAGAAAGAGTATGCCTGCTTTCTCCACCGGACACCCTGGCAGAGTGGGCGGCCTTCAGACCTCCTTCCTTAGTACCTGGGTGGTGGTCCAGGGTCCAGGTCTCCTCCTTCACTTGCTCTTTCTGTCTTTAGCTCTGTTGCCTTTTACTTTATATGAATGGAGCTCTATAGTGGCCAAGTTCATGGGCTATGGAGAAAGACCTGGGTTTGAGTTCTGGCTCTGTTACTTACTTAGTCTCTAGTTACTTTACTTAATCTTAGTTTCTTCATCTCTGAAATTGGGTGCAGAGGTGTTAATATGCATAATACCTATTTAATAGTATTGTATGAGAAATAATTCACATTAATAAATAATATGTGCATAGGACCTTGCACATAGAAGCTCAGTAGATGTCAGCTATTATGAAAATTACCTTTAAGCTGCCTTTAAAAATTCTTTCTATCTCTGTATGTATCTGTATGAATAACTACCCATGACCTCTCCTAGGTTCTGAGAATGCAAGAGTGACCAAAACAGACATGTCTCTGACCACACGGAATCCAAGTGGCAAAGATGTTTGTACCTTGAGAGTTGTCAGTTATTGGAAGAAAACTTCTGACTATATCTAAAGTAGGAAAAGAAATTTAAATTGAAGCAAGTGTAAAGTGTTAAAGGCTTAATAAAAGAACCCTGAAGTTAAAAAAACAAAGATTTAGGAAAATCTGTGTAGTTTTCCGGAGTTTTTAATAGCAGCTGACATATTTGCCCGTAAGGACAATTAATAGGTCAGCACTAGCAATGTAAGAAAGGGAGTAGTAAGAAATAAGGTCTGTGAAGTAGACTGGAGCAAGTCCACGGAGGTTTTTTTTTTTTTTTTTTTTAAAGTGAGACAAGGAGAGCATTTGTGAACTGGAAAGTGAAGTCAGTAATTTTCCAGTACAGAAGAGATAACCTTTGGTGGCAGAACCAGAATTTAACAACTGGTTTTGAAAGAAACAATATTTGGTTTAAAAAATATAAATCTCTACTATTTAAACATGTAATGATAATCATTTATATTTTGACAGCCTATTTAATAGCAGTAAATAACATATGAAAGCCACTATTAACTGTAAGTAGTACTTTTTATACTGCAATAAGACTTACTATAGTGAATAGATGACATTGATGTATTTACCTGGAAAAATTCTAATGCAGTTTTTTTAACCTAATCTACTTTTAAAAAAAAATTAAAATTAGGCAATTTAGAAACAACTAAATATCTATCAACTGATGAATGGATGAATAAAATGTGATATATCCATACAACAGAATATTATTTGACAATAAAAAGATATGAAGTACTGATACATGCTTCAACATGCTAAGTTGTAGAAGCCATTCACAAAAGACCACATGTTATATGATTGCATTATATGACATGGCCCAGAATAGGTAAATCTATAAAGCTAGGAAGTAGATTAGTGGTTGCCTAGAGCTGAGGGGAGGGAGTAGGGTTGGAGAAAAATGGGGAGTGACTGCTAATGGGTATGGGGTTTCTTTTGGGATGATGAAAATGATCTAAAATTAATTGTGATCATGAATGTACAACTCTGAGTATATTAAAAAGTATTAAAATGGATACTTTGGGTGCATTGTATGGTGATTGTATCTTAAGAAAGCCTTCAGAGTTTTTTTATTAAGCAATTTGAAAGAATTCTTAATTTCAAGAAACAGAAGTGGTGGAATATATCCTTTACATTGAGCTCTGTTCTCTCTAATGCCTAAATCACTGGGTAGGAAAAATCAGTGTAGTTGTTAGACCAGTAGTTCTCAGTATGTGTCACTTGTAGAGTTGTTAAAAATGTGGAGTACCAGATCCTCCCTCTATGGTTTCTAATTCTGCAGGCCTGTGAAGGGGCTTGGGACTGATTTCTAATGGGCACCTTGATGAATCAGCTGTTTTGTTTCAAAAATTGAGAACCTTTCTGTGTTCTCTTAGAATATGCTCCTGGGCCAGTTGATCCAGCCTTTATTTTCATTCTCTTGCTTTGGCTACCTTATCAGTGCTAAAATATATATTTAGCAATATATTTAGAGCTCGAAATTATATGAGAATCACTCTGGCATTGTCTTATTACAGAGCAGGTAGCTGAAGCTGGAGAGGTTTTTTTCCTAGAGTCTCAAAACTATGAAGTTAGGGAACTGGAATCCAGATTTAAGTCAGCTTGTGCCCAATCCAGTACTCTTTTCACTTCATCACACCGTCTGTCAGAATTTATTCTGTATATAATCATCCCTTACCACTCCTTGACCTCCACAGGTGTTGGTGCCACCTACTTTTTAGTGGCTCTACCTGTTCATTGGCTGTGTGACTTTGAGCAAATTATGTAACCTCTTCATGCTTCAGTTTCTTGATCAGAAGGAAATAGGGTAAGAATAATACCTACTTGATAGAATTACTGCAAGGATTTACAATAACATACAATAACATACAAGTGAAGTGCTTGGCACAGGTGAAGTGCTGGCACATGCTCAGTAAATGTCAACTTATTTCTAGTAATAGACTGTTTCAGATACTTGCTTTCTTTAAGTGTCTAGAGTCATGAAATATTTTTAAAAGGACAGTTAAAATAAGTGTTTTCTCAAAAAACCTACATTATAATTTTCCTTCAGGGGCTCAGGAGGCAAATTTAGAGCAATGAGTTTCAAATTTGTTCAGAGCTTAGAGTTACCATGCTTGAGTTTCCAGACACATGATTATCTGTCTTATAAATGAGAAACAGTTTTACTAGTAGAAAATGACTTTATTGGATTTATATAATATAAATTCACTATAAGCATACACATCCATAAAAAAGCTATATAGAAGTAAGCCTAATAAACTTGTAAATGGATGTTATTTTTAATTTGCATACTGTTAGTTTCATCATTTGCCAGTAAAAGTATAGCAGATGCCATGACTGAGAGAATTGTCTCATTAGTTTAAGTATTTCTGTGACTTGAGAAAAGCTATTATTAGGCCTTAGTGGTCTGATGCTTCATTTCCAGCCTATGGAATACCAAGGTAATCTGGCAACTTGGTTTGAGAACCATTGTTTTATGGGCAAAAGAACGAATGTAGAGATGGGACAAACCAAACTATTTATGGCAGTAACAGTTTTAGACTTACTGTTTTAGGATTATGGTGGCAAAATAACTCAGTTGTGAAATGTGATTTTTACGTTTTTTTGTAATTTAAAAAGTATGAAAGAGGCCAGATATAGAGGCTCATGCCTGTAATCCCAGCACTTTGGGAGGCAGAGATGGGAGGATTGCTTAAGGCTAGGAGTTTGAGACCAGCCTGGGCAACATAATGAGACCCTGTCTTTATTTTAAAAATTTTAAAAATTAGCAGGGCGTGATGGCACACGCCTGTAGCCACAGCTACTTGGGAGGCTGAAGTGGGAGGATCACTTGAGCCCAGGAGTTTGAGGTTAAAGTGAGCTATGATTGTGCCACTGCACTCCAGCCTGGGTGACAGAGCAAGACCCTGTCTCTAAATACATACATACATACATGCATACATATATAACAAATGAAAGTAATATAGAAACAAATTCACACAATATAGAAACAAAATGTTTGCCGAGCTCTTCTGGCCCCACTTGCCAGAGATAACTGTTAACAATTTGTGTGTTCTCCTAGAAAAATATATATGTATATGGGTTTATTATTTACATATTTTCTTTTTATATAAACATTTTCATGCATGGTTTACTTAGCATTTTGCAACATACCTTTTTTAATCCTAATACATATTGAGCATCTTTTTACATGTTAGTACATATAGACCTACCTCATTGTGTTTAATAGCATACTAACATTTTTTTAAAGCTAACAGTTTGCTAGACACTGTTTTAAGCTCTTTCCATATATCTTAATTTTCACAAGACCCTTATGAAGCAGGTACAGTTATTATCCCCATTATATAGACACACTAACAGCTATAGAGATAGAAACTTTCTCAAAATCATGCAGCATGTGAGTACTAGATCCTAGATGTGACTATAGGCAGCTGATTTCAGAGACTGCCTTGACATGACATTGCGACATCTCTTAAATTATTGCCACTGTTGAAAGCCTTTTGTCTGGTGGGATCCTACCTATATGTTTCTTGGCCCTTCCTATCATGAAGTTTTTTGGTTTCTCAGCTCCTTAACTTTTGGTTTTCTAATTAAAAATAATGCTTAACTTTTGAGGGATGAAGTGTTGTAATATTCTGTATGTCACACAAACATATATGTGTATGTGTAAGTGTTCCATTTGGCTTATTCATATTATTAAGACAGTCTTCATCCAATTTTTTTGGTCTGATTTGTAAGTTTTTTTGGGAGGAGGTGTTGTTTTAAAAAAATATTTATTGGCCTGGCGTGGTAGCTCACGCCTGTAATCCCAGCACTTTGGGAAGCCGAGGTGGGCGGATCACGAGGTCAAGAGTTCGAGAGCAGCCTGAACAGCATGGTGAAACCCCATCTCTACTAAAAATACAAAATTTAGCCAGGCATGGTGGCACATGCCTGTATTCCCAGCTACTCAGGAGGCTGAGGCAGGACAGCTACTCAGGAGGCTGAGGCAGGAGAATCGCTTGAACCCAGGAGGCGGAGGTTGCAGTGAGCTGCGATCGCGCCACTGCACTCCAGCCTGGGCAACAGGGCGAGACTCCCTCTCAAAAAATATATATATATTATTTATTTTTAATTTAGAGACAGGGCCTTGCTATGTTGCCCAGACTGGACTCAAACGCCTAGGGCTTAGGTGATCTTCCCATCTCAGCCACCAAGTAGCTAGCACTACAAGTGCATGCCACTATGCCTGGCTAATTTGAGGGGAGATGTTCATAATTTTCCTATTGTGACTATGGATTTATTATTTTCACCTTGTAATTCTGGCTGCCTGTTTTAGGTAAAATTTTCAAGTCTAAATTTTGAGACTATATTATTTGGTACAGGCAAGTTCATAATCATTATTTTTTGAAATACTTCTTTGGTTCTTTTAAATACTGTTTTTCTTAAATTCATTTTTCTTTTTTTTTTCTTGAGATGGAGTTTTGCTCTGTTGCCCAGGCTGGAGTGCAGTGGTACTATCTCTGCTCACTGCAACCTCTGCCTCCCAGGTTCAAGAGATTCTCCTGCCTCAGCCTCCCAAGTAGCTGGGACTACAGGCGTGCACCACCATGCCCGGCTAATTTTTGAAGTTTTAGTAGAGACGGGGTTTCACCATGTTGGCCAGGCTGGTCTCAAACTCCTGAACTCAAATGATCTGTCTGCCTCGGCCTCCCAAAGTGCTGGGATTATAGACGTGAGCCACTGTGTCTGGCCCATTTTTCTTTTTGATATTTCTTCTGATTTGTTTTTTCCTGGCATGTATTATATATTTCTGTCCTTTTATATTAACCTTTCTGTGTCTTGCTTTAAGCGTATTTTTAATGAACAGTATGTTATTATCTCTTTTATATCTCATTTGAGAGTCTGTCTTTTAATAAGCATGTTTTACTGGTTTATTTTCTGTTTTTGTTTTTTTTGTTTGTTTTTGTTTTTTTGAGACAAGGTCTCTCTCTGTCACCTAAGCTGGAGTGCAGTGGCGTGATCATGACTTACTGCAGCTTCTAACCCTTCTAGGCTCATGTGATCCTCCCATCTCAGCTTTTCAAGTAGCAGGGACTATAGGTGTGTGCCACCACGCCCAGCACTTTTTTTTGTATTTTGTAGAGGTGGGATTTTGCCATTTTGCTCAGGCTGATCTTGAACTCCTGGGCTCAAGCAGTCTGCTCACCTCAGCCTCCCAAAAGTGCTAGGATTACAAGCATGAGCTACCTGGCCTGGCCTTTTTTTATTTTTAATTTTTTCTTCTTCTTCTTCTTTTTTGGAGACGGAGTCTCACTCTGTCACCAGGCTGGAGTGCAGTGGCACGATCTTGGCTCACTGCAACCTTCACCTCCCAGGTTCAAGCGATTCTCCTGTGTCAGCCTCCCGAGTAGCTGGGACTACAGGCATGTGCCACCATGCCCAGCTAATTTTTGTATTTTTAGTAGAGATGAGGTTTCACCATGTTGGCCAGGATGGTCTCAATCTCTTGACCTCATGATCCGCCTGCCTTGGCCTCCCAAAGTGCTGGGATTACAGGCTTGCGCCACCATACCCGGCCTTTTTCTTCTTTAAATATAAAGAGATCATCCGCTGTTGCCCATGCTGGTCTCGAACTCCTGGGCTTAAGCAATCCTCCTGCATCTGCCTCTCAAAAGTGGTGGGATTACAGGTGTGAGTCACCTGAGCCTGGCCCCTGTTTACACTTATTATGATTTCTGATATCTTTGGACTAATTTCTGTCATCTTTCTTTGTGCCATCTGTCATGTTTCATCCAATATTTTTGCCCCCTTTTTCCCTTGCCTTCTTTAAAAATCACATATGTCAGTATCAAGCATGCATTCCTTCATGGAAATATTGAATTGAATTAGTAAAGCAGATATCCACCTTTAGGAGTTGCACTCTTCAGTTTGCCACAGTCCCCACTGGGCGGTTCACTGTATATGTCTGATCTTTGTACTAAGTTCCATGATGGTAGAGTCCAGACTGTCTATTTCCTTCCCCAGTACACCCCCAGCATCAGGCATAGTACTTGTAGGTACTCAGTGAACATTTGGGTGGTAAGTGTTCAATGAACATTTATTGAACGAATGAAGGGATGGATGAATGAACAGCTGATCATTGGAATCATCTAGAAAGCTATAAAAAATACTGATAACCTGGCTCCCATGCTCTGGAGATTTTGATTTGGTAGGTCTGATATGGAGCCTGGATATACATGTGTTAAGAAACTAACAAAAAATTCCCCCAGATACTCTGATTATCAGAGAGATTTGGAATAATTTGACCTCATGTTTTATGGATTTTTCTACCTTGAGACACACTTGCGACTCTTGCTTTAGTTAATAATTGTGGAGCAATTATTAACTGTATAATTATACAGTAATCTATTTATCTACTTAATATAGGGCCATGGTTCCCCTAAAGTAGGGAAACATACCACAGTTTAGCTTTATTTTTACATATTTTTTAAAGTTGGAGATAGCTGGTCATTGCCATTTGGGTGACATCAGAGCAGCAATATTAAATTTTTCCTTTTCTCAAATAATAATTTCTACTTTTTTTCATCTGCTCTACAAGAGACAGTTTTCTGAGCATGCCTCTCTGCCTTTTCATTAACCATATAAATAATTGGAAATAACCAAAGGGGATTGAAGCATAGAATGTGTGGTTGAACTACAGACCTTGGGCTTTTCCTGTTTTCTAAGATACTGATTCTCTTAGTTGAAATTTACCATGGTTTATAGTTTATGAAACTGACTGGCATACAAAGGACTCAATTTTGATTTTGGTCTGCTATGTTGTACCCATGATGTTTTGTTTGAGGTAAGTCATCTGTGGAGTTAGGAAATTCATTTGCCTTTAAGGAGCAAACTTTATGGGAATGTGAACCTTTTAGGGTTGCAGACAGTTGTTAATGAAACCTATGATTGAAAAAGTAGTTCATCAAGTTTCTTGTTGTCTGTGTTCTGAAACTAAGCATTTTAGAACAACAGTCTCTCATAATGATTTTTTTTTTTTAAACAGTCTCATTCTGATGCCCAGGCTGGAGTGCAGTGGTGTGATCTTGGCTCACTGCAACCTCTGCCTCCTGGGTTCTAGCGATTCTCATGCCTCAGCCTCTCGAGTAGCTGGGATTACAGGTGTGTGCCACCATGCCCGGCTAATTTTTGTATTTTTAGTAGAGACAGGGTTTTGCCACATTGGCCAGGCTGGTCTCAAATTCCTGACCTCAGGTCATCCGCCCGCCTTGACCTCCCAGAATGCCGGGATTACGGGCATGAGCCACCGTGCCTGGCCTGTCATAATGAATTTTGACCCAGTAGGTATAGTTAAGGAAAAATGTTAGCAGGAATGGTATTTTTCAGATTTACTCAGGATAGAGTAAAAATAGTGTGGCTTTTTTACTTTTTAAATTTTCATCTTTTAATCTTGGTTATTTTTTTTAACCTTTTAGTGCCTTGGTTTTACTGTTTTCAAAACGGAAATTATACATTGTATAGCGTGAAACCTTAATTAATGGTTACTAATCAAGTGCTGTAAGCAACTTAGATGAAAGTCACTTTAGTTCAAAGTCCTATAGTAATAATATTTTGAATAAGCAGTTTGAGAACTTTCTGTGGAAATGACTAACACAGGATTATTGACTTAAATGCCATGATTGCTTTGCGCTCTTTTGATGACGTGGGGTGTGTTTGTTCCCCTTTCTTGGGGATTGCCGGTCTCACCTGTGGAATTCTCAAGTCCTTTTTTATCATTACTTGGCCTAGAAACTCAGTAAAGTGTTTGCTTACTTTAGTAGTTCAGTGGGTATTAAATAGAGTACCTATCATGTGCAAGACAGTGTGCTAGGAAAAGGCAGACCTAATAATACATACTCTCCACCCATGGGGATAAGTGGAATCATGTGGCAATAAGAAAAGAGAAGTTTTTTTCCCTCAGAAAATATCTCCAGTATTGAGGGACAGGCTGGGGTCATCCGCACCACACCAGGAATAACTAGCTCTACTGCTTTCTCTCCAACTGAAGAAAGCGTTTGTCGAACTCCTAAACCCAAGCAATCCGCCCGCCTCCCAAGTGTTGGAATTACAGGCGTGAGCCACCATGCCTGGGCCTTGAAGACAGTGTTTCTGCATGTGACTGAGAGTTATGAGGAAATTCTTTGCTGTAGTGTAGTTCATTTTTTAAAAAGCAGTGAAGTGTTTTAGCAAGAGAGGGACATGATAAAATTGACATTTTAAAAGAGAATACATTACTTGGCTGGGCACAGTGGCTCACACCTGTAATCCCAGCACTTTGGGAGGCCAAGGCAGGTGGATCACCTGAGGTCAGGAGTTTAAGACCAGCCTGGCCAACATGGTGAAACCCCGTCTCTACTGAAAATGCAAAAATTAGCCGGGCATGGTGGTGCACACCTGTAACCCCAGCTACTTGGGAGGCTGAGGCAGGAGAATCGCTTGAACCTGGGAGGCAGAGATTGCAGTGAGCCAAGATCACACCACTGCACTCCAGCCTGGGTGACAGAGCGAGACTCCATCTCCCAAAAAAAAAAGAGAGAGAGAGAGAACACATTATTAGATGGTTGGGATACTATTTCAAACCTTTCCTCTCCAACCCTGCAACACCCTCTTCTCCTTTCTCAATCTCATTTATGTTTTTTCACTCAAGAAAATAGAAGCAACCTGAAGAGAACTTTCACATTGTCCCACTGTCCAGTCCACCTGCCTGCATCTTTACCAAATACCTTCTCAAGGACGGTACTTCAGAAATAACCAGAAGGAGCTGTTTCTATCCTGTTTCTACTTCCTCTTATCATGTTTTCACCAAGACCCACTCTATGAAAGCATCTCTTGTCAAGGCCATCAAGCTAGACAGGAAGAAAATTAGAAGAATGTAGAATCAAGAGAAGAAAGTATTTAAAAATAAGATGAGGTTAACTGTGTCAAATGCTGGTTACAGGTGGTTTAAAGGCTTGATGATTCAAGCAAACTGGCCTGTGCTCAGGGCTCGAAACAGAGTGAAGTGGTAGAGTGAGGTACAGTGATAGAGTGAAGTACAGTGGTATTTCCAAAGCAGTTCTAGTCCTGATGCAAGAGTAGAGAGATAACTTGATTCCTGGGACCTTTATTTTGTTTTGGAAATTTTTGTAACCCCTGGCAAGTAAGGGGAATCATACCTTTGTGAATGTTGCTGCATGGTAATGCTCCCCAAGAAATTGTAGCAGCCTCTATATGTTTGTGATAAAATACATATAACATTCACCATTTTTACAATCTTGATTGTATAGTTCAGTGGCATTTGCTATATAACCATTGCCACTATCTGTTTCCCAAACTTTCTCATCATTCCAAATTGAAACTCTGTATTTATTCAGTGGGAATTCCCAGTCCCCTTTCCTGCTCTCCTGCTGCTAACCTTAAATCTACTTTCTGCTTCTCTGAATTTCCCTGTTCTGGATAGTTCATGTAAGTGGAATCATATAATAATTGCCTTTTAGTGTCTAGCTTCTTACACTTAGCATAATGTTTTTAGGGATCATCCATGTTGTAACATGTAACAAATTTCATTCCTTTTAAAGGCTGAGTAATATTCCATTGTATGCACAGCCCCACACGTTTTAAAATAGGCTTCATTACTAGTCAGTATTTTGTGTGTGTGTGTGTGTGTGTGTGTGTGTGTGTATGTGTGTGTGTGTAAACTTTTTCCTCTCAGTGGAAAATTCCTGTCTTGTTCATAGCTTGGTTCAGATTTGATTGTCTTTGATGGTTTTTGGGTTTTTTTTCCTCCCCTTCTCTTAAAAGCCTTTAAGGCCTAACTTTTTTTAAAAAAAAATTCAAAAAGACCCATTTCCAAAATTGAATGTTTCTGCAAAGCAAGCCGGTCAAGTTCCTATGATGATTTTTGAGGTTTTTCCAAGGTAGCTGATTATTGCTGCAAATTTTCTTTACTTCTGTTGAAGTACAATTTACTGTGAGGCTTACTTATAGAAAAAAAGTCAAAACTTCTGTGGTTCTTCAACTGTGACATTTGCATAAGCAGAACTCCACATATTTATAGCCTGTGTGTTTCTTTTAGTATTTGAATTCTGTATTTTCTCACTGTCTTAGTCAGTTTGGGCTGCTATAATGGAATACCATAGACTAGGTGACTAAAGAGTAAGAGATTGACCCAGGGCTACACATCGGATAGTGGGTAGAGTCTCCTCTCACGATTACTAGTCTGGTAGTCTGTTCACAGTGGAAATACTTGTTCAGTTTTTTAAAAAAATCAACCTTGGAGTATAATTTAAATATAATAAAATGCTGATAATTTAAATGTACAGTTTGATGAGTGTGTAATCACTGCTCCAATCATTTCATCACCACAGAAAGTTTCCGGTGCAGTCAGTCCCCCAGCTCCAACTTCATATAAATTGAACTATACAGAATGTGTTTTTTGTGCTGACCTTTTTTGCTCAGCAGTGTTTTTGAGATTCATCTGTGTTGAGTGTGCACTAGTAGTGCGTCCCTTTGTATTACTGGCTATTATTCCATTGTGTCAATATATTGCAATTTGTTTATCCATTCATCTGTTGATGAACAGTTGGGTTATTTACAGTTTTGGGTGATTGCAAATAAAGCTGCTATGAGCATTTAGGTATGAGTCTTTTTATGGATATATGCTTTTTATTTTTCTTGGGTAAATAGGAATGTAATTGGTGGGTCATATGATAAATTTATGTTTGACTTTTGTAAGAAACTCCTAAACAATTTTACAATGTGGTTGCGTTGTTTTGTATTCACACCAGCAATGTACATGTTCTAGTTTTCCACATCTTCACCAATACTTATTATTGTTAGTATTTTTAATTTTAGTCATTCTAGAGGATGTAAAATGGTAACTCATTGTAATGTGCTTTTCCCTGATGACTAGTGAAGTATAGCATTTATTCACATGCTTATAAGCCATTTGTATATCTTCTTTTGTAAGGTATATGTTTATATCTTTTGCCCACTTTTTATTGGATTGTTTATCTTACTGAGTTCTGTTTTTTAAAAAATACATTCTAGACTCAAGTTCTTGATGAGATAAATACACATATATGTAAAATAGATATTTTTGCCCAGCATGGGACTTGTCTTTTTATTGTTATTGTTGTCTTTTGAAGAGCAAAGTTTTAATTTTACACATGATCTTAGCCAAAAGGCCGAGAAGTGATAAAAGTTTTGATTTTGATCAACTCTAATTTGTCAACTTTTTATTTTATGATTAGTGTTTTTATGTATCTTGTGTAAGAAATATTTGTCTACCTAAATGACAATGACTATGTAGATAACATTTAAAAATCTGCAAACACTACTAGTGTCATGCAGATTTTCTCCTTTTTTTCTAGAATTTTCCTAGATTTAGCTTTTATATTTTGATATATGATACATTTAAAAATAATTTTTGTAGTGGCCAGGCACGGTGGCTCATGCCTGTAATCACAGCACTTTGGGAGGCTGAGGTGGGCAGATCACAAGGTCAAGAGATCGAGACCATTCTGGCTAACATGGTGAAACCCCGTCTCTACTAAAATACAAAAAAATTAGCTGGGCGTGGTGGCGGGCGCCTGTAGTCCCAGCTACTGGGGAGGCTGAGGCAGGAGAATGGTGTAACCCTGGGAGGCGGAGCTTGCAGTGAGCCGAGATTGCACCATTGCACTCTAGCCTGGGTGACAGAGCTAGACTCCGTCTCAAAAAATAAAAATAATAATAATAATAATTTTTGTATATGGTATGAGGCAGGGGTCTGGGCTATTCTTTTTTCAGATAGATACCCAGTTGTTTCAGCACCACTTGTTGAAATGATATCCTTTCCCCATTGAACTACCTTGGCACTTTCATTAAAAATCCATTTATCATGTAAGTGTGGGACTATGGATTCCCAGTTTACCTGTTGACCCTTAGGCCAGGCCAGTATTAAACAGTGTTGATGACTGTTATTGTAAGCCTTTTTTTTTTTTTTTTTTTGTGAAACAGAGCCTCACTCTGTCGCCCAGGCTTCAGTGCAGTGGCGCAATCTCGGCTCACTGCAACCTTCACCTCCCGGGTTCGAGCAATTCTTCTGCCTCAACCTCCCAAGTAGCTGGAACTACAGGCACATGCCACCATGCCTGGCTAATTTTTTGTATTTTTAGTAGAGACGGGGTTTCACCGTGTTAGCCAGGATGGTCTCGATCTCCTGACCTCGTGATCTGCCCGCCTTGGCCTCCCAAAGTGCTGGGATTACAGGCGTGAGCCACTGTGCCCCGTCTTTTTTTTTTTTTTTTTTTTTTTTTTGAGATGGAGTCTCCTTCTGATGCCCAGGCTGGAGTGCAGTGGCACGATCTCGGCTCACCTCAACCTCCGCCTTCTGGGTTCAAGTGATTCTCCTGCCTCAGCCTCCCAAAGTGCTGGGATTACAGGCACCCGCCACCACACCTGGCTAATTTTCGTATTTTAGTTAGAGACGAGATTTCGCTATGTCGGCCAGGCTGGTCTTGAGTTTCACCCGTCTCAGCCTCCCAAAGTGTCAGGATTACAGAGGTGAGCCACCATGCCCGGTGATTATAAGTCTTAAAATTAGGTAGTGTAAGTCATCCAACTTTATTATTCCTTTCCAAAATTGTTCTGGCTATTCTAGATAATTTGCATTTCCATATACTTTTTTTCTTTTTTTTGAGACGAGTCTCACTATATCGCCCAGGCTGGAATGCAGTGGGGTGATCTCGGCTCACTGCAACCTCTCCCTCCTGGGTTCAAGCGATTCTCTTGCCTCAGCCTCCCGAGTAGCTGGGATTACAGACATGCACCACCATGCCCAGCTAATTTTGTATTTTTAGTAGAGACGGGGTTTCTCCATGTTGGTCAGGCTGGTCTTGAACTCCTGACCTCAGGTGATCTGCCCGCCTGGGCCTCCCGAAGTGCTGGGATTACAGGCGTGAGCCACCGCGTCTGGCCTCCATATACATTTTAAAATCAGTTTGTCAATTTCTCTAAAAATCTTAACTAGGATTTTAAGATTGCGTTGACTTTAAATCAGTTTGGAAAGAGCTGACGTTGTAACAATATTAGTCTTTCAATCCATAAATTTGGTATATTTCTCCATTTACTTAGACCTTTACTTTCAGCAATGTATAGTTTTCAGTGTTAGGATATTGCAAGTTTTTGTAAGCAGGAGTAACTCTTATGCAGATGCAAATACATATGCTTATTTACCACTTAATAAAAACAACAAAAGCATATCTAAATTTTAGGGAAAGGCCAGGCTCAGTAGTTCATGCCTGTAATCCCAGCACTTTGGGAGAATCCCTTGAGACCAGCCTGGGTAACATAGCAAGACCCCATCACTACAAAAAAATACAAAAATTAGCTGGGCCTGGTAGTGTGCATCTGTAGTCCCAGCTATTCAGGAGGTTGAGGCAGGGATTTGATGTTATAGTGAGCTATGATCATGCTACTGCACCCCACCCTGGGCAACAGACTGAGATCCTGTGTCTAAATAAATAAATAAATAAATATTCAGGGGAAGATTTTTCTTTTTTGAGAAACGACTAGCTTTTTTATTTTAATTTTTTTATTTTTTTTTACTCTTTGTGTTCACTGAGTCATAACTAGCCATTTTTGAGGATCTAGTTTGTCAAACTAAAGTCATGAATAATTGCTGTATCACTGTCAGTAACTTTGATCCCTGTCTTTCCATCATCTTCAACTTTTTCCTCTCTACTTTCTTTTCATCACCATTCAAAACATGCTTAAAACTCTGGTCTTAAAAGACAGACTGAAAACACCTACCTCTGCCCTGTCTCATCTCCAGCTACTAACATGTATTTCCCCTTTTCTTCATTGAATTTTCTGAGACTGCTGTGTACACATTTCTGTTTACTCACCCAGATTGCCCTTGCCAAAGTCTCCAATGACCTCCACCTTACTGAATCCAGTGGACGTGTGCTAGAGTTCCTCTTACTTCTTATCCACATTCAGTACATATGACGATGCCTTCCTTCTTGAAATATTTTCTTTCTTTGGTTTTTGTGATACCACAGTTTTTGGATTTCATCCTTTTCTCCCTTTCCCAACACTGTTGCTCCTTTACAGTCCAATCTCTTGGTTTCTCATCCTCTGGCCAGCCACTGAATGTTTAGTTCTTCTTCTCCTGTGTGCATTCTCTCCTTAGGCTGTCTCATACACTCTGACTTCAGTAACCAATGACATGCCAGGGAATCCCACTGTATGTTCCTAGCCCATGGCTCTCCTTTGCCACCCACACAGCTGCCTATTTAGTGTCTGTGATTATATTTCCCACAGGTATTTAACTTGCCATCTTTCTCTTCCAAACTCTTTTTCCTCCAGTTTTCCATATCAGTAAATTCTACCACTATCCCTACTAGCTCAAGCTAGAAACCCAGGAATCATTTTTTTTCTCCCTACATTTAATGCATTGTGAAGTCCTGTCCATTCTACCTCCTAAAGACTTTCTCTATCTACCTATTACTATGCATCCCAAGAAACCATCAGCCCTAGATTTGACTCTACTGCAGTAGCCTCCTATTTGATCTTCCTGCATCTGCTCTGGCCCATTTTTAATCCGTTCTCTAACACTGTATTTTTAAAGCCACATTATCTATCTATTTTTTTAAAAATTAATACTTTTTTTAGAGCAGTTTTAGGTTTACAGAAAAAATTGTTCAGAAAGTATAGAGAATTCTCACATAATCTTAAGTCACTTTCTCCTGTTATTAGTATCTTGCATTAATGCAGTACGTTTACTACATTGAACCAATGTTGTTCATGTAGTACATTTACTACATGAACCAATATTGATACATTAAAAATTAAAAGTCGGCCGGGAGCGGTGGCTCACGCCTGTAATCTTAGCACTTTGGGAGAATGAGGTGGGTGGATCATGAGGTCAGGAGATGGAGACCATCCTGGCTAACACGGTGAAACCCCGTCTCTACTAAAAATACAAAAAATTAGCCGGGCGTGGTGGCAGGCACCTGTAGTCCCAGCTACTCGGGAGGCTGAGGCAGGAGAATGGCGTGAACCCGGGAGGCGGAGCTTGCAGTGAGCCGAGATTGCACCACTGCACTCCAGCCTGGGCAACAGAGCAAAACTCCGTCTCAAAGGAAAAAAAAAAGAAAAATTAAAAGTCAATAGTACATAAGGGTTCACTTTTTATGTTTTATATTCTGTGGGTTTTGACAGATATATGATGACACATGTCCATCATTACTGTTATATAGATAGCTCATTTCTTTTTTATCTTTGAATATTATTCCATTATCTGGATTTACCACAGTTTGTTTACCCATTCACCTATTGAGGGACATCTTGGTTGCTTCTAAGTTTGACTATAAACATTCATGTGCAGGTTTTTGTATGGACATAGTTTAAACTTATTTGGGTAAATACCAAGAAGCATATTTGCCAGATCATTTGGTAATAGTGTGTTTAGTTTTGTAAGAAACTGCTAAATTGTCCCCCAAAGTGGTTGTACCATTTTGCATTCCTGAGAGTTCCTATTGCTCCACATCCTTGCTAGCATTTGGTGTTACGAGTATTTTATATTTTAGTTACTCTCGGAGGGGTGTAGTAGTATCTCGTTGTAATTTGCAGTTCCTTAATGGCATATGATGTAGAGAATGTTTTCATATGCTTATTTTCCATCTGTATATCTTCTTTGGTGAGGTGTACATTCACATTATTTGCCTATTATATAATTGGGTTGTTTTCTCACTGGGTTTTAAGAATTCTTTCTATATTTTGGATACCAGTTCTTTATCAGATATGTGTTCTGCAGATATTTTCTTCCAGTCTGTGGCTTGATCATTTTATTCTCTGAAAAATGTCTTTAATAAAGTCCAGCTTAGTCAATTCTTCTTTCATGGGTTGTGTTTTGGTGTCATATCTAAAACATCATTGCAAACCCAATGCTGCCTATCTTCTAGGAGTTTTATAGTTTCGGATTTTACATTTAGGTCTATCATCCCTTTTGAGTTAATTTTTGTGAAAGGTTTAAGGTCCATGTCTAGATTCATATTTTTACTTGTTCATATACAGTTGTTCCAGAACCATTTGATGAAAAGACAATCCTGGCTTCATTTTGTATTGCTTTTGCTCCTTTGTGAAATATCAGTTGACTCTATTTCTGTGAGTACATTTCTCGGCTGTGTACTCTGTCCCATTGATCTATTTTATCATTTCTTTTGCCAGTACCACAGTGTATCTTCTATTTAAAAATTTTTTTAACAATTTTTTTTGTTTTGTTTTCGAGACAGGGTCTCATTCTGTTACCCTGGCTGGAGTGCAGTGGTGCCAACATGGCTCACTGCAGTTTTTTTCTGGGCTCAAGCGATCCTCTTGCCTCAGCCTCCCAAATAGCTGGGACCACAGGTGCATGCCACCATGCCTGGGTAATTTTCTAATTCTGTGTAGAGACAGGCTGGGTGTGGTGGCTCATGTCTGTAATCCTAGCACTGTGTGAGGCTGAGGCAAGAGGATCAGTTAAGGCCAGGTGTTTGGGACAGTTGGGGCAACATAGTGAGACCCTGTCTATTAAAAAAAAAATGAGATGAGATCATCTTGGTCCACAAAACACATCAGTGGCCTGTATTAATTTTATTTGATAAAGACCCATATCCTTTAGATAGCCTGTATGAGACCCTGTGTGATTGTGTAATTGACCCCCCCAAGCCCCCACTGCTGGTCTAGCTTCATCCTCGCTCTTCCTCTAGTCATTAGGATTTTTCTCAGTCATTCCATGTTCTTCTTGACCTCTGGTCCCTCATACTCAGTATTTCCTGTTTCTGGAACTCTACTGTAACCCCATCTGCTCCTGTATAACTCCTACTGATCTTTCAGGTGTCTGTTTAAACTTTACTCTCTTAGTGAGGGGCTTCCGTGACCCCAGACTAGGTTGTAGTTCCCTGTTATATGCTCCCATGACACCTTCTCGTTATTGTAATGTTTAACATGGTTATATGAGTCAGTTTATTATCTGTTTTCCCCAAGTCAAAAGCTCTGTGAAGGCCATAAACCTCCTGTGTTTTCTTCATTGCTGTATCTCCATTGCCACATACACTTTGCTCTTGGGAAATGTCTGTTGACTGAATTAATGAAGGGAACTATGCACAGTGGACATTAGCTAGATTAATAGAAAATTATGCTTTTGAAGGGATAGAGTTTATTAGATGTGGGATTACAATAGTATTTAGAGATTGTGACAAAGTATTTTATTAAAGCTTTATAGTATTTTTGTGAACACAGTGGAAAAATGTGAGATCATTTTATGAAGTTAGGTTGCAATCAGTGTCAGCATGGGGAAAATGTCCCTGGTATTCTGAAGGGCTTCTTAGTTGGGACTCACCTTTAAATAAATTTTCTAAAGACGCAGAATGCATACCCAGATTGGCCAGTTTTGGTCTGGGCATGATAATGTGTTAGATGGCAGACTCTAGATTTTACATGATTCTACCAAGCTAAAATAATTGTTCAAAATAAATAGGGGCCAGGTGTGGTGGCTCATGCCTGTAATCCCAGCACTTTGGGAGGCTTAGGTGGGCGGATCACTTGAGGTCAAGAGTTTGAGACCAGCCTAGCCAACATAGTGAAACCTCATCTCTACTAAAAATACAAAAATTAGCCGAGCGTAGTGGCTGGCACCTGTAATCCCAGCTACTCGGGAGGCTAAGGCAGGAGAATTGCTTGAACCCAGGAAGCGGAGGTTGCAGTGAGCAGAGGTTGTGCAACTGCGTTTCAGCCTGGGTGACAGAGTAAGGCTCCATCTCAAAAAAATAAAATTAATAAATAAATAGGATAAAATAGGTTTGAGATAAATATGTAACCTTTTACCAGGTCTGAAAAACATCTTTCACAAGCTAAAAAAAAGAAACACACACTAAAGGAGAAATATGCTTAACTATTATGATGTGTGTGACTTGGCCATTCTGGTTGACTGTAAACCCAAAGGGTTGATAATTTAATGAGCTTACCAGAAATCTGAATACTGAACTGGTTGTATTTATGTGGTGTGGAACAAGGGAAGTCCTCATTTGGTGTGTTATCTGATGATTATACAACACATGGAATAGGATTTAATTCTTGATGCCACATTTTAGCCCAAGCATGGCAGAGTAGGAGATGTCCAGGTGTGCGGCTCTGTGGGAGAGTAGAATTATGGATATGGAATTCCATAAGTGAGGAGGACTCCAGCCTGGCTTTGTTATATATTAACTGCCTCAGTTTTCTCATGTTTAAAATGAGAATAATTAATGTCTGCTTCCCAGGATCATCGTAATGTATAAAGGAAAACATACTCCTAATGAAGTGCTATACAGATATAAGGAAATCCCATTTATTTGATTGACAAGGGGACTTGAAGAAACTTTTCTGGTTTTGGTTTTTGAATTTTTAAGCTGGAAAAGAGGGGATTTTGGTAATGAAGCATGACGACAAAGGCAATAGCAGCTACTGTTTGTTAGATAACAACTGAAAGGGTAGGCGCTGTGCTCCACAACCTTGATATTTGATATAGGTCATCTCCATTTCAGCAGATTTGACATTTAAGACTTACGCTATCTATTGCTATTTACACATGTTAAACAAAAATTTTAAAGCACATACTGCATGGAGAGCAAAGCGCTGCATTCTAGCAAATACCAAGAAGAATCATACTTGATCATGCCAGCAAAGGAGACAAATATGGACTCCAATACTTTTAGGAAGTCAAAGTCAGCACAAAGAGGGGCTGGATGAAGGGGAATAACGTGGTGATGGGAAGACTTGATTATGGGATACGTGGTGGGTGCTCTGCATGAAGCATTGGTGTTAGTGTGTGTGCTGCTATTCAATAGTGAGGCTGCCCTCAGTGGCTGGACCTGGCAGCTAGAGAACAAGCAGTTCCATCTGTGTGTCTGTTGACCCCACACAGGATAAACAAGTAGATATGACATTGTAGTAGCCTTAAATTTTAGAATATGTGGTTTTATTTAGTGCCCTCTTTTCTTCTACCCCATTTCAATTGGTTGGGCTTTAAAACCACTTGTTTCATTTAGTTCTAAAACTTTACACTGTAATTCATGTTCATTTTAACGAATGTCAGAGGCCCTGGAAATGTCCAAGGGGGCAAGGGGGCTGGTGCTACTGTGATAGGACATGAGCAACGGTTTTCCACCTGCCTTGAGACTAGTAACTCAGATGAATATTTTAGATCTGATGCTGTCTTTTCTCTTGTTTTTTTTTTTTGTTGTTGTTGTTTTTAAACATTTCTACGTTTTGGCCAATAACCTCCTAAAATTAGCATAAATAAGTATATATCTATGCAAAGTCACCTGTCCAGGTACTCTTATGTTTCAGTCATTTTTCTGGTAGCCCCCCTTGTCTCCAATTCAAGATGGTGTCCGAAGAACTAGGTATATGCTTTTCTGGCAAAATATTAGACATTCCCTCAATCCAGTGAAAGTGATGAGTCAGCTGGTGCACATGCCAGTGTAATAATGCCAAGCCTTGTTATGCCTGTGCTCCTTTTTTTTTTTTTTTTTGAGACGGAGTCTCACTCTGTCGCCCAGGCAGGAGTGCATTGGTGTGATCTCAGCTCACTGCAAGCTCCCTCCCAGGTTCACGCCATTCTCCTGCCTCAGCCTCCCGAGTAGCTGGGAATACAGGTGCCTGCCACCATGCCTGGCTAATTTTTTTGTATATTTTTAGTAGAGACAGGGTTTCACCGTGTTAGCCAGGATGGTCTCGATCTCCTGACTTTGTAATCCACCCACCTTGGCCTCCCGAAGTGCTGGGATTGCAGGCATGAGCCACCGCACCCGGCCATGTTATGCCTGTATTTCTAAGAGTATGGGTTAATTTTAGAATTACTTTTTGGCTCAGGTTTAAATTAGGAAAGGTGAGTAGATTTGGGATGTTTAACCAGACCAGATGTAGTTTATCCTTGGGCTAGCAGTTCCTCCAGGATGTTTCAGAGCTGTTCAGGCTGGATCACGCTGGATCACCACTACAGTGATCTGTTGGAATGACAAAGGTGGAGTAACTTTCTGTGTTCATAAGTTCCATATCTAACTTTAAACCATATATGTCTGAGAGGAAATAATTTATATCTTGGCTCATTCACTCATTAACTTTTGAGTCCTTACTGTTTATAAAATAATGTGAAGATATAAAGATGAATTACAGAAGGATTTTGCCTTCAAGGAGCTTAGTCTTGTTGGAGAATTAAGATAGGTATATAATTAGCCATAATCCAAGGTAACAAGTGAAATATACCACATAAACATGCAAATTAACATCATGAAGATTCTGAAGAAAAAAATAGTTGTTTTCATTAATTCATAGAGATTGTGATGCGATGGTAGAATCAGGGATACCAAGGCATCATAGAGGAGATTCTTTAGAGCAAGAGGATGGACAGATGAGTGGAGTTGGACATACAAAATGCAGGAGAAAGGCCATGCAGAAAATAGGAATGATACTGAACAGTGGCATAGAGATGAGAAAGTGTAGAGCATATAAAGGAAAGAGTAAGAAATCAGTATAGCTGGACAGCAGCATACATGAGTGATAACTAAAATTAGCTTGCAAAGGTAACTTTGTAGTAAGATGAGAAAAATGATTGGCATGTAAGAGTGGATTTGTCATTTAACACCTATGTTCCCACCCTGGGAAGGTCCAGAAAACACTTTCACCATGACTGTGAAAAATAAATTAGTAAGGGGAACCCCAGCATCCTTGAAGTACCCCGATCACTCTTCTACGTCTACGTATGCCATACCTTACAGTGGGAACTCTGGTCACTGAATTGGGAAACCTAATGCAATGGAAGTAATTGGATCCCAGGGTGGCAGGAGCCAAATGGTGGCACTCAGTCACCAAAGGCAAGGCAGACATGATTACCAAAATGAACAGCAGAGTTAAAGCAGCAGTCATAATAGTCCAACTCACAAAGACCAATGGCTTTGGTTATTTGATCATGGCATTTCTAGAAGTGAAATGGGAAACGTAGTAAATTCTTACTTGATTTGTATAAGCAGGAAAGTTATAGGTTAGGTAAACAAAACTCAAACTTGATTAATAAAAACAGAGAGTCATGACCCTCAGTCAATTCCCATACTTGAGCCATTTCCAGACCCAGAATCCATTGAATGTAGGGAGGCTGAATTCCCTTAAGGAAGGATCCTGGTATGCTACCAAAAATTTATATTTTGTTAATCCTTCCCCAAAGGACTTAGGGCTTTTTACCAGTGTAACTGCATATTGGGGAAAAAGGAGTAATCAGACCTCTTAGGGACAGCTGGACACAGGCTCTGAACAGATAGTGATTCTAGGAGACCCAAAATGTCACTGTGATCCACCAGTTAAGAGTAATATTATGTGGGCTATTCTGGGTCCTTTGCCTTTTTATATAAACTTTAGAACTAGTTTGTTAATATCTGCAAAATAATTTGCTGAAATTTGGATTGCATTGAATCTGTAGATCAAGCTGGGAAGAACTGACATCTTGACAATGAGTCTTCCTGTCCATGAATGTGGAGTGTCTCTCCGTGTCTTTAGTTCTTTCATTTTGTTCATCAGTATTTTGTATTTTTCCTTATACAGATCTTGTATGTATTTTGTTAGATTGACACCTAAGTATTTTATTTTGGGGGGTGCTCATGTAAGTGGTATTATATTTTTAATTTCAAATTCTACTTGTTCATTGCTGATATGTATTAAAATGATTGACTTTTGTATATTAACCTTGTATCCTGCAACCTTGCTATAATTGCTTATTAGTTCCAGAGGGATTTTGTTCATTCTTTTGTATTTTCTACTTAGATGATCATGTCATCTGCGAACTAAGTTTTATTTCTTGCATACCTGGGATAAATGCCACTTGGTTGTGGTGTATAATTTTCTTGGTACATGGTTGGATTCAATTTGCTAGTATTCTACTGAAGATTTTTGTGTCTATGTCCATGAGAGATATTGGTCTGTCGTATTCTCATAGTATCTTTTTCTGCTTTTGGTATTAGGGTAATGCTGGCCTCATAGGATGAATTAGAAATATTCCTTCTGCTTGTATATTCTGAGGTAGATTGTAGAGGGTTGACATAATTTCTTTTTGAATGTTTGGTAGAATTCACCAGTGAACCTATCTGGTCCTGGTGCTTTCTGTTTTGGAAGGTTATTAATTATTTATTCTTTTATTGAGTTTCTTTATTGGTTTCCCTAGAATTTCTAGTATACATTTACAGCTAATCCAAGCCCAGTTCAAATAACACTCTACCTCTTGATAGGTAATGTGAGTGCCCTGTACTAATGAAATAATCCCGAATAAGATATATACATAAGCATACATAATTGAATACATTGTTGCTATTATTATTTTGGACAAACTGTTAGCTATTAGACCAATTAAGAATAAGCAAAATAAAAGTTTTTATTTTACCATCACTTATTTTTACTTCAGTGCTCCTCCTTTCTTTACGTAGATCTGAATTTTTGACCCATATTATTTTCTTTCTCTCTAAATAACTTCTTTTTAATTTATTTTTTATTTGAGACGGAGTCTTACTCTGTGGCCCAGGCTGGAGTGCAGTGTTGCAATCTCGGCTTACCGCAACCTCCACCTCCCGGGTTCAAGCCATTCTCCTGCCTCAGCCTCCCGTGTAGCTGGGATTACAGGCATGCACCACCATGCCCAGCTAATTTTTGTATTTTTGGTAGAGATGAGGTTTTGCCATGTTGGCCAGGCTGGTCTCAAACTCCTGACCTCAGGTGATCTGCCAGCCTCGGCCTCCCAAAGTGCTGGGATTATAGGAGGGAGCTACCACACCCAGCCTAAAGAATTTTTTTTTTTGTTTGTTTGTTTGTTTGTATTGTCGCCCAGGCTGGAGTGCAATGGCACGATCTTGGCTCACTGCAACCTCCACCTCCCAGGTTCAAGCGATCTACTCCCTCAGCCTCCCGAGTAGCTGGGACTACAGGCGTGCACCACCATGCCCAGCCAACTTTTGTATTTATAGTAGAGATGGAGTTTCACCATATTGGCCAGGCTGGTCTCGTACTTCTGACCTCATGATCTGCCTGCCTCGGCCTCCCAAATTCCTGGGATTACAGGCGTGAGCCACCGCGCCCGGCCAAGAACTTCTGTTAACATTCCTTGCAAGGCATGTCTACTGACAACAAATTTCTTCCATTTTTATTTGTTTGAAAAGTCTTGGCCGGGCGCAGTGGCTCACACCTGTAATCCCAGGACTTTGGGAGGCTGAGGCGGGAAGATCATTTGAGGTCAGGAATTCAAGACCAGCTTGACCAACGTGGTGAAATCTCGTCTCTACTAAAATACAAAAATTAGCCAGGCATGGTGGTGTGCACCTGTAATCCCAGCTACTCGGGAGGCTAAGGCAGAAGAATCGTTTGAACCCAGGAGGCAGAGGTTGCAGTGAGCTGTGATTGCACCACTGCACTCCAGCCTGGGCGACAGAGCGAGGCTCCTTCCCAATGGAAAAAAGAAAAAAAAGGAAAAGTTTTTATTTCTCCTTCACTTCTGATGGGTAATTTTGCTGAATACAAAACTCTAGGTTGATGCAGGTTTTTCTCTTAACATTTTGAATATTTCATTCCATTTTCTTCTTGCTTGCATGGTTTCTGAGATGTGAAATGTAATTCTTATCTTTGTTCCTCCATAGGTAAGGTGTGGTTTTTGTCCTTTTAACTTCTTTAAGAATTTTTGCTGTATCTTGGATTTTCTGTAGTTAGAAACTGATATGCTTATGTGTAGTTTTTTGGCATTTATCATGCTCGATGTTCTTTAAAATTTTGGACCTGTAGTTTGATGTCTGACAATAATTGAAGGAAATTCTTGGTCATTATTCCTTCAGGTATCTTTTTCTTTTCTTTTCTTTTTCTTTCTTTCTTCTTTTGTTATTCCTATTACACATAATTTATACCTTTTGCATAATAGTTGTCCCACAGTCCTTAGATACTCCATTTTGTTTTTTGTTTTTGTTTTTCCCCAGTCTTTGTTCTCTTTGCTTTTCAGTTTTGGAGCTTTCAGTTCTCTTCGGTAAAACATACACAAGTGTGAGGGTCCTCCTCTGACCAGGTCCCCTGGAGTTTTTTTTAATTCTCAGGATTGCTGTGCTAAGCTCCTAGCACTTGGTCAGTTACCATTCAATTTTTCCCACCCTGGCGCTGGTTCCCAGGGCAGTTTCCACTTATAATGCTCTGCTCTGGAAGCCACGAATACCTGTATTCACCTCTCTGCCTCTCCAATCTTGGGGACATTGGTTTGCCCTCTGCTCTCATCTGTATGGATCCAGGAAGAGTTGTTGATTTTTCCATTTGTTCAGCTTTTTACTTGTTGTCAGAATAGAGTAGTGACTTCTAAGCTCCTTACATGTGGATTTAGAAACTGTTTTTTGTTTTTTACTTTGTTCATGGTGTTTTAAAATTTTTGTTTTGCCTTATACATGTGTTTTATGTTTAACATAACTGTCTTTCTCCTTATGGCTTCTAGAGTTTGACTCATAGTTAGGGAAGTCTTCTCTAATTCGCCCCCTTTATTCTCCTAGTAGTTTCTTGGTTTCATTTTTTTTCCAATGACTGCCACTACCCAGTCCAACTTTCTTTGCCCACTGGGTCTGTTCCATTAGTCTGTATGCCTGTTTATGCTCTAGGGTCACACTGCTCTAATCATTGATTAGATCCTTGAGTATGTGATAGAGCTGGGACCCTTTAATTTTCCTGGATGTTTTGCTAGTTTATTTTTTCATATGAATTTTAGGATGAACTTGGCTAGTTCTAACCTGACATTGTAAAACTATGCTTTTTGTATCAGTATGAAAAGCCCCTTTTATGCAACATGAATTTCAGGAAAAGAATAGCTGTTTAAGAAACTGAAGATATGTAAAACATAATATATATACTCTATTTACATCGGCTTTATGTATGATTTTTGTTCATTAGAAAAAGATAGAATTTAATAGTTTGCTCTTGAATATTTACACATTTCAGGAATGCTTTTGTACATAAAAATAGATTTGTTTGGCTTTAATAGTATATTTTCATCTTATGTTCTTCTGTAACTCCTAAAGTTTTTAAATAATTTTATATTCCTTTAATTTTTCTTTTTCGGTATCTTGTTCTATTTTGAGTGGTAACAGTTTTGGGGTTTTTTATTTGCCCCAAGAATCTTCTAAAGATCTAAGGGATTATAGATACAATTGATGCCAATAACATGGAAAAGGACAATACATATTTCTTGTATCACAACTATTTTTAGAAGATTCATTGGACTATATAGATGAAGTTTTTACATTCAGGTAACATGATTGCATTTGTTTTTATGAATAATTGGAATATCTCATAATGTTCTAATTTATATCTACTCATAGGAACCTAAATGAATTTAGCAAATATGAGAGTTTTCTAGTCCCGGCTACTTGGGAGGTGGAAGCAGGAGGATTGTTTGATGCCAAGAGTTCTAGGCTGATGTACATTATGATCACACCTATGAAGGGCCAATGCACTCCAGCCTGGGCTGGAGACCCCCATCTCTTAAAAAAAAAAGACTAATATAATAGTTGTATGAAATTTGTATTATTTTGATGCTCATAGATAATACTTTCTTATATAAATGTATAGATCAACACCATATACCTAGAACTCAGATTTTTTTTTTTTTAATGAGTATAGAACAGGGATTCATAATCGGGGTTGGGGGTATCTGTGAGTGTGAATGGGAGAAAATGCATCGTTACTTTTGCTACCCTGTAACTGAAATTAAACATTCATTCAACTGTGAATCTAAGTGATAAACCACAGTAGTATTAGCATATTCGTGTTGTCACCAATAGAAAACACAGATCTTTTCATGTTAAATTACAGTGATTGCATATCTCTCAAATATACTCATCACCACTCTAAAATTAATTGCATCTGCCAATATCATGTAATTTAATGGGTGTATAAAGAAGCATATACATGAAACTATATTATAATTTTGTTATTGTGTTAACTATATTTTAGTATATTTTATAATCTTAGAAGTTGTGTTGTATGCATTTAAAGACATTACTATAGGCTATGTGTAGTGGCTCATGCCTGTAATCCCAGCACGTTGGGAGGCAGAAGCAGAAGGATCACTTGAGCCCAGAAGTTCAAGACCAGCCTAGGCAACATAGTGAGACCCTTTCTCTACAAAATTTTTTTAAAAACTAGCCAGGCATTGGGGGTGGGGGGCGGGAGAGCATCAGGAAAAATAGCTAATGCATGCTGGGCCTAATACCTAGGTAATGGGTTGATGGGTGCAGCAGACTACCATCGTACATGTTTATGTAACAAACTTCCACATCCTGCACATGTATCCTGGAACATAAAATAATAAAATAAAATAAAACAAAAAATATAAAATAAAATGTTAAGAAAATAAAATAAATTTAGTCAGGTGTTGGTGGCAGGTGCCTGTGGTCCTAGCTACTCTGGAGGCTGAGATGGGAGGATCACTTGAGCCCAGGAAGTCAAGGCTCCAGTGAGCCATGATTACACCACTGCACTCCAGCCTGAGTGACAGAGTGAGATCATGTCTCAGAAACAGAAAACAAAACAAATACATTATTATGAGAATAAATTAATAGATTTCATCAGAATACTAAAGAGGTCCATAGCATAAACAAGGTTGTAAATCCCTGATGTTAGAACATTTTAGTGGATGAAAATGTGGGTAGGATATAGAGTCTGTGCCATCCTTCTTATTTCTCTTGCTCTCCTACTAATAAGAAAGAATGAATCAAACTGAATGCTAGTTTTCTGATTACAAAAAGAAAACTTTGTAAACTTAACTTGGATGCTGTTATTGTCAATCTCATTAACAATCCTTCCCAGAGGTCAGACAATTGTACTAATGTTGCTGGTGATAGTACTATTGTACAGCCCTTACTTGTTACTGTGTAATTCAAAAAGCTCAGAAAATCAAAAGTTCTTTTGCAATTGTGGCACCCAAACTCATTTGGTGGCAAAATTTAACCGAACTGATATGAGACTATGTATATAAATAGTCTTTCTTTTCCTGCTAGCTGTAAATATTCATATATTTCACTATAGGAATATTAATGTGTTGATTATAGGATTCTGACCCAGATCCCACTTGGGAGAAGTACAAAATATATGGGATGTCTTTAATAAACCTTTCTAAAAATCTGAAAATTATGAACTTACAAACACAGCTAACCTTAAAGATTTTAGATAAGAGACTGTGGAGATGTAGTAATAAAATGATGTGAGGTGATGATAGTGCTGATGGTGGTCTTGGTAAAAATAATTTAATGGCCAGGCACGGTGGCTCAAGCCTGTAATCCCAGCACTTCGGGAGGCCAAGGCGGGCGGATCACCTGAGGTCGGGAGTTCGAGACCAGCCTGACCAACATGGAGAAACCCCGTCTCTACTAAAAATACATTAGCTGGGCATGGTGGCACATGCCTGTAATCCCAGCTACTCGGGAGGCTGAGGCAGGAGAATCGCCTGAACCTGGGAGGCAGAGGTTGTAGTGAGCCAAGATCATGCCGTTGCACTCCAGCCTGGGCAACAAGAGCAAAACTCCGTCTCAAAAAAAAAAAAAAAAAATTGATCTATTCTAGTTTGTTTTATATTTTAAAAAGAAGAACCTAAATTCAGTGTAACTTGTGTAAGGAGACCACCTATATTCAAAGATAGCCAAACTATTTTTCTTGCTAAGCCAGATTTTTAAATATTTCTTTTTTCTTTTTAATTTGTGGGGATATGTAGTAGGTGTATGTATTTGTGGGTTACGTAAGATATTTTGATACAGACATCCAGTGCGTAATAATCACTGGGGTAATGGGGTCTCCATCACTTCAAGCATTTATCCTTTGTGTTACAAACAATCCAACTATATTCTTTTGCTTATTTTTAAATGTACAGTTAAATTATTTTAAACAGTAGTCACCCTGTTGTGCTAGCAAATATTAGTCTTATTTGTTCTTTTTGTTGTTGTTTTGTTTGTTTAGTTTTGTTTTTTTGAGATGGAGTCTTGCTCTGTCACCCAGGCTAGAGTGCAGTGGGGCGATCTTGGCTCACTGCCAACCTTTGCCTCCCGGATTCCAGCAGTTCTCCCACCTCAGCCTTCCAAGTAGCTGGGATTATAGACACATCCTACCATGCCTGGCTAATTTTTTGTATTTTTAGTAGAGATGGGGTTTCACCACGTTGGCTAGGCTAGTCTCGAACTCCTGACCTCAAGTGATCCGCCCGCCTTGGCATGCCAAAGTGCTGGGATTAGAGATGTGAGCCACCACACTCAGCCTTTCCTTCTGCTATCTCCAGAAGTTCAATTGTTTTAATTTTTAGCTCCCACAAATAAGTAAGAACATGTGAAGTTTGTCTTTCTGTGCCTGGCTTATTTTACTTAATATAATGACACATAGTTCCATTCATGTTGTTGCAAATGACAGGATCTCATTCTTTTTCATGGCTGAATAGTATTCTATTAGATATATGTACCACATTTTCTTTCTCCATTTATCTGTTGATGGACACTTAGGTTGTTTCCAAATCTTAGCTATTGTAAATAGTGCTGCAGTAAACATGGGAGTGCAGATATCTCTTTGATATACTGATTTCCTTTCTTTTGGGTATATAACTAGGAGGGGGATTGCTGGATCGTATGGACTCTATTGGTACTTTTTTGAGGAACCTCCAAACTGTTCCTGATAGTGGTTGTACTAATTTACTTTCCCACCAGCAGTGTACAAGGGTTCCCTTTTCTCCATATCCTCACCAGCATTTGTTATTGCCTTTTAGATAGAAGCCATTTTAACTGGAATGAGATATCATTGTAGTTTTGATTTGTATTACTCTGACAATCAATGATGTCAAGCACCTTTTCATATACCTGTTTGCCATTTCTAATTCTTACTTTGAGAAATGTCTATTCGGATCTTTTGCCCATTTTTAATCAGATTATTAGATTTTTTCCTATAGAATTGTTTGAGGTCCTTATATATTGTGGTTATTACCCCTTGTCAGATGGACAGTTTGCACATATTTTCTCCCGTTCTTTGGGTTGTTTCTTCATTTTGTTGTTTTCTTCACTGGCAAAAGCTATTTAACTTCATGTGATCCCATTTGTCAATTTTTGCTTTGGTTCCCTGTGCCTGTGGGTTATTACTCAAGAAATCTTTGCCCAGTCTAACATCCTGGAGAGTTTCCCCAATGTTTTCTTGTAGTAGTGAGAGGTGACAACGTGCTAGCAGCCCTCGCTCGCTCTTGGCACCTCCTCAGGCCACGGCGTCCACTCTGGCCATGCTTGAGGAGCCCTTCAGCCTGCTGCTGCACCGTGGGAGCCCCTCTCTGGGCTGGCCAAAGCCGGAGCCGGCTCCCTCTGCTTGCAGGGAGGTGTGGAGGGAGAGGCGCGGGTGGCAACCAGGGCTGCGCGTGGTGTTCGCAGGCCAGCACGAGTTCCGGGTGGGTGCAGTCTCGCCCGGCCAGCACTCAGAGCTGCCGGCTGGCGACGCCGGCCCGGGCAATGAGAGGCTTAGCACCCGCGCCAGCAGCTGTGGAGGGTGCGCTGGGTCCCCCAGCACTGCTGGCCCGCCTGCACTGTGCTCGAATTCTCACTAGGCCTCAGCTGCCTCCCTGCGGGGCAGGGCTCGGGACCTGCAGCCTGCCATGCCGGCGCCCCCCCACCCCACCCCACCCCGTGGGCTCCTAAGCAGATGGAGCCTCCCCAGGGGGCGCCTCCCCCTGCTCCAAGGTGCCTGGTCCCATCTACCGCCCAAGGGCTGAGGAGTGCAGGCACGTGGCACGGGACTGGCGGGCACCTCTGCCCGCCGCCCTGGTGCAGGATCCACTAGGGGAAGCCAGCTGGGCTCCTGAGTTGGGTAGGGTCTTGGAGAACTTTTATGTCTAGCTAGAGGATTGTAAATGCACCAATCAGCAGTCTGTGTCTAGCTCAAGGTTTGTAAATGCACCAATCAGCACTCTGTGTCTAGCTCGGGGTTTGTGGATGCACGAGTCAGCACTCTGTATCTAGCTAATCTGGTGGGGACTTGGAGAACTTTTATGTGTAGCTAGAAGATTGTAAATGCACCAATCAGCCCTCTGTGTCTAGCTCCGGGTTTGTGGATGCACCAGTCAGCACTCTATATCTAGCTAATCTGGTGCGGACTTGGCGAACTTTTATGTCTAGCTAGAGGATTGTAAATGCACCAGTCAGCACTCTGTGTGTAGCTCAGGGATTGTAAACACACCAATCAGCACTCTGTCAAAACAGACTAATCAGCTCTCTGTAAAACAGACCAATCAGCTCTCTGTAAAATGGACCAATCAGCAGGATGTGAGTGGGGCCAGATAAGAGAATAAAAGCAGGCTGCCCAAGACAGCAGTGGCACGCTGCTCGAGTCCCCTTCCATGCTGTGAAAGGTTTGTTCTTTCGCTCTTTGCAGTAAATCTTGCCGGTGCTCACTCTTTGGGTTTGCACTGCCTTTGTGAGCTGTAACACTCACCACGAAAGTCTGCAGCTTCACTCCTGAAGCCAGCGAGACCACAAACCCACCAGGAGGCACGAACAACTCCAGACATGCCGCTTTTAAGAACTGTAACACTCACCGCAAAGGTCTGCAGCTTCACTCCTGAAGCCAGTGAGACCAGGAACCCACCAGAAGAAACTAACTCCGGACACATCTAAACATTTGAAGGAAGAAACTCCGGGCACACCATCTTTAAGAACTGGAACACTGCAAGGGTCCGCGGCTTCATTCTTGAAGTCAGTGAGACCAATAACCCACCAATTCCAGACACATTTGTTTCATAATTTGAGGTCTTACATTTAAGTCTTTAATCCAGTATGATTTTATTTTTGTACATAGCGATAGATAGGGGTCTAGTTTCATTCCTCTGCATGTGGATATCCAGTTTTCTCATTTTTCCTGCCATTTATTGAAGAGACCGTCTTTTCCCCAGTGTATATTCTTGGCAACTTTGTCCAAAATGAGTTCATTGTAGATGTATGGATCTATTTCTGAGGGCTCTATTCTGTTCCATTGGTCTGTGTATCTGTTTTTATGCCAGTACCATGATGTTTTGGTTACTGTAGCTTTGTAGTGTAATATAGTTGTAGTATTTGTATATTTGTGGTATTTTATATATATATATATATATTTGTATATTGTAGTGAGAGGTGACAATGTGCTAGCAGCCCTTGCTCGCTCTTGGTGCCTCCTCAGGCCTCAGCATCCACTCTCGCTGCACTTGAGGAGCCCTTCAGCCTGCCACTGCACTGTGGGAGCCCCTCTCTGGGCTGGCCAAGGCTGGAGCCGGCTCCCTCTGCTTGCAGGGAGGTATGGAGAGAGAGGTGTGGGCGGGAACTGGGTCTGCGCCAGGCGCTCGCGGGCCAGCATGAGTTCTGGGTGGGCACTGGCTTGGCAGGCCCCACATTTGGAGTGGCTGGCAGCAACGGCCCTGGGCAGTGAGGGGCTTAGCACCTGGGCCAGCAGCTGCAGAGGGTGCGCTGAGTTCCCCAGCACTGTCGGCCTGCCTGCACTCAAATTCTCACTGGGCCTCAGCTGCCTGCCCGTGGGGCAGGGCTTGGGACCTGCAGCCTGCCATGCCTGAGCCCTGTCCCTGCCCCGCTGCCGTGGTCTCCCATGAGGCCCAAGCCTCCCCGACGGGCGCCACCCCCTGCTCCGCGGCGACCGGTCCCATTGACTGCCCAAGGGCTGAGGAGTGCGGGCGTGTGGCGCAGGACTGGTGGGCAGCTCCACCCGCAGCCCCAACGCGGGATCCACTAGGTGAAGCCAGCTGGGCTTCTGAGTCGGGTGGGGACTTGGAGAACTTTTGTGTCTAGCTCAAGGTTTGTAAACGCACCAATCAGCACCCTGTCAAAAGAGACCAATCAGCTCTCTGTAAAATGGACCAATCAGCTCTCCGTGAAATGGACCAATGAGCAGGATATGGGTGGGGTCGGATAAGGGAATAAAAGCAGGCTGCCCAAGCCAGCAGTGGCAACCCGCTGGGGTCCCCTTCCACACTGTGGAAGCTTTGTTCTTTCGCTCTTTGCAGTAAATCTTGCTGCTGCTCACTCTTTGGGTCCTCACCACCTTTATGAGCTGTAACACTCACCGCCAAGGTCTGCAGCTTCACTCCTGAAGCCAGCAAGACCATGAACCCAGCGGGAGGGAGGAACAACTCCAGAGGGGAGGAATGAACAACTCCAGATGCCCTGGGCCTTTAAGAGCTGTAACACTCATGGCGAAGGTCTGCAGCTTCACTCCTGAAGCCAGCAAGACCATGAACCCACCAGAAGGAAGAAACTCCGGACGCATCTGAACATCTGAAGGCACAAACTCCGGACACACCATCTTTAAGAACTATAACACTCACCGTGAGGGTCCGCAGCTTCATTCTTGAAGTCAGCGAGACCAAGAACCCACCAATTCCGGACACAGTGTTATTTGTATATTTGTAGTATTATTTAAAGTTAACATGATTCCTACAGTTCTGTTCTTTTTGCTTAGGATACCTTTGGCTATTCTGGATCTTTTGTGGTTCCATATAAATTTTAGGATTTTTTTTTTCTATTTCTATGAAGAATGTCATTGGTATTTTTATAGGGATTGTATTGAATCTGTAAGATAGCTTTGGGTAATATGGACATTTTAACAATGTTGATTCTTCCAATCCATGAACATCGACTATCTTTCCATTTTTTGTGTGTCCTCTTCAATTTCTTGCATCAGTGTTTTATAGTTTTCATTATAGAGACCTTTCACTTTAATTCCTAGGTATTTTTTTTTTGTAGCTATTGTAAATGGGATTACTTTCTTGATTTCTTTTTCAGCTTGTTTGCTATTGGCATATGGAAATGTGACTGATTTTTGTATGTTGATTTTGTATCCTCCAACTTTACTGAATTTATCAATTCTAATAGATTTTCGGGAGGGGTTCAGATTTAGGTTTTTCCAAATATAAGATCATACCATCTGCAAGCAAGTATGATTTGACTTCTTCCTTTTCAGTTTCAATGGCCTTTATTTCTTTCTGTTGTCTGATTGCTCTAGCTAGGACTTCCAGTACTGTGTTGAATAACAGTGATGAAAGTGGGCATCCTTATCGTGTTCCTGATCTTAGAAGAAAGGCTTTTAGTTTTTCCCTACTCAGTATGATACTAGCCATGAGTTACTCATATATGCCTTTTATTGTTTTGAGATATGTTCCTTATATACCCAGTTTTTTGAGGGTTTTTATCATGAAGGGATGTTGAAGTTTATGAAATGCTTTTTCAACATCAGTTGGAATAATCATATGGTTTTTGTCCTTCATTCTGTTGATATGATGTGTCAGATTGATTGATTTGCATATGTTGAACCATCTTTGCATCCCTGGGAAAAATCCCACTTGGTTAGGATGAATGATCTTTTTAATGTGTTGTTGAATTCAGTTGGCTAGAATTTTCTTGAGAATTTTTACATCAACATTCATCAGTGATAATGACCTGTAGATTTCTTTTTTTATTTTTCTTTTTTAATAATTAGGTATTCAGTATCCAAAAAAAAATTTTTTTTTTTTTTGATAAGTCTTTGTCTGGTTCTGGTTCTGTTGCCAAAGTGCCAGGGATTCTGTTTAGGTACTGCTGCTCACTGGACAGAAAACCAGTCAATGAGACAACAGTTATTGCCAGGGGAGAAGGCTTTAATTGGGTGCCTGCAGCTGAGGAGATGGGAGATCAGTCTCAAATCATCTCCATGGCCAACTAAAATTAGGGGTTTATATACAGGGAAGAAATGTAACCATGTGTGGGAAAACAAGCGTTAGGGAGGGGTGAGGAAAAGAAGTTGGTCAACAGGAAGTAGGTGGTCGGTTAGGCAATCATGATGGGTGGGGGATTTGAACTCTCATTGTCCAGGTGCAGTGATCTGGTAAGTTTCAGCTCCTTCATACTCTGGGAGGCCTGATGGGTGGTTTCCTGAGAAAGGAACTTGGATAAGACAAATGAAACTTTTTCAAGTGTTAAGACTGGGAGAATCAATTTCTATGTCTATTCAGAGAAATTTATCAGCTCTATGCAACAACTTGGTTGGTTTTAATGCATGATCTTTTTAATGTGTTGTTGGATTTGATTTGCTAGTACTTTATTGAGGATTTTTGCATTAATATTCATCAGTGATACTGGCCTGTAGATTTCTTTTTTTGATGTGTCTTTTGTCTGGTTTTGATGTCAGGGGATTACTCACCTTTGAGAATGAGTTTGGAAGAAATATTCCCTCCTATTTTTCAGAATAGTTTGAGAAGGATTGGTATTAGTTCTTCTTTAAATGTTAGGTAGAATCAGCTGTGAAGCTATTGGGTCCTAGGATTTTCTTTGCTGGGAAGCTTTTTATCACTTTGATCTCATTACTTATTATTTATCTGTTCAGGTTTTGGATTTCTTCATGGTTTGATCTTGGTAGGTTGTATGTGTCTAAGAATTTATCCATTTCATCTGAGTTTTCCAATTTATTGGGATGTAGTTGTTCATAGTAGACACTAATAATCCTTTGACTTTCTGGGGTATCAGTTCTTTTTTTTTTTTTTTTTTTTGAACAGAGTCTTGCTCTGTTGCCCAGGCTGGAGTGCAGTGGTGCAATCTCAGCTCATTGCAACCTCCGCCTCCCAGGTTTAAGCAATTCTGTGCGTCAGCCTCCCAAGTAGCTAGGATTACAGACACGTGCCATCATGCCCAGCTAATTTTTGTATTTTTAGTAGAGACGGGGTTTCACCATCTTGGCTAGGCTGGTCTTGAACTCCTGACCTCGTGATCCACCCACCTTGGCCTCCCAAAGTGCTGGGATTACAGGCATGAGCCACCGCACCCAGCTGGTATCAGTTCTAATGTCTCCTTTTACGTCTTTGATTTTGTTTATTTAGGTCTTTTGTCTTTTTTTCATAGTCTGGCTAAAGGTTTGTCAATTTTATTTGTCTTTTCAAAAAATCAACTTGTTGTTTTGTTGATTTTTTGTATTGTGTTGTTTCACTTTTATTTATTTCTGTTCTGATCTTTATTCTTTGCCTTTACTAATTTGGAGTTTTCTAGTTTTCTAGAAACTAGTTTTCTAGTTCTTTAGGATGCATTTTTAGGTTGTTTATTTGAAGTTTTTTTAGTTTGTTTTGTTTGTTTGTTTGTTTTAATGTAGGTGCCAGCCAGGCCCTTGTCCTTCCCTTCAGGGCAGCAAGTTCCCCCAGGCCCCGGGGTAGGTCTAGAGATGCTGTCTGGTCACTAGGGACTGGAGTCAGAAACCTTAGAAATCTGCCTACTTTTCTGCCTGGTATTCTGTTCTACTGTGGTTGAGCTAGCACTCAAACCATGGGACACAGTCCTTCCCACTCTTCCCTCGCCTCTTCCACAGGCAGAGGAGCCTCACCCCATGGCCACCACCACAGGCCCATGGGGATTACTGCCAGGCTACTGCTGATGTTCATTGAGGGCCCAAGGCCTTTCCAGTCAGTTTTTAGTGAATGCTGCCAGGCCCTGGGACTCACCCTTCAGGGCAGTGGGCTCCCCTCTGGCCCAGTGCAGATCCGGAAATGCTGTCCTAGAGCCAAGTCCTCTTACTGGGAGCCCCAAGAGCCTACTTGGTGCTCTACCCCACTGTGGCCAAGCTGGTACCTAAATTGCAAGATAAAGCCCCTTTTACTTCTCCCTCTGCTTTACTCAAGCACGAGAAGTCTTTCACCTTAGCCACCACAGCGGGGAAGGGGCTGGGTCTCACCTGAAGCCAACTCATCCTGTAGTCTAACCCAAGGTCCATGGCGTACTACCTGGGTATTGCTGCTGATTATTTAGGGCCCAAGGACTCATTAGTCAGCAGGTGATGAATCCTGCCAAGACTGGTTCCTTCTGTTCAAGGCAGCAGGTTCCTTTCTGCCCCAGGGTATACCTAGAAATCCATTAGCTGGGGCCTGGAATGGGGGTCTCATGACTGCCTGGTGTTCTTGTAGCAGGAAGAGCCGCAGACAAAACCCCTCAGACACCGAGTTAAAGAAGGAAGGGGTTTATTTGGCTGGGAGCATTGGCAAGACTCCTGTCTCAAGAGAGCTCCTGGAGTGAGCAATTCCTGTCCCTTTTAAGGGCTCACAACTCTAAGGGGGTCCACGTGAGAGGGTTGTGATTGATTGAGCAAGCAGGGGGTACGTGACTGGGGGTTGCATACACTGGTAATTAGAACGGAACAGAATAGGACAGGGATCTTCACAGTGCTTTTTTTATGCAAATAACCAATTAGGTCAGGGGTTGATCTTTAACTACCAGGCCCAGGGTGTGGTGCCGGGCTGTCTGCTTGTGGATTTCATTTCTGCCTTTTAGTTTTTACTTCTCTCTTTGGAGGCAGAAATTGGGCATAAGACAATATGAGGGGTGGTCTCCTCCCTTATTCTGTCTTACTGTGGCTGAAGCTGGTATCCAATATGCAAGATATAGTCCTCTTTTCCCTCTCCTCTCTTCAAGTGGAAAAAAGGGGTCTCTTTTGGAGCTGCAGACTGTGCTGCCTGGCGTTGGGAGAGGGATAGTGCAAGTACTCTTTTAGCCATCCTGGCTGGTGTCTCAGTAGGTCATGTACCCCACAAGTCCACTGGCTCTGAGCCCAGCTCAGCACCAGGACTTGCCAGGAGTTGCAGTCCTTGTGGCTTAGAGTGCCTTTCAAGTTCATTTAGAGCCTCAGAGCACTTAAGCACGCAGTGGTAAGGCTTGCCAGAACTCAAGTTCCCACTACGGGGATAGGCATTTAGGCGATTCCTCTGTGGCTAGCGCTGGTCTTAATGTTCCTTCTGTGAGTGGGCATTGGCCTCAGCCCGATTTACTTTCCCCTGTGACAGGACAGCACTGAATTCGGTGCAAAGTCTCACAATTGCTGTGCTTTTCTTTTCCCAAGCACACAGATTCTCTCTGCGGCCCATGGCCACTGCCAGGAGGTGGAGGAGGGGTGGCATCAGCAATTCAAGACTGTCTTTCCTACCCTCTTTGGTGCCTCTTTCGGTGGTCTGAAGTTAAAACCTGGTACTGATTTCTGGTTCTTATGAAGGTGCCGTTTTTGTGATAGTTGTTAAATTTGGTGTTCCTGCAGGGCTGATGATCAATAAAGCTGTCTATTCAGCTCTCTTGCTCCACCCCTCTCCCGCCCCATATTTTTTTTTTTTTCTGAGACGGAGTCTCGCTCTGTCACCCAGACTGGAGTGCAGTGGCGTGATGTTGGCTCACTGCAAGCTCTACCTCCTGCCATGCCATTCTCCCGCCTCAGCCTCCTGAGTAGCTGGGACTACAGGCACCTGTCACCACGCCCGGCTAATTTTGTTTTTGTATTTTTAGTAGACACAGGGTTTCTCCGTGTTAGCCAGGATGGTCTCAATCTCCCGACCTCGTGATCTGCCCGCCTCGGCCTCCCAAAATGCTGGGATTACAGGCGTGAGCCACCGCGCCCAGCCACAACCCAGACTTTTAAGAATACAATTCTATAAGTTTTTGAAAAGATTTCTACTAAATATTTTATTTTATATATACAAAAAGGAACTCAGAAGTAGATGTATTACTGTTATAAAACAACTTACCAATTTAATTATGAGATATTTATTTAGCATCTGCTATGAACCAAGTGCTGTATGACATACAGCATTTTGTTCACAATGGTGAACAAAATAGACAAGATCCAAAGCATTATGGGCCTTACATTTTAGTGGAGAAAGTAGACAATAAACAAACATTATGGTTTGAGGTGCTTATTACTTATTCACATGGAAGTATTAAGTAGACCATATGATATATTGCCTGCATCCCAGAGACAAACTGTAGATTAGTAATATAAGTTAAGGAAATATCGGAATACATATTGTATTCATAGCATTGGCTATGTATAAGAGCACTTTGCAAGAGATTTTGGAAGAAAGTAGAGTGCATGAGCTCTGAGGAACTCCATCAATTAAACAGTTGCAGGAGGAAGGATCTGTAGACAGATTGAGAAGTAGTTGCTGAGAGAAAATCTAGAATCCAGAGTGTTTAGAACGGAAGAAGTGAGTCACTTGTGTTGGATGCTATTAAGCAGTCATTTAGGATGAGAATGGGTTAAACTTCATATATAGAGATTGTTTGTGATTTTAGTATTTGTGTTTCAGTGGTTTCAGAAGGAAAGACGTTAGATGGGAATGAATTAAACAGTGAATGGAAGGAGGGAAGGGAGAGATGGGCGCATTACAGATAGTGGCTCATGTCTGTAATCCTAGCACTTTGGGAGACCAAGGCAGGAGGATTGCTCGAGCCCAGGGGTTCAAAACTAGCCTGCGCAACATAGCAAGACCTCATCTCTGCAGAAAATTTAAAAATTAGCCAGGTGTCACCATGCACCTGTAGTCCCAGCTACTCAGGAGGCAGAGGCTGCAGTGAGCCACGATCACACCATTGCACTCTAGCCTGGGTGACAGAGTGAGATCCTGTCTCTCTAGAAAAAAAAGAAGAAATAACAACTCTTGAGAAAAACAAGTACTACATAAACTGCTGCCTTACCTTCATGACTCTATCCAAACGAATACCTGAGATTTTTCTCTTTTCATCTTCATCTTCCAGGCCTTCTGCAGCCTCATAGCAAAGATGAGGGCATCATTGCTACCATCAGCATTGCTACCGCCCTTTCGGGAGGTTTGCTTGTAAAGGGAGCACAGAAATGGGATTGCACTGGAGGGTATGAGGGGTTAGGAGAGTGGGGCTGACCTTTAAACAGGAATAGAAGACCTACTCCTCCACTGTGAAAGGAAGAAAGGGAAAATAAGTAGAGATTCCTATCAGTTTGTACATTTGAAAGTGGGAAAATGATTGTTTTATTTGGAGCTGAGCCCTAGAGAGGCAGAAAAGAGTGTTGGATTAAAGAGAAAGATGATATAAAATGACTTCTTGAAGAAGAATGGATCAGCTCCTGTAGGCAAGGTAATTGAGCAGA
Source organism: Homo sapiens (assembly GCF_000001405.40). Classification (NCBI taxonomy): domain Eukaryota; kingdom Metazoa; phylum Chordata; class Mammalia; order Primates; family Hominidae; genus Homo; species Homo sapiens. Next base: position 12,549,917 of record NC_000018.10, on the reverse strand, counting down.
GAAAAGAGCAAGCTTGCTGAGTGATTCTTGGGTCTTTGCTATGGTTGGAAGCCATCGCTGGTGTTGATATTTGCAATGGTTTTGTGATTTTTCTCCCCCCAGCTCTAGAGGGAGAGATAGGGTTATATAACAGGGTTTTTCCCGCCTCCCTAGGAAGAAGGATAGGGTTGATTGGGCACGGTAGCTCACAGCTGTAATCCCAGCACTCCGGGAGGCCAAGGCAGGCGGATCACGAGGTCAGGAGATCGAGACTGTCCTGGCCAACATGGTGAAACCCCGACTCTACTAAAATACAAAAAGTACCCCGGCATGGTGGTGCACACCTGTACTCCCAGCTACTCAAGAGGCTGAGGCAGGGGAATCCCTTGAACCCGGGAGGTGGAGATTGCAGTGAGCCGAGATCGCGCCACTACACTCCAGCCTGGTGACAGAGCAAGACTCTGTCTCCAAAAAAAAAAAAAAAAAAAAAAAAAAAAAACAACAATAACAAAAACAAACAAAAAGCAAAACAAAAAAAGAAGGGGAGGGTTATATGGATGGTTAGAGTCATCCAATCATGTAAAACTCAGTTAATTGTGATTTCTCACTGGGAATAATTGCAACAAGACCTTCTCAGCCTTAAAAATATATATACTGAATGTAATCTAACTTTTTGATTTCTGAGGCTTTCATTATATTAGTAGGGACGCTCTGATAGTTAAAGTGACTGCCCTAGGTTCAGTTTAACAAGTTTTTTTCTAATGCACACCACAGTGTTAGGCTCTGCCGTCTTTGAAAGTTAAAATCCTTGCCCTAAGCAGCACCTGCCTGTGGTGAGAATGGTACATGCTGTGAGAGCAATGTGTACCCTGTGCCAGGGAAGCACTGAAATGGTACCTTCTCCTGAACAGGCTGGTGGACAAAGTGGGGATTGTCCTGGGACACTGCCAGGAGGGATAACTAAAGTAGTCAATTGCCTTGGAACTTAGAAGATCCATTGTTTAAATTCATTTTTATAATAGAAAATAGTGCGTGGTGGCTCATTCCTGTAATCCTAGCACTTTGAGAGGCCGAGGCAGGCCCATTGCTTAAGTCCAGGAGTTTGAGTCCAGCTTGGACAACATGGTGAAACCCCGTTTCTAAAAAATTCCAAAAAAAATTAGCCAGGCCTGGTGGTGTGTACCTGTTTTCCCAGCTACTAGGGAGGCTAAGGTGGGAGGATCATCTCAGCCCAAGGAGGTTGAAGCTGCAGTGAGCCGTAATTGTACCACTGCACTCCAGCCCGGGTGACAGAGTGAGACCTTGTCTCAAAAGAAGAAGAAAAAAAAAAAAAAGAAAGAAAAGAATGGCTACAGTGCCAGGTCAGACTGTAAATCCAGTGAAAATATTACATGTTTTCAGTAAAAAATATTTTAAAACAGTATTGTTTAAAAACTTAGAAGTTAAGAATTTTTAAGCATGATATTCATTTTGAATGCTAGTGTTGAGAAAATATTATTTCATTGGTAAAGTAGATTTCAGATTTTGTAGAGAATTTTTGAATTTTTGTAGAGAATTTTGAGTGAGGCTTTTAAGAGCTAGTCAATGACTCTCTTGTATTTAACTCATGTTAGAAACTTCTGACTTTCTTTTTTATTTGTGATGCACTTTTTTAAAAATGCGGTATTACCAGCTATAAATGAAATACTGAAAATGAAAGATTTTATTTATTTTGGGAGTAACTGATAAACATTGGAAAAGAATGGGCTAAAGGAAGGAGAGAGCAGTGAGATCATTATTGAGTCCCTGTAATAAGTCAGATATTGTACCAGGTACTTCCATGCATAGTGAATGCATAGTCTCAACAGAATCTTATTAAATGGAGGTATCATTGACATCCCCATTTAACGGATGAGAAAAGTCATCACTAAAATGATTTGTCCTGAGGCAGCTGGCTAGTGGTAAAAGTCAGGATTTAATTTTAATTCTTTGGCTTCATTGCCTGTTTGTTGTTGTTGTTGTTGTTTGTTTGTTTGTTTTTATGAGATAGAGTTTTGCTGAAGTGCAGTGGCGCAATGTCAGCTCCGCTTCCCCAGTTCAAGCGATTCTCCTGCCTCAGCCTTCCAAGAAACTGGGATTACCGGCACACGCCACCACGCCCAGCTCATTTTTGTAATTTTAGTAGAGACAGGGTTTCGCCATGTTGGCCAGGCTGATCTCGAACTCCTGACCTCAAGTGATCTGCTCGCCTCAGCCTCCCAAAGTGCTGGGATTACAGGCATGAGCCACCACGCTGGCTGCCAGTGTTCTTTAGAGAGAGAGAGAGAGACACAGAGAGAGAGAGAACAATAAAATTAAAAGGTTTTATATGTGCTTTTTTAAATATATAGCAGAAAGGCACTATTGAGAAATAAAGTGGGATTTCCTGTATTGGCCAAAGTCTGGAGCAGTTGTCGAGGTGGTATGCAACAGTGGTGTATCTACTGTTCATAAATGAGGTTCATTTGCCCGGCAGTAATATTGATGGAGGTGTGTGGTAGGGAGGGTTATCTGTGAGCTGCCTTGAAAATTCAGGGTTTGCAAAAGGTCTCTCATTTGTTTGCATCGTCTGAGAGAGATGTGTTTTCAGTGATTGAATGGAACTAGAGAAGTGTGTATACATGGATATGAATAGATTTTTGTTGTTGTTTAGGCTTGAGTTAATTGCTACCCGTAAGTGAGTTTTCAGTCTTTCAGATACTTGGGATGTCTGTGCATCTCTAATTAGATAAACATTGGCATAAGAGTTCTGAGAGGATATATTCTTTGATAACTATATCTGTTCTCAGAAATACCTTTGGGAAATGTGGAAAATCAACTCGGTTAATATTTTATATATGAATGGCAAATACAAATTTTAACACAAAGTATAAATCTAAGAGAATATAAAAAGGGTTTGTGTATGTGTTGTATGTTGGTTTGAGGGAAAAAATCATACTAAACATCTTATGCCTCACAATTAGTCCTAGAAAGCTCTTCATTCATCTCCATTAACCACTTTTTTAAATGTTCCTAGGTCATTGAATCTTTGGGAATTATTATTTATAAAGCACTGGACTATGGTTTGAAGGAGAATGAAGAAAGGGAATTAAGCCCTCCCCTAGAGCAGCTTATCGATCACATGGCCAACACGGTGGAAGCTGACGGTAGCAATGATGAGGGCTATGAGGCTGCAGAAGAAGGCCTGGGAGATGAAGATGAAAAGAGAAAAATCTCAGCTATTCGGTCATATAGAGATGTCATGAAGGTAAGGCAGCGTTTTATGCAGTACTTGTTTTTTTCAAGAGTTGTTATTTCTTCTTCTTTTTTTTCCCCCCCTGGAGAGATGGTCTCACTCTGTCGCCCAGGCTAGAGTGCAGTGGTGTGATCATGGCTCACTGTAGCCTCTGCCTCATGAGTAGCTGGGACTACAGGTGTATGCCACCACACCTGGCTAATTTTTAAATTTTTTGCAGAGATGAGGTCTTGCTATGTTGCTCAGGCTGGTTTTGAACCCCTGGGCTCAAGTGATTCTCCTGCCTTGGCCTCCCAGAGTGCTGGGATTACAGAAATGAGCCACTGTGTCCAAGCTGTTATTTTTTAAAAAATTGAATGGTTGACACATATCTACATTTATTTAAAAATAATAACGAGGCTGGGCGCGATGGCTCACGGCTGTAATCCCAGCACTTTGGGAGGCCGAGGCAGGCGGATCACGAGGTCAGGAGATCAAGAACGTCCTGGCTAACACGGTCAAACCCTGTCTCTACTAAAAATACAAAAAATTAGCTGGGCGTGGTGGCGGGCACCTGTAGTCCCAGCTACTTGGGAGGCTGAGGCAGGAGAATGGCGTGAACCTGGGAGGCAGAGCTTGCAGTGAGCTGAGATCACGCCACTGCACTTCAGCCTGGGTGACAGAGCGAGACTCCGTCTCAATAATAATAATAATAATAAAGAACGGTGATTCGGCATTTAATAATAGTTCCCAGATTTGTCAGCAGCCTGAACATGGACATTTATGATTGAATCATAACTCAAGAAACCGCTTTTAGATATTATATACCCCTTATCATTACATGTCATGTATCAGCTTGACTGGGCATTATATCTTCAGTTGACCTCTGTATTTCCTTTTTCTAGAGTAAAAAACAACTGTGATCCACTTACTTACATGAAGATTTTGCATCTCAAGTGTCACAGCTGATTGTTTTAGGTTTTCTTGACCTACTTAGTGGTATTTATATGTAATGAAGCAAGTTTGGTTGGTTATACTGAATTTTTCTCTTTTAAATTTTGCTATGTACTTGAAGGTCATAATTTCTACCATGCCAAATGTACAGAGATTAACATCAAACAGATCTGTCAAATTAGCCATAAAAGCATTCTGTTTTCAGTTATTTATATATGATATTTACTAGGTTTTATAAGCAGTGTCAATGGTGTATCTCTTATTTTCCAACTTTTCATAAAGGTGTTTCAGAGACAGGAATATAGAAGCACTGTGACAGTGGTAGTTTTCAGGTGTGCTGAGTGCCCCTGTTCCTTAGGCCTCCTTAGATGGTACAACTCTCAAGGACTCTGGAAAGAACTATACAAGTTATTATTCTTATGAAATTCAGATATATTCTTTAGTTCTTTTAAGATGTGTAGTGCTTCTCATTTTAAATCAGCAGGCTCTACACATAAAATACATATATATAAATACACAAACAAATAGAAATTTGATGTGTTTTATTTATGTTATGTTTTCTAGATGTTAAGGTTTATTTTTTAAAAACATGTAAACACACTTAAAGGCCAATTAAACTTTCTGCAGACCACAAATGACCAGCTTGTTCTGTGGAAGACCATTGATAAATAGTGATTGAAAAAATGAAGAGTAAAACATTTTACATTAAGTAGCAAAACCACTCATACATCTGAAAGTGAGCTAACAGTATTTTGGTGGTGTGTGTGTTGGGGGAAGTATACATAAGGAGTGGTGAAAGAGGAAAGGAACACCCACCTAACCAACTAGATCCATAAAATCAACCCTGGCACCAGTAATGTAACATGTCATAGCCAGATTGCTGTCTTAAACTACAGGTTTGGAAGATGAGATCCAGAGAGTAATTGGAATTTTAAAATTCTTATTCAATGACATTAAATATCTTAACTTATAAAAAAATTATTGGACATTTAGAAGTTTGAATGGATACCTTTTATTTTTTAATTTGAGCTACTGTGGTTCCCTAACTTATTGCTATCATTATATGAAAAATGAATAGTTAAAAGGGTGCTTACGAGGACAGGTTTTTGGCTGGGCATGGTGGCTCACACCTGTAATCCCACCACTTTGGGAGACCCAGGTGGGAGGATCACTTGAGCTCAGGAGTTTGAGACCAGCCTGGGCAACATAGTGAGACCTCGTCTCTATTTAAAAGGAAAAAAAAAAAAACGACTGGGCGCGATAGCTGATGCCTGTAATCCCAGCATTTTGGGAGGCCGAGGCAGGTGGATCACTTGAGGCCAAGAGTTCAAGACTAGCTGGCCAACATGGGGAAACCCTGTTTCTACTAAAAAAAAAAATACAAAATTAATCAGGTGTGGTGGCACATACCTGTAGTCCCAGCTAGTCAGGAGGCTGAGGCATGAGAATCTCTTGAACCTAGGAGGTGGAGGTTGCATTGAGCTGAGAGCACACCACTGCACTCCAGCCTGGGTGACAGAGTGAGACTCTGTCTCAAAAAAAGAAAAAAAAAAAGAAAGAAAGAAAAAAAATTTTTTTAAGGTTTTATAGATTGAAGGAAAACTGAAGACTACCAATTCTATTAGAAATTTTATTGGAGAATATCACAACCTCACCTGTTGTTTCTTGGTTTCCATGCTAATCAAAACTGACCCATAAAATTCTCCACATCTGTGACTGTTCTGAATGTTCCATGTAGCTGAATGAGAAGAAAAATAATTGCTGAAACATTTTACAAGTAAACGGAAATTTTAAAGTATTATAAAACCCATGATTCCTCATCGTGTAGTGCAGATATGAGTTTGTGGTTTGGTTAGCAGGTTAAAAACCTCAATTCATAAATTGACTCATTGTTTACTTTGTTGGAAGAGAAGACAAGAATTATCTGAAGAATTGTAACTGCTTTCTCCTTGTTTGAAGTAGAAATGTGAAACTAAGTTTAATTAATACAAATAATAGGATGTTTAAGAACTTGAAACAATTTGTTTTCAATTCTTAGCAAGCAAGACGCTCTTTAATGTGTAACTTTTGTCCCGGATAGTCTTTTATTTCAAGTAATCTAATAATTTGTTATGTTTTAATATGGTACATTGTAGTTGAAAAGTGCCTTTATATCCCCCTTCTATTACTGGAGCCTTAGGGTAACACTGTGAGGTAGATTGGGCAGGCATTCCAATACCCGTTTCACAAAGTAAGTCAGGGGGAGAGTAATGTTAGAAGACAGAGTGGAATGCTATCTTCAAAGTTCTAACATTAAATCTAGAATTATTTATCCAGTATAATGTCTCAACAATAAAGGTAAAATATCAGCTAGGCATGGTGGATCACTTGAGCCCAGGAGGTTGAGGCTGCAGTGGGCAGTAATGGTGCCGTTGCACTCAAGCCTGGGTGACACAGTGAGATCTTTTTTTGTTTTGTTTCTTTAAGAAAAGGTAAAATATCTTATCTGACAAACACAGAAAATTTGTCACCAGCAGACCTTGACTAAAGGCAATACCAAAGAGTATACATCAGGCAGAAGGCAGTCCATGTCTGGTAGAAACTAGGAGATGCAGAATATTTGAAGAGCAAAGAAAAATAAACATGGGCCAGACATGGTGGCTCACGCCTGTAATCCCAGCACTTTGGGAGGCCGAGACGGGCGGATCATTTGAGGTCAGGAGTTCACGACCAGCCTGGCCAACATAGTGAAACCCCATCTCTACTAAAAATACAAAAAATTAGCTGGGCATGGTGGTGCATGCCTGAAATCCCAGCTACTTGTGAGGCTAAGGCAGGAGAATGGCTTGAACCTGGGAGGCGGAGGTTGCAGTAAGCCAAGATTGTGCCCCTGCACTCCAGCCTGGGCGATGGAGCAAGACTCCACCTCAAAAAAAGAAAAATAAACATGAAAATAAATCTAAATGAATATTAACAGCAAAAAATAATAATGTCTTACATGATTTAGAATATATTTAGAATTAAAATGTATAACAGTAGCGTGGAGTTAGTGTTCTAAGACCTTGGCATTGGGAAGAGGTTAAAGCACTAATTTATTAGTGCTAACCTTTATTAGGAAAGCCACTAAAGCCTAACCTTTATTAGAAAAGCCACTAAAAATAAATAAAAGAATTTGTAAATATCAGGCCAATAGGGAAGGGGGCAGGTGGAGCTAAGAAAATTACTGGTAATCCAAAAGAAGAGATGGAAAGAATTGAAAAGGAATATAGAACAGATGGGAAAACAAATAGAAGATGGTAATTTGATACTGAAATATATTGGTAATTACATTAAATGTAAATGGTCTAAATTTATACTGCTCAATACAGTAGTTACTAGCCACATGTGACTATTAATCACTTGAAATGTGGTTAGTCTAAATTGACGTGGACTGAAAGTACAAAATCTATACTGGATTCCAAACACTTAGTACCAAAAAAAGAATGTAAAATGCCTTGTTGGCTGCGTGCGGTGGCTCATGCCTGTAATCCCAGCACTTTGGGAGGCTGAGGTGGGCAGATCATTTGAGGTCAGGAGTTCGAGACCTGACTACCATGGTGAAACCCCGTCTCTACTAAAAAGACAAAAAAGTTAGCCAGGCATGGTGCTGCATGCCTGTAATCCCAGCTACTCGGGAGGCTGGGGCAGGAGAATCACTTGAACCCGGGAAGCAGAGGTTGCAGTGAGCCGAGATCATGCCAGTGCACTCCAGCCTGGGCAGCAGAGCGAGACTCCATCTCAAAAGAAAAAAAAAAAGCCTCATTAATAATTTTTGTATTGGCTATAATTTGAAGTATTACAATAATATATATTATTGTATTGGGTTAACTAAAATATATTATCAAAGTTAATTTCACTTGTTTCTTTTTATTTTTTTTTGATGTGGCTACTAGAAAATTTAAAACTACATACATGGCTCACACTGTATTTCTGTGGATTGTACTAGCCTAAAATACTCTAATTTTTAAAAGACACAGATTTTTAGACTGCATTAAAAATACAAAATCCAATCATACATTGTTTACTGAGTAGACACTATAAATAGGACATAGAAAGCTTGAGTAAAAGAATGGAAAAATATAACATTCTAACCAAAAGAAAAGTATCACAGACATTATTTTAATATAAAATGGACCTAAAGGCAAAAAGCATTACTAGAGATAAAAAAGGATGCTTACTGATAAAAAGTTCAATTTACTAAGGAGAAATAGCATTCATAAATTTATGTGCACCTAGTAACATAGCCTGTAACAGTAGCATTGAACAACATTCAAACAAATACAACTAAAAGGGGAAGTAGACAAATGTACAACCATAGAGGGAGGTTTAAAATACCTCTCTTAGTATCAGTACAAATATAGAATATTTGGATAATGAGAATAACAAACCTGACTTAATAGGACATGCCACCCACCCACTGCAGAGTACACATTCTTTTCAGGTATACATGGAACAATTAAAAATTTCTCCGTATTCCAGGCCTTAAAGCAAGTCTTAACAAATTTCAAAGGGTTATAATTACATAGGAAATGTTCTGTTACCATGGTGGAATTAAGCCAGATATGAATAACAAAAAGATTTTATTATTTCCACATATACTTGGAAATTAAGAAACTACTTTTAAATGCCCCAAGAGTCAAAGAAGAAATCACAGTGGAAATAAACTGAATAATAACAAATGCGTGACCTATCAAAGTTTGTGGTATGCAGACCAGGCTTGGTGGCTCACACCTATAATCCCAGCACTTTGGGAGGCCAAGGCAGGTAGATCGCTTGAGGCTGAGAGCAAATATGCTGCACAAAGGGGTGATTCACACCCCAGGCAGGACAGTGCAGGATGGTGTGAGATTTCACCATGCAACTCAGCACAGCATATAATTTAAAGCTTAGGATTTATTTATTTCTGGAATTTTCCATTTAATATCTTTGGATGCAGTTGACCATAGATAACTGAAGCCATGGAAAGTGAAACTGTGGATAAGGAGGAACTACTGTAATTTAAATCCTAACAATTGCTAAGAAGAAAATGCAGAATGCAGTGATTAAAAAGTAACAGAGAGGCCAGGTGCAGTGGCTCACGCCTGTAATCCCAGCATTTTGAGAGGCCGAGGTGGACAGATCACCTGAGATCAGGAGTTTGAGACCAGCCTGGTCAACATGGTGAAACTCCGTCTCTACTAAAAATACAAAAAATAGCCGGGCATAGTGGTGCAAGCCTGTAATCCCAGCTACTTGGGAGGCTGAGGCAGGAGAATCGCTTGAACCTGGGAGGCGGAGGTTGCAGTGAGCCAAGATCGCAACACTTCGCTCCAGTCTGGGCAACAAGAGTGAAACCCCATTTCAAAAAAAAAGTAACAGAGAAATTAGAGGGGGGTAGTTCATCTAGAAAGGACAAACAGGGAAGACGTTCTGAGCAGGTGACATTGAAATCAACACCTGGAGGAGTGAGGAATCAGCAAAAAGATTGGTGTGTTTTAAAGAAACAAGTCTAGGATTACCAAAACAAAGTGGAAGGAAAAGCCACAAATGGGATTTGAGAGGTAGGTGTGAGCTAGATGACGAAGGACTTGAGGAACACTGAAGAGTTTGGGTTTTAAGTTCAGTGGGAGCCACTGGCCCTCCCATGCCTGGGACACTCTTTCCTTAGGTCTGTGCATGGCTCACTCCAATCTTCATTGATCTCTCTGCTCTGGTGCCACCTACTGACCACTCTTTCCACATTATTGCCCCTCCCCACCACTGGCCTCATTTTCTACCTCTCATCTGCTTTCTTTTTCTTTTTCTTTCTTTTCTTTTTTTTTTTTTTTTAAGACAGAGTCTCTCTCTGTTGCCCAGGCTGGAGTGCAGTGGCGTGATCTCGGCTCACTGCAGCCTCCACCTCCCGGGTTCAAGCAATTCTCCTGCCTCAGCCTCCCAAGTAGCTGAGGCACTTGGTGCACTCGCCACCATGTCCAGCTAATTTTTGTATTTTTAGTAGAGACGGGGTTTCACTATGTTGGTCAGGCTGGTCTCAAACTCCTGACCTCAGGTGATCCACCTCAGCCTCCCAAAGTGCTGAGATTACAGGTGTGAGCCACCACACTTGGCCTATTTTTCTTAATAGTAGCTGTTATTCCCAACGTGTGTGTGTGTGTGTGTGTGTGTGTGCGTGTGTGTGTATGTGTATGTTTAAGGGTCTGAGATACCCATTACTATTTTTGAGAGGAACGGGATGTTGACTTGTTCAATACTGTATTAGTCCTTTTTCATACTGCTGATAAAGACATAACCTAAAACTGGGAAGAAAAATAGGTTTAATGGACTCACAGTTCCACGTGGCTAAGGAGGCCTCACAATCATGGCGGAAGTCAAGGAGGAGCAAGTCATGTCTTACATCGCTGGCAGCAGGCCAAAAAAGAGCTTGTGCAGGGAAACTCCTCCTTATAAAACCATCAGATCTCATGAGACTTACTCACTGTCATGAGAACAGCAAGGGGAAGACCTGCCCCCATGATTCAGTTACCTCCCACCAGGTCCCTCCCACAACACATGGGAATTCAAGATGAGATTTGGGTGGGGACACAGCCAAACCATATCAAATACTGTGTTTCTTTCTGCCACAGTGCCTGGTACGTAGTTGGCATTTGGTGAATATTGTTTGAATGAATGATTGGATGCTTTTAAGCAGGGGATGAACATAATCCAAATTATATTTATAAAAGATTTTGCCTGTCAGGTGAAGAAGAACCATGTAGACTAGTGAGAGAGGAAGTTAGGAGTCCTCTAATGAAAGAAAATGGTAGCTGTGACCATGATGATGGTGGAGGAGATGGAGAAAAGTAGAGAACTGTCAGGTGGTATATTTTGAAGGTAGAAACAACAAGACTTACTGATGGATTGGATATGAGTGGTATGGGAATAAAGAATAATCAAGGATGACTCTCAGCTGGGCATGGTGCCACACACCTGTAATCCCAGCTATTCAGGAGGCTGAGGCAGGATCATTGCCTGAGCCCAAGAGTTCAAGACCAGCTTGGGCAACATAGCAAGACCCTATATTAAGGGGGGAAAAAAGGATGACTCTCAGAGTTGTTTGAGCTGTCTTTGTGACTTCTGAGTGGAAATGCTAAGTACATAGCCATAAGTGGTTAACATAAAGGGCTGGCCTGGAATAGGGGTTGAGGAGTTACCAGCCTATAGGTGGCATTTAAAGCCATTAGACTAGACAAGGGCAGCTACAGTAAGCAGAGGATACCCAAAGATCCAAGACTGCTCCCTCAAAAACCTCAGTATTTCAGTTTAATTTAGAAGTTTATATGTAGAGCAAAGAGGAGAGACAGATTTATATAAGAGGTTACATAAACCAGTCCTCTCTTTTTAGAGATAAATGGAAACCCAGCAATGTTAAATAACTTGTCCAAGGTCATATAACCTAATTTTGTCCCCCTAACCCCTGATGTCTCTTTTTTTGGAACTATAAAAATGATTTTGTTGCATGCTTACTGTATACCATGCTCTATGCTTTAAGTACTTTAAGAACATTATTCCCTTTAATATAAAGGGAATTACATTTATTTTAGAGTAGAATGGAAAAGAACTTGGGCTCCAGAGAGACTACCTGGTTTCGGTTCCATTTATGCCATTGACTAGCTGTGTATCCTTGGGCAAATTACTTACGTGGTCTAAATCTCAGTTTCCTGATCTCTAAATTGGGTTGTTGCAAGGGGCCCCTTGCAATTCCATATGAATTTTAGGATCAGTCTTTCTATTTCTTAAAGAAAGGCTGTTGGGATTTTGTTAGGGATTGCATTCAATCTGTTCATCACTTTGGGTAATGTTGTTGCCTTAACTATATTGTCTTCCAATGTATGAGTACAAGATGTCTTTCTGTTTATTTAGGTCTTCTTTAATTTCTTTTACAATATTTTGTACTCTTCAGTGTATAAGTCTTACACCTCCTTGGTTAAATTTATTTCTTAGCATTTTTGATGCAATTGTAAATGGAGTGATTTTCTTGACCTCATTATCCAATTGTTCTCTGGCCATGTGTAGAAATACAACTGATTTTGTTTGTTAATCATGTATTCTGCAACTGCTGAAATTGCTTATGAACTCTAGTAGTATTCCTTTAGATTTTTTATGTGTAAGATTGTCATATGCATTTAAAAAAACATTTTTTAGACCTAGCTATTACCTTTACACCAGTGTTTTTAAAGTTGCAGTTTACAACCAGTGAATGGGTTGTGAATTCAATTGAATGTGCAAGTTTTGTTTTGTGAAGCTTTTGTATGTATAATAGGCACATATGCATGTGTTTGTGTATAATATGTGAATATATATAAATTTATTTCTTACTGTGGATAGCAGTTGAAAACTTTGAAACCCAGTGGCTTTATGCCATTTCTTTATGTGACTGGAATGTAAGATTAGGGTTAAGTTACATAAGGTAAAGCCTCAGTTGTTGTCTTTCATTACCTTGAATGACAATTCGGTATTGCAAGATGTTTTCTAAATATAAAAATAATTGAGCACAAAATATACTCTCTGTTTACTAGTGGCTCTGTGAGTAATAAACTTGTGAGATTTCTGCTTTTAATGCTTCTGGATAAAGCAGCTTTTAGCTTTTTTTGCTACTGTGAAGAAGGTTTCCTATTCAAACTAGAGATATTTTCTTGAGAATGTATTTTGTAAAAGCTAGTGATCTATTAGATTGTGTAAGATGGTTACTATACGTGAAAACAGAAAGCCACATTATTAAGGCTATTACAAACTACAAAGATGTCATTTATTCTTTAATTGATAGAAATTATTAAAATAAGATGCGTATTTTTAGTTATTGTATTAGTGTCAAGTTTACTGACTAGTAAGAAATTAAGAGAACTTACAGCTTGTTAGTGCAAATGAAGTACTTTAAAATGTAATGATTGTACGTGGATACAAAATTATTTTATAGAAAGATAAAATTATTCCTGTGTATGGGACTCTTAATAGGATGTCTTTCCAATCTGATAAATTAAATGGTGTTTGATTTTTCTGAATTGCTTTGCATGATACTAAGTTGCACCTTTTACCCACAAGTAGTTGGGTGGGGATTATGGACTATGTATGGTAAAGGACATTAGGGCTGTAGGCAGCACCTGTGGCCTTACATTGCCCTCTGCCCTCTTTCCTCCACTCCCCATCTACTGATGAGGCAGCTTCCCTGAGGTCCATATGTTTTCCTGACATTCTTTTTTTTTTTTTTACTACGTTACAAAATTCGACATGTATTGGAATGAGCCTGGCTTCAGAACCCAGTAAGGACTGACTGTGTTTGACTTCTCCTTCTCCCTCTTGGTAACCATGTGACTATGGACAGACAAGTCATGTGACTCCTCTTAGCCTCAGTTTCTTTTTCCATTAAAATGAGGATAATTCAGCAGTACATTGAAGAGTAAATGGTATTATGTTGTATATACGACATGTCAGATATTGTAGCTGGCATGATAATTGCTTAATAAATGGTAGCTGTTAAAAAACTGGATCCGTCATCAGTATACAATAAACGGTGGTTCTCTTTCTGTTCCCAACCAAAACTTTTACATATGTCCTATCATTTTCAAATAGAAGCTAATTCTAGTAAGCTCATCTGTGCTGTTGGGTCTCTGTTAGTTAGTGGACCACTTTTCCCGTATAATTATGTAGACCTTACTGATGGTCTTGTGGTACATTAAGCCCTGGATGATGGGAATTGCCTGGCTGTCTGATATGAAAATACAGATATGGGGGTGTGTCTGTTTTTTTGGTTTTTATTGTTATTTTTAGATGAAGTCTCACTCTGTCACCCATGCTAGAGTACAGTGGCATGATCTCCACTCACTGCAACCTCCGCCTCCCAGGTTCAAGCGATTGTCCTGCCTCAGCTTCCTGAGTAGCTGGGATTACAGGTGTGTGCCACCACGCCCAACTAATTTTTGTATTTTTAGTAGAGACAGGGTTTCACCATGTTGGTCAGGCTGGTCTTGAACTCTCGACCTCATGATCTGCCTGCGTTGGCCTCCCAAAGTGCTGGGATTACAGGCGTGAACCACTGCACTCTGCTCGTGTCTGTTTTTAAGTACAAAAAAAACCCAAATAGTAACCAAGCACCATTATTTTATTTTCCCCTTCTATAGTTGTGTGCTGCTCATCTCCCTACTGAATCAGATGCACCAAATCATTATCAGGCAGTATGTCGTGCACTGTTTGCAGAAACAATGGAGCTCCATACATTTCTGACCAAAATTAAGAGTGCGAAAGAGGTGAGTACTACTGCTTTGATATTTATTGGCATTGTTTGATTGGCATGCATTTGATATTTGTTGGAAGAGAAACCTAAATTTTCAATATTGTCCGCTGTATTGTTTTAAAAGATTTATTACTATCCTTTAGATGAGTGCTGAAAGTCATTTAGGAAAGAAGCAACTTAGGTAAAATTAAATCTATTGTATTGAAATATCAACAGTGTGAACCATTTAAGAAACAGATTTTCATACAGATTCCTTGCAAATGGAAATAAATGCTACTGAACTAGTTCAGTCCATTCTCATGTGACTTGCTTTCCACCCCCTTTCTGTCGCTCTTCTCTTCTGTCCATTCTGAAACATGTTAGGACCTCTTCCGGGAAGGGATAAAGGCTCAGAAAAGAGGTGACACTCACATCTGATCATTTAACTGTTTTATTTATTATTTATTTAAAAGGTGAGTCACCATGTGTTACATAGGTGGTTGTGAAGATTCAGTGAGATCTTATATAAAATAGCACAGCATCTGGCAGAAGGTGAGAGCTCAGTACATGTTAGGTAATGGGTATATATTAGTCAGGGTTATCCAGAGAGACAGAGCCAATGGGATATATAGACATATAGGTATATGAAAGGGGGCCAGGTGCAGGCTCATGCCTGTAATCCCAGCTACTTGGGAGGCTCAGACAGGAGGATCACTTGAGGCCAGGAGTTCAAGATATATGAGAGGGGACTTATTAGGGGAATTGGCTCATGTCATTATGGAGGCTGAGAAGTCCCATGACAGGGTGTCTGCAAGCTGGAGACCCTGTTATTCCAGCAGCACAGCTCAGTCCAAGTCCAAAGACCAAGGGTAGGAGAAGAAAAGTATATCCCAGCACCAGGAGAGAGAGAGAGACCAATTTTCCTTCCTCTGTTTTATTCTATCCAGGGCCCCAGCCAAATGGATGGTGCCCACCTAAACTGAGGGCACCACTTAGTCCACTCAGACTCACACACTAGTATCCTCTGGTAACACATTCATCTAAATATATACCTAAAAATAATGCTTTGCCAGTTCTCTAGGTATTCTTTAATTCAGTCAAGTCGACACCTAAAATTAACTGTCACAGTATCATTTCTTTTACAACTAACATACAGGGTTTATCAGAAGCACTAGGCTAAAACTTACCATGACCCACAGTTTGGGGAAGAACACATACTGGATATGTAAGCAAAAAAGGAAAAACTAAACTATTTGCCCAATAAGGTGTACTTAACCCTGGTAGTAAGTAGGTGATGGATGTCTCAGGCAGATCACCCTTAATAAATCACCCTTAAATAGATCCATTGTGTATATATGAATAAGAGCTCTAAGCATCCTTCCTCTGCTCTAGCTAGGGTACTGCTTATAGTCTGTCTTTTTATGATAGGGCAATGAAAAGCTTTGCCTTTTTCTTTTTTTAATTTTATAAAATTGGATCAAGGAGGAAAGTTGTCAACAGAGTGGAAAAAAGGTGAACCCTCTGTGAAGAATAAATAAGTTGTGTGTGTGTGTGTGTGTGTGTGTGTGTGTGTGTGTAATGGATTAGCTGTTCTCATTGAGCAGAACCAGAGGAAGTGGGATCTGATTAAAAGCTTCAAAGTGAACATCCAAAGGCACATCCTCAACTAGGTTTTCTCGAATAGTAGAAAAGATTACTTTTTAAGGCTGTCGTTACCTTTCCCAGCTTGTTAAAACTGAGATTGCCTTCCCCAGAGCATTATTTTTAGGGTGTACATGTATGAACCTGGCTACTTTATAAAGCACAGTGCCTGGTTCATCATCTATTTATTTAGAAAGCAAATTTGTTAATAGAGGAAATTAAATGAGCTCTTAAAGTCCTTCCAACACTGGCATTCTTAGAAACTATTTCTGAGCTTAAATAGAACAATATTAGTATTTTTACTACTCTACTGCAGTGAGCATTTAAAAAATGTTTGCTCTTGATCCTTTTGCAGTTCCTAAGCGTGATGATTGGATATTCACACTTGTGTGCGAGATGTTCCTTTTTCTAAACCTTGTTATGTCAGCACATTACTCATCTGATGTAAAAAAAAATTTTTTGCTCTTGATTAAAATTTTGCTTTGCAAGATATGCAAACACACTTTCAAAAAGAGGCTCAAACATTATTAAAGTTTATTTAAAGAAAAAGCTGACAGGTGGAGTAAAACTGCTGTGTGGCAGTGCCTGCAGAAACTGGCCAGGCTGACCGAGGTTGGGCCCTCACAACTGGTTGAAGCTCCAGCCACATCTCTCACTCTGTCACCACCCCAAGACTAGGACTTTATAGGCATTAGTTCCATCCTGTTTTCATATCTCCTTCTCCTCTGTTTCTACTCCGTTGATCTCCATCTCACCCTTTCCCAGTCTTCTCTGGAAACTGCACTCCATTTTGAAAAGAGTCCCCTCAGGCTCTTCTGACAACACTTGTTCCCCTAAGGGTAGTGCTTTCTCTTGCTTTCCTCCTGCGGGAAGCCGATCTCTCCTCTACATCTCCCTGTTTCGATTGAGGTGGGTTTGCTAATATTCTGTCTCTCCTCTGCTGCCTGCCAGTAATCAGCCTTCATCCTTGTTGAAACACCCTTCTTCCTTTGAAGCTCCTGTCATCACTTCTCTCATCTTGAGTGACTTCCTAGACAAAGAAAGCACATAAATTGCCTATCAACACTCAGGTTTCAGGAATGTAAGTTTCTTTCACCTCTGCAATGTATAAGGTTTTCTTGAAATGATAGAACATTTTTATACATGTTAGTTTATGTATGTAAATGGTTTCAGCCTTTTCTCAAAAATACTGTTTTCACACTAATAAATACTATTTGTTAATTTGACTTTTTTCGGAAGATCCCAAAATACTTAATATATTTTAAGAATCATTCTTTATACCTATGAGTTAGTGTGTACCAAGTGGAATTTTTGAAACAATAGACTGATTCAACGAAATTAAAAATTGAGTATCAACAATTTTTCAAACTACCTTATATCTGTGTATATGTGTGTGCATGAATGCATATAAATTGGGGTGGAAGCATAGTGTCAGAACACTTGAGCTCAGTTACTGATAATGTGTCTGATTTGATAGTCCAAAAGTACTTTAATTATACTAAATTTCTTATATGGCAAATTGGCAATTTATTAAAATATAAAATCTACCATCTGTTTTCCAATGTTATACTTGTTCTGTAAAGTGTTAAGTGCATTTACTGAACCTGGCTACTTTATAAAGCACAGTATCTGGTTCATCATCTATTTATTTAGAAAGCAAATTTGTTTATATTCTAATCCCTTTCATGATGTGATGATTTTCTTCTTAAACAACCAATGAACTCCTTTAAGGTCATTCTTTTAATGATAAAGATTTGGGTAGGCCTGCTGTTACTTTGTCTCTTAAGCAATGTGATATCCTTGAAAATAAGTACACATTACTGTGTCTCCTAAGAAATTTGATATCCTTGTAAGTTAAGTATAGCTGGAGGCACTGTCTAAGCAATCCATCGAGTGCATCAGGTTGTATGAAAGAAGAGCCACCCTGCCCTGCTGCCAGTGACACCACCATATTCCAGAGCCATACTGCAGGGGTAGCTGGTGAGCCTGTGCTGTGCAGAGGGGGCAGTTTCAATTGTAAAATTTTTTATTGGAGAAAATGAAATTATATTAATGGTAGTATCCTTTAATCTATTGTGGTCCAGGTAATTTTTTGATCATCAGTCCCCAGTTTTGTTATTGTTAAATAAAATTATTTATCATTACCTAAAACTTTAACCCCTGCTACTTTACTGTCATATTCATACAGCTCCTTTATAAAATGCCTTCTCTTCCTTACTCCATTTGATCCTTGTAACAATCCTGTGACTCTTTGCA
Organism: Homo sapiens; assembly: GCF_000001405.40. NCBI lineage: Eukaryota > Metazoa > Chordata > Mammalia > Primates > Hominidae > Homo > Homo sapiens. Next base: position 12,531,612 of record NC_000018.10, on the reverse strand, counting down.
AATTAGTAAACTGAGGCTTAGAGAGATTAGAGATTCACATAGAAGTAAGTTCTCAGTGCTGCTGATAACAGCATTTTCATCCTCATCATACCCTTCAGTCCGGCAAAGGTGTTCCACTACATAGAAGTTATTGCTATTTTCCTCTAAGAGTGTCACATAAAATGCATTATTAGATGAAACTAAAGAGAGAGTTCTGAAGAAAATGGAGGTAGATACTTTGATGTAGGTTTCTGAGCAGTTCTGGAGAGAGAATATGTGAGTCAGAAAGACTAAGATTTGGCTTTGGAGAGAAGAGAGTTTATGAGAGAATGTGTGGGCATGCACATGCTGGTGTTAGGGGATGATGGTCCTGCATATGCACATAAATGGGATGGGGGGGTACCATGTAAAGTTGAGGTATGAAATAAGAGGGAGGCCAGGCACAGTGGCTCATGCCTGTAATCACAGCACTCTGGGAGCCCAAGGCAGGAGGATCACTTGAAGCCAGGAGTTCAAGACCAGCCTGGCCAACAAGGCAAGACCCTATCTATAAAATAAACAAATAAATAAAGAGGGAGATGTGAAATGAGAAAAGATAGAGTATCATAGAAGTGTCAAAGACTGAGATAAAATAATTTTAAGACTAGAAAGTCAGTTGATTTTTTTCTGATACGTTCCTAGCATGCTCTAGCCATCATTGCCTCCACGTTGAGAGTGTGCAGTATGCTCACCAAATTCTCCAGTAATACACTGTTTCATAGTAGGGGTATAATGATATTATAGTAGAAACTTGATGTATCATAAGAGTACACTGTTTTAAAAGAATTTTTTGAAAGCTTTCTTTAAAGCAAATAACTCATTTTTTATTTATTTCATAATTTGAAATATTTATATTACCACTGACCTTTGTAAAAGCCCCTTTATTGGTGAATCATACCATTCATTATTCATGTAACTTCTTAAAATCAAATAGCATTTGCAAGACTTCTGTTTACTCATCTTTAAAAATGGGGAGGAAGGCCTGGCGCTCAGTGGCTCACTTCTGTAATCCCAGCACTTTGAGAGGCCGAGACCAGGTGTTTTGAGACCAGCCTGAGAAGCATAGCAAGATCATAGAATCCTGGAATCCTAGCTGCTTGGGAGGCGGAGACAGGAAGATCTTTTGAGCCCGGGAGTTTAAGGCTGCAGTGAACTATGATCTCACCACTGTGCTCCATCCAGCCTTGGTAATAGAGTGAGACCCTGTCTCTAAAAACATAAAAATCGGGGAGGAGGCAAGACATGTTAAGCTTCCGTCTAGTCTTAAAATTTTATGCAGAAAATAAAATTTGCGTGACTAAATTTTTTGTTCTATTTATTCAACAAGCTTTTCCTCATTTTTGTTATTAGTCTTACGTTGTAGGCAAAGTGTATATAGATAAGTAAGTGCATTCCTGGTAGAATTTTCTATGAAATTATTGTATACTATTTTATTTTATATCTTAAATTTGAGATAGATTTTACAGAAAAGCAGTTCAATGCTGTAGATAAATTAATCAAAATTGAGGATGCTGTAGGCCTTTTAAAAACACAGATTTAACTTTTTAAAATTGGTAAGCTAGCTGTAACATTCAATACTGACATTACTACTATATTGATGTCAGTATAGGCTAAAAATAAAATTATTTTCACAATCTACTGGTAGAAAATCCTTGTACAGAATAAATTCGTAATACAGTAACATTAGTCATCAGTGAATGAACAGTGAAAATAATTGTGCATTGTATAGCATGTGTTCATGATATTGCAGCAAGAACTTTATAAGGCATGTAAAATAGGTTTTTAATGTCCTAATCTCTGTTCTCTAGATTATGTACTCAAAGTGATGAAAATTTTCTCTTCCTCTTGCACTTTCTTGTGTCATTCATACACATAAACATCACCCAAATTAAGGTAGAATATTTCAAACATTTTGATCTTTGAGAGATAAGATGTCTAATACAGTTAACTCATCTTGGATTTCTTCAGCAGTAGGCTCTACAGGTGTGGGTTGTCATTTCTGATTATCTGATTATAATGATCTTTGCACTCTTCTCAAGTGTGGCTGTACCTGCGGTGCTTAGTTTCTTGACATATTAAACGCTTCTTATAAGTGTTGTCTTCCTTGACCCTTTCAAGTATGATTTTTTCACTCACACCCTTCATACCTCAGCTGAAAGGACATCTCCTCAGGCCACCCCAGACACCTTTATATATTCAGCACATACTGCCCTTTTTTTTTTTTTTGAGACGGAGTCTTGCTCTGTCGTCTAAGCTGGAGTGCAGTGGCGCAATATCAGCTCACTGCAAGTTCCACCTCCCGGGTTCACACCATTCTCCTGCTTCAGCCTCCAGAGTAGCTGGGACTACAGGCGCCCGCCACCACGTCCGGCTAATTTTTTGTATTTTTAGTAGAGACGGGGTTTCACCATGTTAGCCAGGATGGTCTTGATCTCCTGACCTCGTGGTCCGCCCGCCTCGGCCTCCCAAAGTGCTGGGATTACAGGCGTGAGCCACTGTGCCCAGCCTGCTGTTTTCATTTTAATCGCGTTGCCCTATTATCTCCCTTTTAGCAGCCATCATGGTCTGTAGTTGTTTTGTTGGTCTCTTTTCTTATTCATTGATGTCTGCCACAAGAATATAATCTCATTGAGGGCAGAGACCTTTTCTCTCTAATTCACTGTTATATCCCAGTGTAATGGGGACTCCGTAGATATTTGATCATTGTTAAATGAATTAAAGAATCTGTGGTTTAGCTATTGTAGGTCTGGTTTCTCACCATCTGTCTTGCATCTTGGTCCCCTGATGCTCTTCAGTTATCTCCAAAATGCAGAGCCTCCCTCGTGTTCTCACTGTGTCTACCTTACCTTGCCTCACGCATTGGTTTGACATCTCTTGCCTGGACCATGACAAACCCTCTAATGTTACTTCCCTTTTCATGACTTCTTGATACTTGTAGGTGGAAAGTGTAAACCCCTTAGCATGACAGGGCAGCTGTTCACAATCTGACCCAGTTCTGACCTCTCCAGGCTCTTCATTCACCATTCATCCCTGCCCTATGTGTGCTGGTGTTGCCTACACTTCCTTCATTCCTGAATGTCCAGGGCCTCTGCACCTACCTGAAATGTCCCTTTCCCCTCTTCGCTACCTAGAAAATGCCTGCTTCTCCTTAAGACCTAACTCAAATGTCTATCTACTATTCTGAAATGCTTTTTCCAATCGAAGTCATTCTTTCTTCTCTATGTTCATTCAATGAGCACTCCACTCTGGCATCTTTCTGTCACTTACAACAGTGACACTGTGTTGTAATTACTGTATACGTTTATCTCCCACTAGACTGTGAACTTCTTAAGGGCAAGGACCATGTTTGTACTGTCAGTCCTGTCATAGATTTAGGGACCCAAGACAGTATCTCTTGTAGTCTTTTTAGGTATGTCTCCTTTGCTGCCTCCTCAGCTTAGGGTAACACTGGGGCCTCCATCAATGAGATTAAGTTTTTTTAACCTAATAAATATTAGAGTTGGAGTCTTCTAAGCCTTTAACTTTTTTTTTTTTTTTTGAGATAGAGTCTTGCTCTGTCACCCAGGTTGGAGTGCAGTGGCGCAATCTGCAAGCTCCACCTCCCAGGTTCACACCATTCTCCTGCCTCAGCCTCTCTAGTAGCTGGGACTACAGGCACCCGCCACCACGCCCGGCTAATTTTTTGTATTTTTAGTAGAGACGGGGTTTCACCGTGTTAGCCAGGATGGTCTCCATCTCCTGACCTCGTGATCCACCCACCTCGGCCTCCCAAAGTGCTGGGATTACAGGCGTGAGCCACTGCACCTGGCCAACATATTTTTATTCAAGAAGAAACAGAGGAGAATAGAATCAACCTTAAGATGCCGATTATGGAGTTATCAGGAGCCAGGAGCAGCACAGGAATGGTGCACAGCTAATGCACACCTGGGGCTCCTGGACACACAGCTGCCTCTTCATATTCATTCTGCTCTCCAGAAGTGGGAACCTGAGGGCTGGGGGTTGAAATTGAATGCTGCTTTATTTTCATTAATTTTTAAAATATTTCTAATATAATTTATGTACTTGGGGGAAGAAAGATCCAAAGCCTTCTGCAGCAGCTCTAAGCCCAGACAACCTACATCATGTTCACCGAAAGGCCTATCCTTATATATAAACCCTGGGTATCTCATCCTTTGTTTATGTTAGTACTTTAATCCTTGTGATGTTCTTGTGAGTTTGGTAGTATTACCCTTCACTGCCTCACTCGTGTAGATAGAAAAACTGAAGCACGGTTCAACAAACCTTAATAAAGTAGCTGCCTGTGATGATAAAAGGACTTAAAATTAGACCTAATTTTTAACTTTGTACAAATGATAGACAATAAAAGTTGATCTTGAGGTAGGTCAGGATGTGAGTGAGGTGTCTACAAACCTTAATACAGAAGAAACAGTGGAGGAGCTTGGGATTTTGAAGAAGACTTGACAGAACATAATATCCATATGGAGACATCACAAAGCCTAGTGAATGGAGAGATGCTGGCTGTCAGAGGAACTAGGATCAGTTGGGAGAATCATTTTATTCATGCAAGTTATTTAAAATGTCTTCCGTGGCCAGGCGCAGTAGCTCACGCCTGTAATCCCAGCACTTTGGGAGGGTGAGGCGGGTGGATCACGATGTCAAGAGATTGAGACCATCCTGGCCAACATGGTGAAACCCCATCTCTACTAAAAATACAAAAATTAGCCAGGCGTGGTGGCATGTGCTTGTAATCCCAGCTACTCGAGAAGCTGAGGCAGGAGAATTGCTTGGACTCAGGAGACAGAGGTCACAGTGAGCCAAGATCATGCCACTGCACTCCAGCCTGGCGACAGTGAGTGAGACTCCTCTCAAAAAAAAAATTAAATTAAAAAAAATAAAATGTCTTCCATATAATGGGTGCTACTATGATTAATACTGCTAACGTTTATTCCATACTTACTCTGTGCTAAATGCTGTTCTGACTTTATGTGCATTAATATTCATTGAGTCCTCACAGAAGCCATGTTTTAAGTGCTACTCTTACTGCCTTTCTCACTGTCGGTACGATGGTGAATGAGATGAACATGATCTCTGCCTTCACAGAACTCAAGAGAGTAAGGAGGACAGTGTAGGAGCATGTCATCCAGCACCGTGTTAGAAGGGCCGTGGCCAGTGGGTGCAGGGTGCTGTGGAAGCCACCAAAGGGACCATGCACAGCTTCCCAGAAGTAACTTCGAAGCTGAGACCCAAATGCTGAGGCAAAATAGTGGATGGAAAATGTGTTCCAGGCATAGTAAACAGCACACATGAAGGCCAGGAGATGAGAGCAAGCAAGGTAGAAGGGCAGAGGGAGAAGTGACTTCTCAAACACTGGGACCACTGTCTCAGAGGGTACTATGCAGGGATACTATACAAGCATCTGATGGGAAGATGCACCAGAAGAGTCTATAGTTTTGTGACTACCCATGCTCTGAATGGCTTTCTGCAGGCATCAGATACATCTCTGTGTGTGTGTGTGTGTGTGTGTGTGTGTGTGTGTGTATCTTCAGTATTCTGACCCTAGACTGCTGTACTGCTTTCATCCCTTGTTTAGCATGTATTACTGGAAACCTTTGTGTTCCAGGTAGTGAGTTTCTGAGCATATGATGATCTCTAAGCCTCATTGCTCAGGGAGCTCTGTAACACCCCTAATGAGCAAGGCATCATGGCAAAGAAGATGAACTGCATCCTAGGGAAGATCTTTACGATGCTAGGAATGAGTAGATGGAGTTATAACATACTAAAAGCTAGTCTTTAGTTCTTCAGGTTTCAAGAAATAGAACTCCTTTGTTTTAAAGATAGTTTTTGCTTTAAAACAGAAATCTTGGTAAATCTGTGGCTACTGGGGGGCTTTTTAATCCAGATGAAGCTGGTGTGAGCGAGGAAGCAGGTTCCCGTGTGTATAGTCACGAAGTTCTATACACATGGGATCTGATTTTAATTACTAATGAGGTTCATTTATTGTTTCCTTCCCACTCCAATCCCCCATAAATGCTTGATGTGAAACTTTTTTTTTCTAAAAGCAGCAAGAGAAAAGAATTTCAGGGGTATAATTTTCTTAAACAGATGAAATGACAACAGTGTTGAATTAAATATTGATATTTTAAAAAATGTATAACACAAGCAGGTTTGTTTTTTCTATATTAATGTATTATATATTTTAACTCCCATTTCTACCTAACTAGCATCACGATAAACAATTTTTATCCTTATTTTTAAAATTTTAATAATAGCCTTTGTTATTATTATTATTATTATTATTTTTTTTTTTTTTTTTTTTTTGAGACGGAGTCTCACTCTGTCGCCCAGGCTGGAGTACGGTGGCATGATCTCAGCTCACTGCAAGCTCCGCCTTCCGGGTTCACGCCATTCTCCTGCCTCAGCCTCCTGAGTAGCTGGGACTATAGGCGCCCGCCACCACGCCCGGCTAATTTTTTTGTATTTTTAGTAGAGACGGGGTTTCACCGTGTTAGCCAGGATGGTTTCGATCTCCTGACCTCATGATCTGCCTGCCTCGGCCTCCCAAAGTGCTGGGATTACAGGCGTGAGCCACCGTGCCTGGCCACTTTTTTTTTTTCTTCTTCCTAGAGAGACACGGTCTCACTCTGCTGCCCAGGCTGGAGTGTAGTGGGGTGATCATAGCTCTTTAGCTCCTGGGCTCAAGTGTTCCTCCTGCCTTAGCATCTCAAGTAGCTAGGACTACAGGTGTTCACCACCATGGTTGGCTGATTTTTTTATTTTTATTTTTGTGGAGATGGGGTCTTGCTATGCTGCCCAGGTTGGTCTGAAACTCCTGGCCTCAAGTGATCCTGCCACCTTACCTTCCCAACGCACTGAGATTACATGCATGAGCCATTGTGCCTTGCCTGTTATTACTTTAATGTGTAATTCTGCACAATTCACCAGGCACGGTGTCTCATGCCTTATAATCCCGGCATTTTACTGTGAAAAACTTAAATGTTAAATTATTCATCTTTGCCTTCCAATCTGTTATACTGAAGAAGTAAATTGACTTCTTTGATCTTTCATTTCCCAGAATATTTCTAAAGTTTTCCTAGAGAAAAGAAAACATTTTTCCCCCCATCAGTATAAATAGCTATGCTGTTTAAAAGTAGTATTTTGCCAATTTGTGATTTTCTAAATGTTTAAATGATTCTCACTTACATGGGATTTTGGTTTAAACCTCATCGGCCAAATTCTTCTGAATGGTTAAATCTTACCCCAAATTTAATGAAATCCTAGGATGGGAGGATGAATTATAGATGCCCAGATTAGAGCCAGTTTATCTTTAGCTGCTAATATTTGACCAGACATTACAATTATGGGGTAAAACAATGAATTGGATATAAGCATGGCTTATGAATTTTTCAAAGTATTATATGAGTATATTTTACACAATATAATCCAATACATATAGAGAAACTTTGTTAAGTGATTTATAGGCATACCTCAGAGATATTGCGGGTTGGATTCCAAACCACTGCAATGAAACAAATATTGCAATAAAGCAAGTCATACAAATTTTTTTGTTTCCTAATGCATACAAAATTAATTATCTTTATGTATATTATAGTCTATTAAATGTGCAATAGCATTACATCAAAAAAATACATACTTTAATTAAAAAATACTTTCTTCCTAGGAGTTTGAGACTAGAGTGGGCAATGTAGTGAGATCCTATCTCTGCAAAAAATAGTTTTTAAAAAAATTAACCTGGCATGGTGGCTCATGCCTGTAGACCCAGCTACTCAGGAGGCTGAGGTAGGAGGATTGCTTGAGCCTGGGAGGTCAAGGCTGCCATGTGGTGTGATTACACCATTTTGCACTCCATCCTGGGCAACTGAGTGAGACTATGTCTCAAAAAAAAATAAGAATAAAAATACTTTATTGCTACAAAATGCTAGTGATCCTCTGAGCCATCAGTGAGTTGTAATCTTTTTGCTGGTGAAGTGTCTTGATCCGACATTAATGGCTGCTGACTGATCAAGGTGGTGGCTGCTAAAGGTTAGGGTGGCTTTGGCCCTTTCTGAAAAATCAGAATACATTGTAGCATACAGTGCTGTTTGATAGCACATTACCCACAGTAGAACTTCTTTCAAAATTGGAGTCAATCTTCTCAAACCCTCCTGCTGCTTTATCAACTAGATTTATATAATTTTTGAAATCTTTTGTTGTCATGTCAATAATGTGCACAGCATCATCACCAGGAGTTGATTCCATGTCAGTAAACTACTTTCCTTGCTCATCCATAAGAAACAACTCCTCATTAGTTCAAGTTTTCTCATGAGATTGCAGTAATTCAGGCACATCTTCAGGCTCCACTTCTTATTCTGTTGACTGTTTCCACCACATCAGCAGTTATTTCCTCCACTGAAGTCTTGATCCCCTCAAAGTCATCCATGAGGGTTGGAATCAACTTCTTTCAAACTCCTGTTGATGTTGCATTTTGACCTCCTTTCATGAATCACCAGTGTTCTTAATGGCATCTAGAATGATGAATCCTTTCCAGAAGGTTTTCAATGTGCTTTGCCCAAACCCATCAGAGGAATCACTGTCTATGACAGTTATAGCCTTACAAAATGTAGTTCTTAAATATGACTTGCAAGTAAAAATTATTCCTTGGTCCATGGGGCTGTACAATAGATGTTGTGTTAGCAGGCATGAAAACAACATTAATCTTGTATATTACCATCGAGCTTTTGGGTGACCAAATGCATTGTCAATGAGTGGTAATATTTTGAAAGGAATCTTTTTTGCTGTAAACAGATGTGCCGCCATCCAGTCTTTGTTGTTCCATTTATAGAGCACAGACAGAGTAGAGTTAACATAATTCTTAAGGGCCCTAAGATTTTCAGAATGGTAAATTAGCATTGACTTCAACTTCATCACCCACATTAGCCCCTAACAAGAGAGTCACCCTGTCCTTTGAAGCTTTGAAGCCAAGCACTGATTTCTCTCTAGCTATGAAAGTCCCAGATGGTATCTTCTTCCAATATTAAATTGTTTCATCTACATTGAAAATATGTTGTTTAATGTAGCTACCTTCATCAGTTAGCTACATCTTCTTGATAATTTACTGCAGCTTCTACATTCAGCACTTGCTGCTTCACCTTGCACTTTTATCGAGCGATGACAACTTTTTTTCTTAAACCTAATGAACCTATCTCTGTTAGCTTCAAACTTTCCTCCTGCAGCTTCTTCACCTTTTTCAGCCTTCATAGAATTGAAGAGTTTGAGCCCTGCTTAGGATTAGGTTTTGGTTTAAGGGAATGTTGTGGCTGGTTTGATCTTCTATCCAGACCACTAAAACTTTATACCAGGAATTAAGGCTGTTGTGCCTTCTTATCATTCATGTTCACTGGAGTAGCACTTTTAATTTCCTTTAAGAGCTTGTCCTTTGCATTCACAACTTGGCTGTTTGGTGCAAGGAGCCTAGCTTTCAGCCCATCTTTGCTTTTGACATCCTTCCTCACCAAACTTAATCATTTCTCGCTTTTGATTTAAAGTGAGAGACTTATGACTCTTCCTTCCACTTGAACACATAAAGGCCATTGTGGGGTTATTAATTGGCCTAATTAAATTATCATTGTGTCTCACGGAATAGGGAGGCCCCAGGAGAGGGAGAGAGATGGGGGAATGGCTAGTGAGCGGAGCAGTCAGAACACACGCATTTATCAATTAGGTTTGTTGTCTTATATGGACACTGTCATGAGCACCCCAAAGCAATGACAATAGTAACATCAAAGATCACTCCTCACAGATCTCCATAACAGATTTAATAAAAAAAAAATGGAATATTGTGAGAATTACCAAAATGTGACAGAAAGATACAAAGTGAGCACATACTCTAGGAAAAATGGCACCAATAGATTTGCCGAACTCAGGGTTGCTGCAAACCTTCAATTTGTAAAAACACGATATCTGGCCAGGCATGGGGTGGCTCACATCTGTAATCCCAGCACTTTGGGAGGCTGAGGCGGGCAGATCACTTGAGGTCGGGAGTTCGAGACCAGCCTAGCCGACATGATGAAACCCCATCTCTACTAATACTACAAAAATTAGCCAGGTGTGGTGGTGCACGCCTATAATCCCAGCTACTCGGGAGGCTGAGGCACGAGGATCCCTTGAACCTGGGAGGCAGAGGTTGCAGTGAGCTGAGATCACGTGCCACTGCACCCCACCCAGGCGACAGAGTAAAACTGTGTCCAAAAAAAAAAAAAAAGTATCTGCTATGTACAACAAAGCGAAAGGCAGTAAAATGAGGTATGCCTGTACATATATTATTTCAGTTAGCCCTATGCAAGAAATCATAACTTGATGAAATTATTGAGCTCGGTTTATCTTAAATAAAACTAAAAAATATTTTACCTAAAATGAAAAACTATATTCATGTATATAAAGTATCTTCTTTTGCTGGGGGAAAAACAGTGTTTTCTAAAATGACTAGGCTGTTATGAAATGGTTTTGTCTGTTTTTAAAATCTTATAGCCACATTTTATAGTCTGTAAATTGGTTGAAAAATCAAATGTAAGTATTTTCCACCCCCCAATCTCTTATCAAGCCAGTAGCCAAATCCGCCAGTGTCATAGGGCCAATTGCATGTTAACTAACTCACACTGGGACACCTGTTTGTGACATGACTTCAACTTATTTTCTGCTTGAATAGCCTTGCAAAGAAAAAGCCCCAAGACGTCTGTCTCATTCACAGATTGAAGGGTATTTTAATCAGCTTTCTCATATTCCTTGCCTATTCCTCACCTCATGCCAACACCTCCAATAATAAAATTCTGGCATTTAAGTTGGCTGGAAGTTTCTTTCTAGACCTAAAATAGGTTTATATCCCTCCAAGTGGTGAACATACCACTTTTTGACAGAAAATCCACCACCAGATGTCTTTTTGTAAGTGTGCCATGTGTTCGTTTTAATGAGATCATTCATCATTTGTAATGTTTAGGGTCCTTGCTGCTGTCTGTCTTTTTTCTGTTTGATTTGTTATTTTTGTTTTGAGTGTTGGTAACATGCCGAGCACTGGTGTCTCATCAGGGAGGAGTAAATCTCTCTCTGACCTCCTGTCATTGCTCTTAGCGCTGCTCTCCCTGTTAAAATGTTTCACAAGAATATTTTACTGAAAGCTCGTGGAAGAACTCTGCCACCTTTCAGATCCTGCAGCTTTTAAAACTTAATTTATTTTTAACAAAAAATTTCACGTGGTTCAAAACCCAGGAGTTGTAAAAATATTACATTAAATTGTACCCTTCTATTTTTGTCTACTACTCACACTCTCCCTATATATGGGCAACAAATATTATTAATTTCTTTTTTATCTTTGCAGAGAGATTTTATGTATAACTAACAAGCGCATATCAGTATTTTCTTCCTTTTTTCACTTTTAAACTTTCCTTTTTTATTTAATTATATGTCTTAGAGATCATTTCATATCAGTAAATAGCTTTCACATCTGTAGGCCTTTATAATCTATTTTGTGGGTATGGTGTAATGAGTTTAACTAGTCCTATATTGACAGCTACTAAGTAATTTCCATTCTTTTTCTATTACAAACAGTGGTGTCATGGATAATTTTTAACCTATTTTTCTTGAGTGTGAACATAAGTGTAAGGTAGATTCCTAGAAGTAGACTTGCTGGGTCAAAGGAAATGTGCATTTATAATTTTTATAAAATATTACACTATTGTCCTTCCTAGAGGTTTAGTAGTTGATACTGTCCTTAGCAATGTGTGAGGCTATCTATTCTCCTACATCTTGACAATGTGTTTTCACAGTGATAAGTGAAAATTAGTATCTTAACAATTTTAATTTGCATTTGTCTTATTGTAAATGAGATCAGATATCTTTTCATGTACTTAAGAATCATTTGTCAATTGCTTGTTCATTTCCTTTGTTCATTTTTCTAATGAGCCATTGGTCTTATTAATTTGTCTTTATTTATTAAGAAAATAACTTTGTGATATAATTTGTAATATTGTCTGTGATATTTTAATGGTCATTTTTATCATCATCACTGCATTTCTATAGGTGTGAAGAGCTGATGAGTATAAAAACAGAAAAGGTGAATGTGTATTAGCAGATAATGTCAGTCCAGCTATGTAGAGCAGAGTCAGTCCAGCTATGTAGAGCGGAGTCAGTCCAGCTGTATAGAGCAGAGACATTTGTTAGAGAGAGAGTGTTTGCGTGTGTGTGTGTGCGTGCGTGTGTGCACATGTGTGTATAGGTACAAAAAATACTGGAAGAATAGAGGAATTCTAGGAATTCCTTTCCTAGAACCTAGAAATGAATTGCTTTCATTTTTATGACTTCATCTATAGTTTTTCTAATTTCTGTAGTGAACCATATAAATTCGAATTAAGTAGTACAGAATATCAATTTATAGTTTAACATTTTACATTTTTTATTCAATAAAATGCTCTTGACTTTTTTCATAATTGCTATAGTTGTTACTTGGCCACCATCCACCCCTCAGGGAGGAGAAGCGTGTTATATCTTTAAGAATGCACCATAAAGTTTGACACAAATATAAATCATATTCTTTAGTACTTATCCATTAACTCTGCATGGGAGACTTCCAGTTATCAGAACAACTGCTATAACTTTTTACTGGGTTTTTGTACCCTAATTTCTGAAATATTAATTTGGGACTAGTCAATGTGATAAAATCTTCTTTCCCTCTTTTCAGATAAAATATATTTGAATTAAAAAGTCATAGCTCATAATCTGTGTGGCTGATATTCATTTTTTAATTTATTATAGACAATATTGTGAAATAATGTCAGTCATGAAATGTATTTAATACTCTTTATGTAAGTAATTTCTTTGTTTTTTTTTGTTTTGTTTTTGTTTTTGTTTTTGTTTTGAGACAGGGTCAGGCTCTGTCACCTATGCTGGGGTAATCTCATGCAGTGATGCAATCTCAGCTCACTGCAACCTCTGCCTCCCGGCCTCAAGCAATCCTCCTACCTCAGCCTCCCGAGTAGTTGGGACTACAGGCATGAGACACTGTGCCTGGCAGTAATTTGTTGCTTTTTTCTTTTCTTTTTTTTTTTTGTGTGTGTGAGACAGGGTCTTGCTCTTTTGCCCAGACTGGAATGCAGTGATGCAATCACAGCTCACTGCACTTCCAACACCCAGGTTCAGGCAGTCCTTCTGCTTCAGCCTCCCAAAGTGCTGGGATTAAAGTTGTGAGCCATCATACTTGGCCTACATTAGCATATTTTAACTGAGTTATTAAAAATGTTGCCCAGTGTGGTTGCTCACGCCTATAATCCCAGCACTTTGGGACTCCAAGACGGGCAGACCACTGAGCCCAGGAGTTCAAGATCAGCCCGGCCAACATGGCAAAACCCTGTCTCTACTAAAAGTACAAAAATTAGCCAGGTGTGGTAGTACATGCCTGTAGTCCCTGCTGCTCAGGAGGCTGAGGTGAAAGGATTGCTTGAGCCCAGGAAGTTGAGGCTGCGGTGAGCCATGATCACACCACTGCTCCAGCCTGGTCAACAGAGTGAGACTCGGTCTCAACAATTAATTAAAAGTTTGTTCAAGGAATTTTTGAAATATATTCCTTATTATAATGCATTTAAAAATGTCTAACTGAAAACATGTACACATGGCATAGGGAAATAAGATAGTTTAAATGGTGGAAATGGTGATCATTAAAATGCTGTCATAAAAAATACATTATTATTTTAATATATGAACATATATGTGAATAAGAAGGATTTAATTAGTAAAGGGGTACTTATATGTGAGCTGATGTTGAACCTACACAAATGGATTAAAATTATTCTCTGAGCATTTGACATACTTCTGATTCACAGAGTAGATTTTGTTTTTTAAGTTGCCAGGAACTGAAAATGTTGGCATTGAGCAGTTCTAATTGCCAGCTTGAGAATGGTAATGTCAGAAATGGGAAGCGTAATTGCCATGTGGGTTCTCCCAATTAGAACTTTCTCACCATATCTCAAGCACAGGTTGACATCTGTTATTACATTTCTGCAAGCAAAAAAAAGAAAAATCATTCAGAAGCTAAAGTATAATTGACAGCTTGAATCTAAAACAAGAAAAATCTGTAATTTACTTTCAAATAACTCATTTGTTTTTACTGCTAACTAGAAAAATTGAGCTTTCTAGCCACATATTTGATCAAGCTTGTTTGATTACAGTATTTATAGATTCTAAGCTATCTACATTGATTTATTGCTGAGTCAGGATTTTGATTTGATGAAGAGGCTAAGGAGAGGTATCATTTTGCAAAACAAATTCACTTAGTATAAAATATTTTTGTGATGGAGTAAAAGTATTCACAATCAAATCCTCATAGGTATTCATTGACATAATAACTAATACCTACTGAATGTTCAATATGGTCTGAACTGAATGCTGTGTTTCATCTGTATTCTTCTGGTATATTTCTTCTATAAAATCCAAAAGATAGCTATTATTATTTGCACTTTAATATATGAGAAAATCAAACAGGATTACAGCAATTTAAAAATTTCCCCAAAGTCACGCAGCTGGAAAGTATCTGAGCTACAGTTTGTGCTATTGTTCAGAAAAACAAAGAAATGTGAAATTCTTGGACCATTTCAATTGTCTTCAATGTTATAAAGAACAGATAGTTTTTCTTAGTGGCAATGAGTGAGGGATTTGATCACAGCACAAATAAAGGTAGAGATGTAGGCAGGCCTAACAGTGACACCCTCCTGACTACATTTAGTCAGGGATGTGTCGGAGAATAGTAAAAATTAAGGTTGGGTGGAAAAGGGGCCCTGTTTTGGGGGGCATTGAAGCAAAAGAGTTTGGATTGAATATATTTTGCTGCTTCTCACACTATTCTACCAAAGTACCCCTAAGACATAAAAGCATGAACTCATATTTGTAGACTATTAAGGACATATTAAATCGTAACTTTCAGTTGCAGATGACAGAAACCCACTCAAATAAGCATGGGCAGAGTAGGGGAGAGATGTATTGGCTCACATAATTAGGAAGTCTAAGGGTACAGCTAGTTTTAGGCATAGTTGGATCCAGAATCTCAAAGGCTGTAATTAGGGCTGGCATGCTCCCTCCCTTTCCTCTCCAACCCTTTCCAGGACAGTCTCTTACTACCGTCTGCAGCCCTATTCTCACACTCTATCAATTTAGAACTCTGGCAGCAAATCTTTTCTGTTAATTGGGGCAAAAAAGTCTTAGAGGAAGATTTGGAGTCATATACCCACTTAGTAACCAGTCACAGTGGCCAGGAGATAGGCTGTGCTGGCTGGTCTAGGTCATGTTCTTACGCTTGTAAATAGGAAGTGAGGTACTGGGTCAGCCCTGCTCAAACCGTATGGGATGCATTTCTCAACAGAAGGATCTTTATCAGAGGAAGGAGCAGGGAGGCTTTCTTGAAAAATTAATGCTGTCCACTGAAGACTTGCTCGTCTAGTGCAAGTTAAAATATCTTTGACATAGTGGATTTTACTTTTGAAATTCATGTAAGTTTTGTCTGAGATGTCTGTTGTAATATTTTTTTAATGTTTCATGCTGTGGATTAAGCTCCCCTAGGATTTCCCTGGGAGACTCCTAGGGGTAAAATTTGAATTCAGGAGGTTTTATTGGGGCATGCTTTTGGGAACACCTATAAGGAATAAGGAAAGCAGGATTGAGCAGAGGGAAATGTTGAAATGTGATGCAGATGCAGCAGAGGCCTCAGCCGATCCCACAGGGAGCTCAGCAGCTAGGGGTGGTTCTTCAGAGATGTCCCAAATTGAAGCAAGGAGGCCTGATCTTTGTACTTCCTCACAGACCAGTGACTGGATATAGGTTACTCTAGGGAGGATGTAACTTTGACAAAGCAGCTTCCTTTGGCTAAAGGGCAGTTCCTGAGGAGGGTTAAGTAGTGAGCCTTTAGCAGACATCTCTAGCCACTAGTGGAAGAGGACGTTGTTCCTGAAACAGAGGGCAGCTTACCACAGCTTTCATTACATTAATTCCAGGAAAATATGTCATGTTTATCTGTTGTTTTATTAATATTTTGTTTTATTTTTTTGAGACAGGGTTTCTCTCTGTCGCCCAGGTTGGAGTGCAGTGGTGTGATCTTAGCTCACTTGTAGCCGCAACCTCCCAGGCTGAAGTGATTCTCCTACCTCAGCCTCCTGAGTAGCTGGGACTACAGGCAAGCGCCACCACACCCGGCTAATTTTTTGGTTTTTTTGGAGAGACAGGGTCTTACTGTGTTGCCCAGGTTGGTCTTCAACTCCTGGCCTCAAGCAGTCCTCATGCCTCAGCTTCCCCAAATATTGGGATCATAGGCATGAGTCACTGCACCTGGTCTGGAATTTAAAAAAAAAAGAAAAAAGTATGGGCTTATAAAGATGAGTTTATTCATCATGATTTCAGCTTTTTTCATATTTTTATGGTTTATAAGCTCCTGGGTAAGCAGTATATTGCTTCTGTGGGATCAGCCTTTGGGTGACAAGGGAGAATATGGCAGAAAGAACGTGTTTCCAAGTGGGCATGTGTCAGCCCCACCCCACATTCCATTATGTCTAAGGAAAGGAGGGTTGTTAGAAGGTTGGTCCATTTATGCGTACTTGATTTTCTCAGGCGCTAAGGTTCCAAACCAGCTTATTTGATGCTGGTTGAATCTTGTTGACCTGTTTAATACTATAATTACCTCTTTTCTTCTGTATGGTATTAGAAATGCATTTCTTTTTCTTCTTTATTTTATTTTACCTATTTATTCATCCACCTATTGGCTGAATGAGACACTTAAATGTAATGTGAGCCTGGGTTGAAGATTTATTTTCCTAAAACGCAGAGCATGTGTTTCTGTGTGGCAGATAAGATACCGCTCCCCAACTTCCCTAGGGGATTCTGAATTTAGAGGAGAACATAGATTTTTCTCTGAATATTACTCCCTCTGATTGAGCTTCCTCTTACTAAAGTTGACTTGGTAAGGGCTATTAAATAGGTTTAAGTATTTAAACATGCATGGTTGAAAGTGTCTTAATCTACTTAATGAAGAAATATTTACTAAGCACCTATTCTATGCAAGGCTATTCTGGAGATTTGTGAATCCCATCAGTGAACAAAATACAAAAAAAAAAAAATTCTTCTTTCCTAAAGTCTGAATCCAGCAGGAGGTGGTAGACAGTAAACATATGAAATAAGTACATTCTGTAGACCACTAAAAGGTAGGAAGAGCTATGGAAAAAGACATAAACTAGAGTAACTGCTAGTAGCTGGGGATGGGGCTTGGAATTTGGTCAAGATAGACCCCGTTGAGAAGGTGACGTTTGCACAAGTGTGTAACAGATATGAGGTGATTCAGTCTGGATATTTGAGATGTAAAGCATTCTAGGAAGAAGGTGGCAGCCAGTGTGCATACCATAAGGCTGGAGTGGGAAGAAATAGTAGGAGATGAGGTAAAGTGTGGTGACTCAAGGCTATAATCCCAGCCGTTTGGGAGGCTGAGGCAAGGGGATCGCAAGCTGACGAGTTCGACACCAGCCCAGGCAATATAGTGAGACCCTATCTGTAGAAAATACAAAAATTAGCCAGGCATAGGGGTGCACACCTGTAGTGCCAGTTACTTGGGAGGCTAAGCTGGGAGAATTACTGGAGCCCCAGGAAGTGGAGGCTGCAGTGAGCCGTAATTGCATCACTGCACTCCAGCCTGAGCAACAGAGGAAGACCCTGTCTCTAAAAATAAATAAATAAATCTTAAAAATAAATATTTCAGACCGGGAGCAGTGGCTTATGCCTGTTATCCCAGCTCTTTGGGAGGCCGAGGCGGGTGGATCACCTGAGGTCAGGAGTTTGAGAACAGCCTGACCGACATGGAGAAACCCTGTCTGTACTAAAAATACAAAATTAGCCAGGCGTGGTGGCGCATGCCTGTACTCCTAGCTACTCGGGAGGCTGAGGCAGGAGAATCGCTTGAATCCGGGAGGTAGAGGTTATAGTGAGCTGAGATTGCACCATTGCACTCCAGCCTGGGCAACAAGAGCAAAACTCCACCTCAAATAAATAAATAAATAAATAAATAAATAAATAAATAAATAAATAAATAAAGTTAAGTATTCATTATTCTCATATAAAACAAGCTAGATTTCATACAGTGCATTTAAACAGTCTTTTGATCAACGTGGGGATTAGGGAAAAATTTTTTTAAAAC
The DNA here is from genome assembly GCF_000001405.40 of Homo sapiens. Taxonomy (NCBI): domain Eukaryota; kingdom Metazoa; phylum Chordata; class Mammalia; order Primates; family Hominidae; genus Homo; species Homo sapiens. Next base: position 12,513,386 of record NC_000018.10, on the reverse strand, counting down.
TCAGTTTAAGTGCAGGCAGGCACATAGCTCAGCAAAAAGTAAATATATTAGGGTTGAATTACTGTAAGTAGAATTGCTGTATCATAAATTTAGAATTAATATGTGAATATATTTTAGCAACCAAGATTTTCTTAAAGTTGCAAGTGTTGAATTGATGCAGTTTGAGGCATTTTTATCAATTAAAATGTACTCATCAAATTACTTGATAAATATATATTGAGCATCAGCAAGTGCCAGTGCTTGTGTGGCCTCTGAAGATGGGATTCTGCCTCATGAAGTCTAGAGGGAAGGCACTAATATGTGTAAAATTACAATGTTGATAAGAGCTGTTAGAGGTATAATGGTGCTATAAAATTTTAAAATAGGAGGATTTTGACTTATTCAGGGAGGAAGGGAAGGCTTCTCTGAAGAATCGATGATTCTGTTGAGTGTGATATCTGAAAGGAAGAATGAAAGTAGACAATGAAAGAGACCAGCCATGGGGTGAGGAAAGGAGAGCATCCGGGATCAGATTGCTTCAGAAGCCCAGGCAAAATATGATGGTGTTTAGAGTAATGGATTTGTAGTAGAGATGAAAAGAAGAGAGCTTAAGTTAAAAAAAAAAAAAAAAAGAAAAAGAAAGTTGTGTTGGCAGGGCCTGAAAGGAAATTAGAGTGAGCAATCTCCGTCCATCCTCAGTAAAATGGATCCTCAGGGTTCCATTTTAATTGGCCCTAGAGTTTACGGAGCAATAGATTCTGTACCATCTCCTTCACTGGTACTTGAATATATGTCTTATCTGAAGATATGTTAGGAATTTTAATTTGAGAAGATAACTTAATGAAATGTTTATGCCTGTATTATTTTAACCTGTAGAATCTTAAGAAGATTCAAGAAATGGAAAAGAGCGATGAATCTAGCACAGACTTGGAAGAGCTGAAAAACGCTGACTGGGTAAGAGCTGGAAATGCTTTCTGATCTGTTTACTGTCTAAGAAATAGTATAATTTTTTTTTTTTTTTGAGACAGAGTCTCATTCTGTTGCTCAGGCTGCAGTGCAATGGTGCGATCTCAGCTCACTGCAACCCCCACCTCCCGGGTACTGCAACCCCCGCCTCCTGGGTTCAAGTGATTCTCCTGCCTCAGCCTCCCAAGTAGCCAGGACTACAAGCATGTGCCACCACGCCTGGCTAATTTTGTATTTTTAGTAGAGACGGGGTTTCACCATGTTGGCCAGGCTGGTCTCAAACTCCTGACCTTATGTGATCCTCCCACCTGGGCCTCTCAAAGTGCTGGGATTACAGGCATGAGCCACCTTGCCCAACCTGTATAATATTTTTAAAAATGCTAGTTATTGGCCAGGCATGGTAGCTCACTTCTGTAATCCCAGCACTTGGGGAGGCCAAGGCAGGAAGATTGCTGGAGCTTAGGAATTCAAGACCAGCCTGGACAACATAGTGAGACCCTATCACTAAAATAGGAGGATTTTTATTATTATTAAAAAATAAAATAAAAAAATTAGCCGGGCTGGTGGCATGTGCCTGTGGTTCCAGCTACTTGGGAGGCTGAGTTAGAAGGATCACACGAGCCCAGGAGGTTGAGGCTGCAGTGAACTATGATCACACCACTGCACTCCAGCCTGGTCAATAGAGTGAGACTCTGTCTCAAAAAAATAAAAAATAAAATACTCGTCATTAAGGACTGTAGTATGAATTGATATGTAAATTTGAATGCTTAGTCTTACATTTGAGGAAATATCTATTCCCCATTTTAAAAAGCTTTCTGGTTTTATTAAAACCACCCCCAATGTCTCTGAGAATTGTAGTGTTTTAAAATATTAATATTTCCAATTATGTTAATACCTTAACACAGCAGTCCCCAACCTTTTTGGTACCAGAGACTGGTTTTGTGGAAGACAATGTCAAGGATTGGGGGTGGAGGGGTGGTTTCAAGATGAAACTGTTCCACCTCAGATCATCAGGCATTAGATTCTCGTAAGGAGCATACAACCTAGATCCCTCACATGTGCAGTTCACAGTAGGGTTTGTGCTCCTTTGAGAATCTAATGCCGCTGCTGATCTTAACAGGAGACAGAGCTCAGGCATAACGCTTGCTCATCCACCACTCATTTGCTGTGCCGCTCACTTCCTAACAGGCCACAGACCAGTACCAGTCAGTGGACTGGGGGTTGCAAACCCCTGCCTTAACATATTCTTGTGTATAAATTAAAGTTTAAGCTATGTTTTCAGAATTAAGTGTGAAACTAACAGTGTTGTACATTTATTTATCCAGTGAACAGTTACCTGTGTGAGGACTCCGGGAATGCAGAATAAACAATATGAGCTCTCTCTCCCAATAAAACTCAGTCTAAAACAGAAGACAGATTTGTAAAACAGATAATGTGGTTTATTCATGTGACACATGAATATCTACAGTTTTTCAGGCATAGTACTAAATCCTAGTGACTCCAAAAATCCCTGCTGTCATATAAAACTTAGAGTTGGTAGGCATGACAGTCTTGGGTACAGACAGTGAATGTTGTGGAGTGTGTTAGATTGTGGAAGTCCAAGGACAGGTGTGGTGGCTCACACCTGTAATCCCAGCACTTTGGGAGGCTGAGGTGGGCGGATCACCTGAAGTCAGGAGTTCGAGACCAGCCTGGCCAACATGGCCAGCTATCCCACTAAAAAATACAAAAATTAGCCAGGTGTGGTGGTGCACACCTGTAATCCCACCTACTTGGGAGGCTGAGGCAGGAGAATAGCTTGAACCTGGGAGGTGGAGGTTGGGGTGAGCCGAGATCGCACCATTGCACTCCAGCCTGGGCGACAGAGGGAGACTCTGTCTCAAAAAAAAAAAAAGAAGATTGTTGAAGTCCAGGTATTGGGGGAAGGCACATTTTAGGATTCTGACTTTTTAGGTTAAGAATGCTAGATAAATCATGCCATTATCATATGAATGGGTTGCTTTTGACCATATTAGGTTTTAATTGTCACATTATTTTCTAACTTTTATTGAGATATAATAGATATACAATAAGCTGCACATATTTAAAATGCATAACTTGATAAATTTTGACATATATTTTGTACATATATATATTCAGCCATGAAACCATCACCACAATCAAAATAATGAACCTATTTATCACACCCAAAGTTTCCTCATACCTTTTTATGATCCTACCTCCTGCCTCCCTCCTCCCCAGTTTCTAGGCAATTAGTCATCTGCTTTCTGTGACTATAGACTAGTTTGCACTTTCTAGAATTTTATATAAATGTAATCATATGGTATATACTGTTTTTTTAGTTTTTTTTTTTTTTTTAGATGGAGTCTTGCTCTGTCGCCCAGGCTGGAGTACAGTGGCGTGATCTCGGCTCACTGCAACCTCCGCCTCCTGGGTTCAAGCAATTCTCCTGCCTCAGCCTCCTGAGTAGCTGGGATTACAGGTGCGCACCACCACACCCAGCTAATTTTTGTATTTTTAGTAGAGACAGGGTTTCACCATGTTGGTCAGGCTGATCTCGTACTCCTGACCTACCTGGTGATCCGCCCGCCTTGGCCTCCCAAAGTGCTGGGATTACAGGTATGAGCCTCCGCACCCAGCTGGTATGTACTGTTTTTGGTTTGGCTTCTTTCACTCTTCATAATTGTTTTGAGATTTCATCCATGTTGCTGTCTGTATCTGTAGAGTATTGAGAAGTATTCCATTGTGTGAATATATCGCAGTTTATCTCTTCATCTGTTGCTGGTCATTTGGGTTGTTTCTTGTTTGCAATATTCTTAATTTATTGATAGATATCTTCAAGATATTTGTAACATTCAAGACAAAACAAAAATACTTGCCTACATTGTCTTAAAAGCTGGTATTATTTGTCATTTTAGAATAAAATTGATTATTGATTTTCCTTTATGAAGAATACTTGGATAGTGTTGTTCTAAGTGTATATCATCTTGGCCAATAAATTTTAAATTGGTTTTCCCAGCCACTGAAACCAGATAAATAACTTCCAGTGTTCAGAAGTTAGCAAACAGCTAGTATAAACTTAAAGTAAAAATTTAATTTCTTACTATAAGCCACCTTCATTTGAAAACTAGTGTCATCCCTGACAAGAGAAGCACTAACTCCAGAGGGAGTTATATTTGCGTAGATCACCAGCTTCCTCCTCATAAGACCACTAAGTGAATTACCCAGAAAGATTAGAATGAAAAGAGCAAAGAGTTAAGAGAGAATTAGAATGTCTTTACTAGCAGATTCTAGTTTCAGAATTTCCCTAATGGGATAAGGGATAAATTATAATCTCCAGGAATGCATATGATGACAGTTGTCTGTTATTTTATATAATAACTGTGACTTTAATTTCTGAAAAGTAGTATGTAAAATTTTTTAACCAAACAATCATGCACACAAAACCGACTATGTAACAAAGTGTGGGCCAGGCACAGGGCCTCACGCCTGTAATCTCAGCACTTTGGGAGGCCAAGGCGGCTGAATCACTTGAGGTCAGGAGTTCAAGACCAGCCTGGCCAACATGACGAAACCTGTGTCTACTGAAAATACAAAAAATTAGCTTGGCATAGTGGCGGGCACCTGTAATCCCAGCTACTCAGGAGGCTGAGGCAGGAGAATCACTTGAACCCGGGAGGCAGAAATTGCAGTGAGCCAAGATTGCACCATTGCACTCCAACATGGGGCGACAAGAGCAAGACTCCGTCTCAAAAAAAAAAAAAAACCAAGTGTGTTTGAATCCTTTTATAAATTATAGCAAAAGTTTCTAATGTGGGTAACTGTCTCCTGTCTCCTAATTTAAAGCCCAAAGGGAGACTTTTAAAAGATGAGATGATATTTGAACTGCATCTTAAAGGAATGAATAAGAGAAATGTGGAAGTTGGGACAAAAGCATTCCTGAGAGAAATATGGATATTTTAGGGGTATTATTTTAGAACATCTTTAATGGCAGAATCTAAGAATCTTTTTAAATATGAATATTTTAGGAGGCATCTAATGGTACACCATAAGTACCTCAAATCCTTTTTGGAACAAGAGGATGGGAAATGGTATGGTTTTTATATTTTTTGGTAGCTTCTTATTGTCCAAACCCAACATTTTTTTAAAATTATGAATCGTTATTGAGGATGTTTTGAGAAATTTAATCAGTTATTTTACATAGAAGATTCTTATGAAATATATCACTTGATTTTACAGCAAATATATTTAAGTAACTATTGTGTCACTTTATTTTTTTTTTATTTTTTATTTTTTTGAGATGGAATCTCACTCTGTCGTCAGGCTGGAGTGCAGTGGCACTATCTCGGCTCACTGCAACCTCCGCCTCCCAGGTTCAAGCGATTCTCCTGCCTCAGCCTCCTGAGTAGCTGGGACTACAGGCACGTGCCACCACACCCGGCTAATTTTTTGTATTTTTAGTAGAGACGGGGTTTCACCATGTTAGCCAGGATGGTCTCGATCTTCTGACCTCATGGTCTGTCCACATCAGCCTCCCAGAGTGCTGGGATTACAGGCATGAGCCACTGCGCTCAGCCATGTCACTTGTTAATTTTAACAAGTTACAGGTTTTTAGCTAAATATTGTGATGGACTTCACTCAAGTAGAGACTTTGACACATTATAGGCAGGAGAACAAAAGAGTTAAAGTATAATACAAATATAAATAGATTTTGTATTATTTTATGTTTTTTTTTTATTTTTTGAGACAGAGTCTCACTGTGTCGCCCAAGCTGGAGTACAGTGGTGCGATCTGGGCTCACTGCAACCTCTACCTCCCGGGTTCAAGCAATCCTCCTACCTCAGCCTCCTGAGTGGCTGCAATTACAGGCGCACACCACCACACCCAGCTAATTTTTGAATTTTTAGTAGAGACAGGGTTTCACCATGTTGGTCAGGCTGGTCTCGAACTCCTGACCTCAGGTGATCCACCCTTCTTGGCCTCCAAAAGTGCTGGGATTACAGGTGTGACCCATTGCACCCAGCCTTTTTTAGTATTTTCTATGTATAGAACACCATCTACTGATTCTGATCTTCTCAACAAGTGATAAAGTACCACTTTCTTTATTGATGAGGAAACTACAGCTCAGAAAGGTGCAGCAACTTGCTCCGTGTCAAATAGCTGGCAAGTGGCCTTATCTCAGTCAGCTGTGGTCACAGTAATACCGTGTAACTAACCACTACAAAATCACAGCCGCATAAAGCAAAAGCACTTACTAACTCATGGGTCTCCAGATCCCCTGTGGTAGCTCCACTTTACAGGTATCTCATCTTTATCCCGGGACCACAGGCTAACCCAGGCTTGACATTTTCGTGGCCATAATAGAAACACAAGGGACAAGCCCATTGTACATATGCTTTTGAAGCCCTTGGTCTTATCACACCCACCACTATTCCAGTGGCCAAGCAAATCATATAGCCAAACCCAAAGTCAGGGTGTGGGAAATATAATCCCCTTTAGTGAGCAGAGTCACATAACGGCATAGACACAGGAAAGCATGAAGAACCTGAGCCCTTAATGAAGCCTACCACAGTGGTGGAGCTTAGGTTTAAACCCATGTGCCTCAGCAGGTAGAGCCTGTGGATTCTCTACTTGCTTTCCACCCATCTTTTAGTACCCAAAATCTAATTTTTAAAATAGTTTTTTGTTGGTTTACTCATTGTTTTGTAATCCAAGCTCTTCATTTATTCTGTATGACTAGCTGTTTAGAAGAAACTAGTACATTTATTCATTGATGTCTCTCTATCCTTGGTTCTTTCAGGCACGATTCTGGGTACAGGTGATGAGGGATTTGAGGAATGGGGTAAAACTTAAGAAGGTCCAAGAGCGGCAGTACAACCCTTTGCCCATTGAATATCAGCTCACCCCTTATGAGATGTTAATGGATGACATTCGCTGCAAAAGATACACCTTGCGAAAAGTGATGGTAAGTAACCAAGCTGTCAGGCCGGGCATGTGGCTCACTCCTGTAATCCCAGCACTTTGGGAGGTCGAGGCAGGTGGATCATCTGAGGTCAGGAGTTCAAGACCAGCTTGACCAACATGGTGAATCCCTGTCTGTACCAAAAAATACAAAAATTAGTTGGGCGTGGTGGTGCACACCTGTAGTTCCAGCTGCTCGGGAGGCTGAGGCAGAAGAATCGCTTGAACCCAGGAGGTGGAGGTTGCAGTGACCCAAGATCGAGCCACTGCACTCCAGCCTCAGCGACAGAGTGAGACCCTATCTCAAAAAAGAAAAACAAAAAACTATTAATGGACTCAAATGGTTATTCATCCATAATTGCATTTGTTGAAAATAGTTTTAATATTAAATTTTAAAAATTATTTATTTTTATACAAGTAATACTTGATCATTGTAGAAAATTTGGAAAGTACATTAAGCTTAAAGAAGGAAAGTTACAAACATGTAATTCCATAACCCAGAGAGAAATTTTGTTAACATGTTGATCAATAACCTTTAGCCTTGTTTCTATGCACTTTATTTGGTCAAAGTGAGTTAATATAGAATGCTTTGTTTTATTACTGGTTGTTTTGCTTAACATATCATGATTATTTTTTCCATGTCATTATATATTCAATATTATCATTTCTAAATGGCTATATCGTTTCTAGCTTATGGCTATTCCGGAGTTTATTAAACAAATCACCTTGTGTCCCTTTATAAGCAACATATTTTGTGTATCCTTGTATGTAAATCTTTTTAAATGTCCACCATGAAATCCTTAAGTTCCTAGATGCGGAACATCTAGTTCATTAGCAAATTCTGACAGCTCTCCCTTTAAAATATATCCTGATTCTGACCACTTCTCTCCATCTCCAATTGAGAGTTTTTTTGTTTTTTTTTTTTTTTGAGACAGGGTCTTGCTCTGTCACCCAGGCTAAAGTGCAATGGCATGATCACAGCTCTACTGTAGCCTCGACTTCCCAGGTTCCAGTGATCCTCCCACCTCAGCCTCCTGAGTATCTGGGACCACAGGTGTGCGCCACCATGCCCAGCTAGTGTTTTTTGTATTTTTTGTAGAGATGGAGTTTTGCCATGTTGCCCAGGCTGGTCTTTAATTCCTAACAGAGCTCAAGTGATCCACCTGCCTCCGCCTCCCAAAGTGCTGGGATTATAGGCATGAGCCACGGCACTTGGCCAAAATATCTTCTATTCCAAGCCACCATCATCTCTCATCAGACTATGACAGTAACCTCTAAGTGGCCTTCCTGCTTTCACCCTGCCCCTTTCAATCTATTTTTCCCAAAAACAACCAAGTAGGCCTCTTAAGTAAAAAATATGATCATGTCATTGCTCTACTCAGAACCTTCCACTGGCTTTTCATCACCCTCAGAAGAAACTCCATGTCCTTACCGTGGCCGGCACAGCCCACACGGCTGGATCCAGGTTACCTCTCAGACCTCATCTTCTGCTATGCTTCCCTGCAGGGTTCTGCTTGTTAGCCACCCTGATCTCTGCCAGTGTCTCAGCAGTGCCTAGTGTGATCCTGTAACAGAGCCTTTGCCTTGGATATTCCTTCTCTCAGGAGCTCTCCTCTCCCTCATAGCCACATAATTTGCCTCTTTACTTTTCAGGCCTGTGCTCAAGTTTTCCCACATTAGAAAAGTCTTCTCCATCTCTTTACTCTCGTGTTTCACTAGCTGACATTGCAGTGTATTTCCGGATTTATTGTCTGTCTCCCTTACAAAGACAATAACTTAGTTATTTTCACTGTTTATCCCCTTTGACAAGAACATGGGCCTGACATGCAACCAAATACTGAATACTGTGCTCACTAAATAGTTATAGGATGGATTAATGAATTCTATCCACATTTTTGAGGAAATTTAATCAAAGTTATTTTATGTTAGAAGGTTCTTATGAAACATCACTTGGTTTTTTGTTTTTCATTTTTGAGACAGAGTCTCACTCTTTTTGCCGAGGCTGAAGTGCAGTGGCGTGATCTTGGCTCACTGCAACCTCCACCTCCCAGGTTCAAGTGATTCTCGTGCCTCAGCCTCCCAAGTAGCTAGGATTACAGGCGCATGCCACCACGCCTGGCTAATTTTTGTATTTTTAGTAGAGACAGGGCTTCACCATGTTGCCCAGGCTGGTCTCGAACTCCTGACCTTAGGTGATCTGCCCACCTCAGCCTCCCAAAGTGCTAGGATTACAGGCGTGAGCCACCATGCCCAGCCACGTCACTTGGTTTTATAGTAAATTGGTTTAAGTGGCTATTTGAGCTGCTTGTTAATTTTAATAAGCTAAACATTTCAACTAAATATTATATTTATTTACTTTTCATCAAATCTGATTTACTTTACAGATGAGGAAACTGAAATTTAAAGATGCTCAGTAGTAACTTCCCAAGTTCAGACAGCTGGTTACAAGGCAGAGCTGAGGGTCAGCCTCATTCTCTCTGACCCCAGTGCTCTGTGCTATGTACATATTCCCTAGTTGCCCTCAGAAATACTGTGATGATGATTATTTATAACAGAATAGTTTTGTCCATTGCTTCACATCCTTGCACAAACTGGGTGTCTTTTGGGGTTGACCATTTTAACTGAAAGAAAATATTCTTTCATTTTTAACATCTACATTTATTTCATGCTTTTAAACATTTAAAAATCTGTGCTAGCTGTTTGTATTTCTTAATTTTATTTTAATTTAACATATATGTGTTAAGGACTTTCTATGTGCTAGACCTTATTCTGACTCTGGAAGGACGTATTACAGTCTCTGTTCTCTCAAAGCTTCCAGTATTTTGGCAGCCACTGATAACCTGTAGGGAAGCAGCTAAGTAGGGGGAAAAAAACCCAACATATCCAAAGATCAAGCAGCAATGGGATCTGACACATGAGAACAACAAAAACAACTCGCCATCATTAGAGGATAGAACAGAATGCAGGAAACTGGAAAGGTGAGAAGAAAAGACAACTCAGGACCGAACCCGTGCAGCCTCGGCGCTGAAGGATGAGTAGAGGAATCTGGCAAAATAAAGACGGACAAGGCATAGCCAGAGAGAAGGCTGGAAAGTCAGGGGAAATGGAGGCACAGCTGCAAAGAGCAGGCAGTGTTTCAGAGAGGTCGGATGCGCGCTGTGAAATGGTTAACAGATTTAGCAACATGGAAATTATTTGATCCTTTTATTAAAGTAAAAGAGAGAAACCAGATTTTATGGTAGTAGGTGAGGCAGTAGTGACAGTGAGCAAACAGTATGAGTTTCTTTTAAGAATGTTTAAAAGAAGATGAAAGATTGATAGCATCTGGAGGAACACACAGGGTATTTCCTTTTTTTTTTTTTCTTTTTTTTTGAGACAGAGTCTCACTCTGTTGCCCAGGCTGGAGTACCGTGGCGTAATCTCGGCCCACTGCAAGCTCCGCCTCCCGGGTTCACGCCATTCTCCTGCCTCAGCCTCCCAAGTAGCTGGGATTACAGGTGCCTGCCACCACGCCCAGCTACTTTTTTGTATTTTTAGTAGAGATGTGGTTTCATCAGGTTAGCCACGCTGGTCTCGAACTCCTAACCTCAGGTGATCCACCCATCTCAGCCTCCCAAACTGCTGGGATTACAAGCATGAGCCACCGCACCCCACCCACATGGGGTATTTCCTTGTATGTGTGTGCCGTGGCTTGTGTACCCAGCCCCCTATTAATAGATATTTGATGGTTTCCAGTTTTCATTGTTTTAATCCATATTATGATGAACATCCAAATGCAAACATCTTACCCAATTATCCCCATGGTTTAAATTTTTATTGGTGAGATGAATAGATCAATATAATGCACATTTTATTGCTTCTTTTATAATGTATATTTTAAATTTTAGTACTTAATATTTTGCAAGAGTTCTCTCCAGAAGGGTTGTACGAATTTACATTTTTACTAGTTTTGCAAGACCGTTCCTATTGCCAATACTGGGTAATGTTATCTTTCTCAAAAATGTGTACTTATTTGAACTTTGTCCTTTCTGATTGGGGGAGCACTTAATGTTAATCTTAGGTGATTTTCCTCCTTATCCAGAAGGAATTATTCAAAAATTCATATCAGTGTTAAAATAAGTCTTAGTAGATAATTAACATTTCTATTTGATTTATCATTAATGTATTTTAACTGTCATCTTTGATATTGCTAAATCTTTTTTGTTTTTTGTTTTTCTTAGTTTTTAGCAGAGTTTTACACTGCAAGAACCTTTCTCTTTTTATCAGAAAAAATAATTGTGCTAAATAGTAGTCAACCTGTTTGATACTAAGAATTATAGGTTCCTTTCGAAGTTGCTGATTTAACAGTCCTCAGCTAGAGTCTAGGAATCTGTATGTTATAAGCACCCTAGATGAGGCTTAGGGAAGTAATGGTGTGTGATAGAATGACAAAGAACTGTGCATCCAAAATGGAAAATGTTTGCTAGCATAAATAATTACGTTTCTCCTGTGGTAAATAAAAGACATTTATTGATTGATTGACACAGGGTCTTGCTCTGTCGCCTGGGCTGGAGTGCAGTGGCATGATCACGGCTCACCACAGTCTTAACCTCCCCAGCTCAAGCAATCCACCCATCTCAGCCTCCTGAGTAGCTGGGACTACAAGTGTGCACCACCACATATGGCAATTCCTTTTAATTTTTTGTAGAGGCAGGTTCTTGCTATGTTGCCCAGGCTGGTCTTGAACTCCTGGGCTCAAGCAGTCCTCTCACCTCCGCCTTCCAAAGTGCTAGGATTATAGGCATGAGCCACCACACCTGGGCCAGGCGCCATGGCTCATGCCTGTAATCCCAACACTTTGGGAGGCCGAGGCGTGCGGAACACAAGGTCAAGAGATTGAGACCATCCTGGCCACCATGGTCAAACCCCGTCTCTATTAAAACTACAAAAATTAGCTGGGTGTGGTGGCATGTGCCTGTAGTCCCAGCCACTCGGGAGGCTGAGGTAGGAGAATTGCTTGAACTCGGGAGGCGCAGTCGCAGTTAGCTGAGATCGCGCCACTGGTACTCCAGCGTGACGGCAGAGCGAGACTCTGTCTCAAAAACAAACAAACAAAAAAAGTCTGACTTTTTTCTTCCAGTTTTCTTTTTTATTATATATACCCATGTACCCATTTATTATATAAACCCTGTATCCATGAAGCATCACTCCCATTCTTCTCTCCCCTTATCCCCTGGTAACCACAAATATGCTTTCTGTCTCCGTGAACTTACCTATTCTGGATATTTCATGCATATTGCCTCATCATATATGACCTTTGGTGTCTGGCTTTGACTTAGCATAATGTTTCAAGGTTCATTCATATTGTAGCATGCTGAGGTACTTTGCTCCTTCTTTTTTTTTTTCTTTTTTTTTTTTTTTTTTTTTTTGAGACAGAGTTTCACTGTTGTTGCCCCGGATGGAGTGCAATGGCGTGATCTCGGCTCGCTGCAACCTCCGCCTCCAGGGTTCAAGCCATTCTCCTGCCTCCACCTCCCAAGTAGCTGGGTTTACAGGCATGCACCACCACACCCAGCTAATTTTGTATTTTTAGTAGAGACAGGGTTTCTCCATGTTGGTCAGGCTGGTCTCGAACTCCTGACCTCAGGTGATCTGCCCTCCTTGGCCTCCCAGAGTGCTGGGATTACAGGCGTGAGCCACTGTGTCCAGCGAGCTACTTTACTTCTTCTTATGGCTATACAGATATATTTTGTTTATTCATGACCCAAATGGACATTTGGGTTCTTTCCAATTGGATTCTTTCATTTTCGCTAGCATGAGTAGTGCTGCAGTGTATAGTAGTGTACGCATTTTTGTTTGAATACCTGTTTTCAGTTATTTGGGGTATATACCTGGGAGTGGAGTGGCTGGATCATATAGTAATTCTATGTTTGGCTTATTGAGAAACTACCAAACCGTGTTCCACAGCAATTGCACCAATTAATATTCCCACCAGCAATGTATGAGGGGCCCAGTTTCTCCCATCCTTGCCAACACTTGCTGTTGTTCATTTTGTTTTTAATTGTAACTCCCCTAACAGTGTGATATGATGTCTCATTGTGGTTTTGATTTGCATTTCCCTGATGATTCACAATGTCATATATGTTTTCATGTGCTTGTGAACCATTTGTATATCTTTGGAGAAATGTCTGTTCAGATTTTGTATTCATTTTTTTACATTTTAATTTAGATGCGGGTGTGCATGTGCCTGTTTGTTACATAGGTATATTGCATGCTGGTAGAGACTGGGTTTCTAGCGTACCTATCACTTAAATAGTGAACATTGTACCTGATAGGTAACTTTTCAACCCTGACCCCCCTCCCAACCTCCCCACTTTTGGAGTTCTCCAGTGTCTACTATTTCCATCTTTGCGTCCATGTGTACCCATTATTAGCTTCCACTTATAAGTGAGAACATGCAGTATTTGGTTTTCTGTTTCTGAGTTAGCTCACTTAGGATAATGGCCTCCAGCTCCATCCATGTTGCTGCAAAGGACATGATTTCATTCTTTTTTTATGGCTGTGTTGTACTCATTTTTTAATTGGATTGTTTGTATTTCTGCTGTTAAGTTGCAAGAGTTCTTTATATATTCTGGATGGTGGACCCCTGACAGATAGATAATTTGCAAGTATAGAAAAACACCCATTCTGCAGACTGTCTTTTCACTCTCTTGATAGTGTCCTTTGATGCACAAAAGGTTTTAATTTTGCTGAAATACAATTTATCTATTTTTCCTTCTGTTGCTTGTGATTTTGGTGTCATATCTAGGAATTCATTACCAAATCCAGTTCATGAAGATTTTCCCTTATGTTCTCACCTGAGACACTTATAAATAGTTTTAGCTCTTATATTTAAGTCTTTGATCAGTTTTTTTAGTTAATTTATATATATGGTGCAAGGTAAGGGTCAAACATTATTCTCTGTCAGAATTCCAGTGACTTTTTTTTTTTTGGCAGAAATGGAAAAATCGATTCTGAAATTCTTACGGAATCTCAAGGAATCCCAAATAATCAAAATAATCTTGAAAAAGAAAAAGTTGGTGGACTCACACATCCCCATTTTACAACTTACAACAAAGATTTAGTAGTCAAAACAGTGTAGGATATAAAAAACAGAATTCAGAGTACAAAAACAAACTCATACACCTATGTTCAATCCATTTACAACAAGGGTGCCGAGACCATTAAATAGAGAAAGAATAGGTCTCTTCACCAATTGATATTGGGACAACTAGGTATCAACATGCAAAGAAGGATGTTTGGCCCTAACCTCACACTTCTTGAAATTTCATTAGGGGACCAATATCAGTCACTAAACTATAACTTGGTTTTGTAGATTATTAGCTGTGGTCTTATGTCATCATTAATGGTTCTGTTTTATTTAAGATAAAAATAAAAGGCCAGACACAGTGGCTCATGCCTGCAATCCAACCCTTTGTGGGAGGCCAAGGCAGGAAGATTGCTTGAGCCCAGGAGTTTGAGAGTAGCCTGGGCAACTTAGTGAGACCCCATCTCCATAAAAATAAATAAATAAATAAATGGGCAGGGTGCAGTTGGGATTACACCTGTAATCCCAACACTGGAAGGCCAAGTGCTAGGATCGCTTGAGTCTGAACATTCAAGACCAGCCTAGGCAACATAGACCCCCAATTCTACAAAAAATTAAAAACTAGCTGGGGATGGTGGTTCACACCTGTAGTCCCAGCTACTCAGGAGGCTGAGGTGGAGGGATCGCTTGAGCCTGGGAGGTCAAGACGGCAGTGAGCTGTGATCACGCCACTGCACTCCAACCTGGGTCATAGAACAAGCCCGTGTCGCAAAAAAAGAAAATTATTTCAGAAACAAGATTGAGTACAGGGTAGACGTTTTAAATTTTTCAGAGGAGATCATTTTATGTGTTAGAAGTTTTTTGTTGGGCCGGGCGCCCAGACTCACACCTGAAATCCCAGCACTTTAGGAGGCCGAGGTGGACGGATCACCTGAGGTCAGGAGTTCAAGACCAGCCTGGCCAACATGGTGAAACCCCATCTCTACTAAGTAAAATACAAAAAAGTTTTTTGCTTGTTTAAGGCATTGTTGCTCAAAAATAATACCAAATTTCTATAACTGATCTTATTTATTTAAGCATCTACTATTTGTGTTCATCCAGGAATCATTTCTCATTTTGCTTCAGAGAGCTTGTTTACTTACAGGAAAATAATTTAACTGACCCAGCAGCAAAATGGTTTTCACACAACCACTTATCCTTATACAGGTTTAGCGTCACAAACCTGGACATCTGAAGTGCTCCAGCAAACTTTTTGAGGGCCAGTATGATACTCAAAAGACATTCTCATTGGAACATTTCAGATTTTTTGATAAGTATAATGTAAATATTGAAAAATCTGAAACACTCTAGTCCCAAGCATTTGGATAAGGGAGCTTCCTCCACCCGTACTGACTTAGGTCCATAATGGCCTGCTGCCTCCCTCAGGAGCATTGTCCCACATCTGTAATTGGGACCCAGGATACAGCTTCTGACTACTGAGGAGACTACAGTTAATGTGCTTGTTTTGGGAATGGAACGTATAGGGTTGGCCTCAGTTAATCCATTCTCATTCCTGCTCTTAGGATACAAAGAAAGCATGTGAAAATTAGCCAGAAAGATACATGTTATTCAGTAGTAGACTAGTGAGTAATAGAAAAGTCTGATTAAACTGTTTTATGAAATAAGGTTTTTTTTAATCTACATAATATGAAATCCACAAGTAGTGGGTGGTGCCAGGTTAGGCCACTGGTTCTGCTTCTCGATCACCCTCCTTAAACTAGCAGTCATATGCCTGGCTTGGCTCAAGCAGCAGCAGTTATTCCTGAAGCTTGCTCTGGGCCATCCTGCCCTCATTCAGGACTGGGGGAGAGGGAGGACTAGCATAGGGAGGAAGAGGAGAGTGGATGTTGAGTAGGCCCCAGCAGGCTTGCCACACACTCTGAACTCAATATGTGGTCACGTCTGGGGAAGGGACAGGGCATAGGAGTGGCCATTGAGGTTCTATTTTGTCAAACAAGACCAGGAAACAAACAGGACAAACTGGTCATGACTGTGCCTTCTAAGTGGTCAGAATGGGAATTTAAGTTGTTGCTTCTTGTGGTTTTCTGGGTTTAAAAAAAAAATTTCTAAAAAAAATTGTTTTTAACACATTGCATTAAAAAGAGAGGACATTAGAGTAGAATCAGAGACAGACTGGTCCTCCACAATAGCTCTTCTACTTAAAAGTTTTGTGGATGGAGGCAGATATCCTCTGCTCTGTGCTTTAGTTTTATTTACAAAATGTGAATCTTATCCCTGGTTTTTTTCTATTACCTAGGTTTTTGTGGGGTTTTTTTGTTGTTGTTTGTTTTGTTGTTGTTGTTGTTTTGCGACAGAGTCTTGCTCTGTTGCCTAGGCTGGAGTGCAGTAGCGTGATCTCGGCTCACTGCAACCTCCTCCTCCTAGGTTCAAGCGAGTCTCCTGCCTCAGCTTCCCAAGTAGCTGGAATTACAGGCGCCTGCTGCCATGCCTGGCTAATTTTTGTATTTTTGTATTTTTATTTTTATTTATTTATTTTTCTTTTTTTTGAGACGGAGTCTTGCTTTGTCACCCAGACTGGAGTGCAGTGATGTGATCTCAGCTCACTGCAAGCTCCGCCTCCTGGGTTCATGCCATTCTCCTGCCTCAGCCTCCTGAGTAGCTGGGACTACAGGTGCCCGCCACCACGCCCGGCTAATTTTTTGTATTTTTAGTAGAGACAGGGTTTCACCGTGTTAGCCAAGATGGTCTCGATCTCCTGACCTTGTGATCAGCCCGTCTCGGCCTCCCGAAGTGCTGGGATTACAGACGTGAGCCACCACACCCAGCCTAATTTTTGTATTTTTAGTAGAGACAGGGTTTCACCATGTTGGCCAGGCTGGTCTCTAACTCCCTACCTCAGGGGTTCCGCCTGCCTCGGCCTCCCAAAGTGCTGGGATTACATGCGTGAGCCACTGCTCCCGGCCTACCTAGGTTTTTTTTACAAGGAGGAAAATAAGAGGTAAAAAGTTTTTTAAATCATAAAATACTGAATAAGTTCAAGTATTATTTATTCCATTTACATTCATAATTTTAGAAACTTTTTGTTGAAATTTCACAAAGTGATAGAATTAAAGTAAACTTGGATTTTCTTCAATTTCACAGTCTTTCCTCTGAATCACTCAGCCATTTACTCCCCACTTTATTGATTTGAAATGTATCCTTGGTAATTACACTTCACTAATTTTATGGCATATTTGAGATAACAGCTATACCCAGAAATTCATGATAGTCTTATATAGTCACATGAATCTTCTGCTTTTTGTCTCCTTTTAGGTGAATGGTGATATTCCCCCTCGGTTAAAAAAGAGTGCTCATGAAATCATCCTCGACTTCATCAGATCCAGACCTCCTTTAAATCCAGTATGTAATTCGACATAGTTCTCTAGATTGGAGATATCATAATGAATTATTCTACTCTAGGGTGTCATCTCTAGAACTCAGCTTTCCTAGGTGGTTTTTCCTCTGAGCTTTTTACTCTGAAGATGAAGCCCAGCTGTAAATTATATTTTTTGTTTTTAAGACAGAGTTTCACTGTGTCACCCAGGCTGGAGTGACCCCTGGGACTCAAGTGATCCTCCCACCTCAGCCTCCCAAGTAGCTGGGACCACAGGTGTGCACCACCATGCCCAGGCTAACTTTTTAAATTTTTTGTGGAGATGTGGTTTTGCCATGTTGCCCACGCTGGTCTCAAACTCCTGGCCTCAAGCAGTCCTCCCACTTCAGCCTCCTGAAGTGTTGGGATTACAGACATGAGCCACTACAGCTGGCCTTGTAAATTATATTCTTAAGTCACTGAAAAATCTTAAAATTATTTAATACAAGGCTGTCTTAGGATACTTTTACTCAAAACAACCTGGGTCATGGTGCAAAATCTGGTCATATACCTCCTAGATAACAGCTAAATATATTACTGGATAGTCCTGTTATGGATTGTCCTTCCAGTTTACTATAGGATGCAACCTACCCCTCCTTGATTAAATTGTCATATTGACATATTTTATAATAAATCCACCTGCTGTACATCCATTTCTATGTTAATTATCATGTTCCTCTGTTAACAGAGTTCTTTCTAGCAACCATAGACTCAGAATATTCTAATCTGTTGGAACATTGGTTTGTGTTTCTTCTGTTCCTTATTTCTTTTTTACCCGGCTCAATAGCCAGTGCTCACCAAAGCCTCTCAAAACAGTGTACATAAAGTAACTAGAAAGTGAATAGTATTTCTCAGTTTGTATACAACTAAAGCATAATTAATGATCCTTTTTATAAATCTTTTTTAAAGAAGGCAAAGAGGGCTACCTAGGAGGGTTTTTTTTTTTTTTTTTTGAGACAGAGTCTCACTTTGTCGCCCAGGCTGGAGTGCGGTGATGCAATCTCGGCTCACTGCAAGCTCCGCCTCCTGGGTTCACGCCATTCTCCTGCCTCAGCCTCCCGAGTAGCTGGGACTACAGGCACCTGCCACCACGCCTGGCTAATTTTTTTGTATTTTCAGTAGAGATGGGTTTGTTTTTTTTTGTATTTTTTTTTTTTTTTTTTTGAGATGGAGTCTCACTCTGTCGCCCAGGCTGGAGTGCAGTGGCGCGATCTCGGCTCACTGCAAGCTCCACCTCCCGGGTTCACACCATTCTCCTGCCTCAGCCTACCAAGTAGCTGGGACTACAGGCGCCTGCCACCATGCCCGGCTAATTTTTTTTGTATTTTTTTTTTTTTAGTAGAGACGGGGTTTCACCGTGTTAGCCAGGATGATCTTGATTTCCTGACCTCGTGATCCGCCCACCTCGGCCTCCCAAAGTGCTGGGATTACAGGCGTGAGCCACCGTGCCCGGCCGAGGTTTTTTCTCTGAGCTTTTTACTCTGAAGATGAAGCCCAGCTGTAAATTATATTATTTTTGTTTCTGAGACACAGTCTCACTGTGTCTCCCAGGCCAGAGTGGTCATGGTAGGATGGTAGGTCATGGTAGAACAGAAGGAGCATGGACCATGTGAACCTGGACTTGAACACTGGCTCCACAATTTAGCAGCCACGTATCTCTGAGGGAGCTAATCAGCCTCCCAGAGCCTTTATTTCCTCAATTATAAAATGAAGATAATAACAATCTAAGAAGGTTATGGGTGGTTACTAAAAAATGTTAGTTTTAAAAACAGTAGAGCGGGGTGTTCACAGCACTTGGGAGGTGGCTCACACCTGTAATCCCCACACTTTGGAAGGCCAGGATGGGAAGATTGCTTGGGCCCGGGAATTCAAAACCAGCCTGGGCAACATAGAGAGACCCTCTCTCTACAAAGAAATTAAAGAAAAAAAAATTAGCCGTGTGCAGTGGCATACACTTGTTGTCCCAGCTACTCAGGAGGCTGAGGTAGACGGATCACTTCAGCACAGGAGGTCAAGACCACAGTGAGCCATGATCGTGCCACTGCACTCCAGCCTGGGTGACAGAGCAAGACCCTGTCTCAAAAACAAAAAACAAAACAAAACAAAAACACAAAAAAAAGAACAGTAGTAATAACCTGCATTGCAACTGATTACCTATCACGCTAGCATATAGGGAACATAATTATAACTGCTTAAAATTAGTTGAGCAAGCCAGGCTCAGTGGCATGCGCCTGGAATCCCAACCACTTGGGAGGCTCAGGCAGAAGGACCCCTTGAGCTTAGACATTCAAAGTGTAGCCAGGTGCAGCGGCTCATGCCTGTAATCCCAGCACTTTGGGAGACTGAGGAGGGTGGATCACTTGAGATCAGGAGATCGAGACCAGCCTGACCAACTTGGTGAAACCCCATCTCTACTAAAAATACAAAAATTAGCCAGGCATGTTGGCACACGCCTGTAATCCCAGCTACTCGGGAGGCTGAGGCACGAGAATCGCTTGAACCCGGGAGGCAGAGGTTGCAGTGAGCTGAGATTGCACCACTGCACTCCAGCCTGGGCAACAGAGTGAGACCCCTCCTGTAAGCAATAAAATACAATTTGAGAATGTATAACCAAATCACTCTGATATCCAGTAATCTCCCTATTGCTTTAGGAACCTTAATATTTAATGACTTGAAAGTAATCTTTTATCAAGCAGTGTTCCAGTCAATGAAATGTAATTTATAATACTGTACTGTATGACTAGACTTCAGTAAAAATTACTTAATTACTGAAGTCTTTAGCCATTTTTCTTACTTTCAAGGTCTCAGCCAGAAAACTGAAACCAACTCCACCACGGCCACGGAGCCTCCATGAAAGAATATTAGAAGAAATTAAAGCAGAAAGAAAGCTGCGGCCTGTATCACCAGAGGAGATTAGACGTAGCAGATTAGGTGAGTCCACTGCTTCCTGTACTCAGTCTAGAGTCATCCCCTGGGAAAAGGATCTTTATACACCCAGCCCCATGAAAGTAAAGAGTTCTCATTCCTTGTTCATTTCTCTGTATCTCACTCACTTGTTCTCCCTCTCACTCTCTCGTATACATACCCCCTCTCACTCTCTCATATACATACCCCCTCACACTTACTTGAAATTTATAGGGTGGGAAATCCTTCCGCCTATCTAATACTGAACTATATGAGAACATCGTGCCGTAATTGAAAGAGCTCTGCCAGTCTCTAGGCTGAGGTTTTAGGAAAGTCTCTTTACCTCTCTGAGCATCATTTTCTTCATTGGCAGAAGGGGGATAAAAGTTCCTCTTAACCTACATTATGAGTTTTATGTAAGAATTAAATAGGATTATGGTAAAAAAATACTTTATAAATTGTATTGCATATACAAAGATAACGTATTATATTTTAAAAATATAGATGATAGATGTACAGTTTTACCTTATGTTTGTTTATTATGGGTTTAAAGATACCCGTAATATTATGTCATGAAAGCATGTTATTACCGGATATTACTTAACTTATTTCTAAACTTCCTTTACAGTTATTATTTTTTATTTTTTAGTGTATACTACAAGCACATATTGATTTTGATTTATAGGAAGGCCATATTATAAGATGTCTGTAAACATTTTTATTTATACGACTGTCTTTCAGTTTGTAAGACTAAAAATGCCCAAAGAATCCAGAGAAACTGCCTTTACGAAAACGGTCTATAGTGGTACCTTAACAGGAAAGGATCTGGTTTTGTGACCCCCACTCTGCTAGTTTTCTCCTCTGATCTCTTCTTCTGCCTTTTTCAGACTCTTGGACTTCAAAGTTTCTATCCTGGCTTCTGTTCTCCCTAAGCAACCATACCCTCTTCCATGGTTTTTGTTTCTGACTACCTTCCAGCTCACAGTCTACATTGCAGATCTGTAAAAATGCAGACTCATACGTCCAGCTGTCTGCTAGATAGAGCCTTATCATATCCTACAAGCAAGACAAACCCAATATTTCCACAAGTGAACTCATCCTGTCTCTCCCCAAACCATTGCATTTTGTTTTCCCAATGTAGAAACCTTAACATAATCTTTGACTCTTACCCGATGGCCAACCCCTGTTGATTTTACTTCCTCTGGATCTTTTTAATCTTCTACTCTTCTCAGCCCAGCAGCCACTATCCCAGCCGAGGCTGTCATCTGTCGCAGCAGCACTGATTGTCCTCCTGCTTCCAGTCTTGAATTCTTCCACCATTCCATATTGATTTTCCTTGTTTAATCCTGACCCTTCTGTTGTGTGACCTTCGTGATGACAGGGCCCATGTCTGTCTTGTTCGTTGTTGTGTCCCTAGTACAGCACTGGGCTGTACAGAGTACTCTCATGGGTTGAAATAATTAAATGTACTTTCTGGTGACAAAGCTTCAGAGTGGATCACTTGAGCCCAGGAGATCAAGGCTGTAGTGAGCTGTGATTGCACCACTCCACTCTAGCCTGGGTGAACCAAGATTCCATGGAAAGAAAGAAAGAAAAAAAAAAGATCAGTTGACTGTATATGTGTGGGTTCATTTCTGGACTCTTTGTTCTGTTCCACTGTTGTTTGCCAGTACCATGCTGTTTTTGTTATTGTAACTTTATAATATATTGTAAGATCAGAAAGTGTGATGTCTCTGGCTTTGTTATTCTTTCTCAAGATTGATTGGCTATTCATTGTCTTTTGTGGTTCCATAGGAATTTTAGGATTATCTTCTACTTCTGTAAAAAATACCATTAGGATTTTCTTGGGGATTCTATTGGATCTGTATATAGCTTTGGGTAGTATTCACATGTTAACAGTAAGTCTTTCAATTCATGAATATTATTCTTCCATTTGTTTCTGTCTCATAGTTTTTGTATATAAGTCTTTTACCTCCTTATTAAATTTACTCCTAGATATTTTATTCTTTTTGGTGCTGTTGTCAATGGGATTGTCTTTTTGTTGTTAGTGTATTGAAAAAAATTTTTATGGAGTTTTCTATCTGTAAGATCATGTCATCTGCAAACAGGGACACTTTTATTACTTTCTTTCCAATTGGATGCCTTTTATTTCTTTTTTTGCCTAACTGCTCTGGCTAGAACTACCAGTACTATGTTGAATATAGAAGTGGTCATCCTTGCCTTGTTCCTGATTTTGGAGGAAAAGCTTTCAGTTTTCCCTTATTGAGTATGATGTTAGCTGTCAGCTTTCCATATGTGGCCTTTATTATGTTGAGGTAATTTCCTTCTATTCCTAATTTGTTGAGTGTTTTTATTTTGAAAAGGTGTTGAATTTTGTCACATGCTTTCTCTGCATTTGAAATGATCATGTGATTTTTATTCTTTATTCTGTTACGGTGGTGTATCATGTTAATTGATTTTCATGTGTTAAGCTGTCCTTGCATCCCAGGGATGAATCCCACTTGGTCATGATGTATGATCCTTTTATTGTGCTGATGGATTCAGTTTGCTAGTATTTTGTTCAGAATTTTGAATCTATATTCATTAAGGATTTTAGCCTGTAATTTTGGGGGTTTTGGCCTCGTAAAACAAAATTAGAAGTGTTCTCTCATCTTCAGTGTTTTGAAAGAGCTTGAGAGGGATTGGCATTAATTCTTCTTTCAATATTTGGTAGAATTCACCAGTGAATCCATCTGGTCCTGAACCTGCCTTTGTTGGGGAGCTTTTTGATGAGTGATTCAATCTCTCATAGCAAGCCATATTCTTCAGTTTCACTTTTTAAAATTATATGTAGTTGCTAATGGGAACCCTACTTTAGAATAATTAAATAACATTTTTATGTTAAGTATGTCTTTATTTTAACCTTGACAATTGGTATTTCACAACCACCAGAATTGAGCTGTTACAGAAAGATATTGTTCTGTGAGAGTGTTACTTCTAGAATTCCGAGTTCAAATGGATATTAAACCCTAATTGTAAAGTAAGGGATTTTGGTCATTTTTTCTACAGAACTACATTGGTTCTTACTATACAGTTTTGCTTTGGGGAGTTCAGTTCTGATAATATTGGCAGAATTAACTTGAAGAAAAGTTTCCCTAAATATTTGTATCACTTTCCCCTACATGTAATTGCAAGTAGGAGCTCAATGCAGCAATGGCAAAAATGCCTGAATGTTTAAAGATGAAAATGTTACCCATAATAACAACAGCCGGAGGCATCCACTGTGAATTTACTTGTGCATTACAAAATGAGGATGAAAACTGTGTATATACAGTACTTTGTTATCTGCATCTAATGGTTTATTTGGCATGACCATCTTCCTATGTCATTAAATATGACTCCAAATACGATTTATAAGGATGTGATCTCCTAACAGATGGCTAAATTGGGTTTTATTTACCTATTTTCCTGATTCACAAGCTTTTTCTATTTTTT
The DNA here is from genome assembly GCF_000001405.40 of Homo sapiens. Lineage (NCBI taxonomy): Eukaryota > Metazoa > Chordata > Mammalia > Primates > Hominidae > Homo > Homo sapiens. The sequence goes on along the minus strand of NC_000018.10, from coordinate 12,489,624 downwards.
CCTAGTAAGTCTGAAATTACTATTCTTGTACATCAGTCTTTGTTCATGTCTCTGATCATTTGTTTTCTTCTAAACATCTTAATTGACATCCTCAATTTTTGTCCTCTTTTTGATATAGAGATTGGAAAATATATAAATGTCATCTCCCAAGAAATAATTGCATCCCCTTCTTAACACAGTAGTCAGCCTTATTTCAAAAGATATATTCAAGTGCTAGAGAAAAAAAGAGCAGAATAAAAAGATATTAGAGAAGATGGAAGAGTGCTGTGATAATATGTAATACTTTATTTGCTATACATAATTAGGACAATCTAGAGTAGGTAATATAGGAGTTTAGAAGTACGGTTTTTTGAATGGTGAGTGGAAGATGTTTTTTTTCTTTACTTTTTAGAAAACTTTTCCGAGATAAGTTCAAGGAAGATTATTCTTTCTTTTTTGAGACGGAGTCTCGCACTGTCTCCCAGGCTGGAGTGCAGTGGTGCGATCTTGGCTCATTGCAAGCTCCGCCTCCTAGGTTGACACCATTCTCCTGCCTCAGCCTCCCGAGTAGCTGGGACTACAGGAGCCCGCCACCAAGCCCGGCTAATTTTTTGTATTTTTTTTAGTAGAGACGGGGTTTCACCATGTTAGCCAGGATGGTCTCAATCTCCTGACCTCATGATCCACCCGTCTCGGCCTCCGAAAGTGCTGGGATTACAGGCGTGAGCCACCGCGCCTGACCCAAGGAAGATTATTCTTATCAACACAAAATCCCTAATCAATTTCCTATGAGATAATTAAAACACAGTAAAATGCCTGTTTAAAACATACTATACATTAGGATGAAAATACTTAAAATATTATTTCCCAGTCCTTGAACAGTAAGTATGATTGTTAAATAATAGTTGATTTATTTGCCACATCTAACATGCATATCCCCTTTATTGACGTGTGTATATCTAAAAACATCTACATATGATTCTGACATCTTGCTAATGTGTGCTTGGGATGTAAATAAGTACTTTTCCTTCACGTCATTTTTTTTTAATATTGAGCTTTTGGGTTGTAAATAAAAATTATTCCTTTAAAACCAGCTGCTAAAATACACACTGAGACATATTTACATTCCATTAAATTGGGGTATTAGAAGTCTAGAGGCTGTCTCCCTGGAAAACAGCAACTAGAGAGACATTGTGCCTGATATGCCTGTACTTCCGAAGCTACTGCTGCTCTGCAGTGTGTCCGTCTCCAACCACAAAGGCCCTCCCCACTGGGCATAATCCCCACCAGGACCTCAGGCTTCCAGAAATCAAAAGCCAGGAAGGCAAGGTTATCTTTGGTGACAACAGAGTTTCACCAAGGGGCCAACTTTGTGAAATGGGGTGACAAAAAAATTACAAGGAAAAATAATTAACATCTCAAATTATTCTACCCTCTTTATATGAAGAGGATTTAAAAGAACAGAAGAAAGGATATGGCAAACGATATTCAGTGAGGCATTGCTTTGGCTTCAGCAGTTTTGGAGAATATGGGAAGTCCTGGTAGATTTAGTTTTTGGAATGGAAAACGAAGACTGTGCTTTGTTGGAGAGGAAGGGAAGAATGGCCAATGGATATCTGAAGTCCTGTGCATCAGTGTCTGATGTGCTGGTTTCTGAACAATCCTAGGAAGGCTGAGCCTGTGTCACAGGAAAGATGTTTTCTCTTTGATGCAAAGGTACTGGTAAGAGCTTTGGACTGCAGTGAAAATAGATAATCCTCGCTGTCATGAATACCTAAAATCATCACATCTCTGCAATAACCTTTTTAACAGCTTTATTGAGCTTTACGCCATTTATATACCATAAAATTCACTCATTTAAAGTATACAATTTAGTGGTTATTATATGCATAAATTGTAAAAGCAGAGTGCTTCAACAGGAAATAAATAATAATTTCATTTTTAAGAAATGATAGGCCAGGCACAGTAGCTCACGCCTGTAATCCTAGCACTTTGGGAGGCCGAGGCGGGCGGGTCACAAGGTCAGGAGTTCAAGACCATCCTGGCCAACATGGTGAAACCCTGTCTCTCTAAAAATACAAAAATTAGCTGGGCCTGGTGGCAGGCACCTGTAATCCCAGCTACTCGGGAGATTGCTTGAACCTGGGAAGCAGAGGTTGTAGTGAGCCGAGATTGCACCACTGCAGCCACTGCACTCCAGCCTGGCAATAGAGTGAGACTCCATCTCAAAAAAAAAAAAAAAAGAAAGAAAATAAATGATAATTACGGTAGTCTTCTTTTATCTGAGGGGGAGACATATGCCAAGACCCCGAGTGGATGCTTGAAACCATGGATAGTACCAAACTTTATATGTACTATGTTTTTTCCTTTACATGCATACCTATGAAAAAGTTTATTTTATAAAATAGGCTCAGTAAGAGATTCACAACAATTACTAATAATAAAATAGAAAAAGTAATATTCAGGAAACATGCAATTTAAAACTTATGAATTGGCCGGGCATGGTGGCTTATGCCTGTAATCCCAACATTTTGGGAGGCCGAGGCATGTAGATTACCTGAGATCAGGAGTTCGAGACCAGCCTGGCCAATATGGCAAAACCCCGTCTCTACTAAAAATACAAACGGTAGCCAGGCATGCTGGTGGGCACCTGTAATCCCAGCTACTCAGGAGGCTGAGGCACAAGAATTGCTTGAACCCGGGAGGCGGAGGTTGCGGTGAGCTGAGATCACACCACTGCCCTCCAGCCTTGGCAACAGAGCGAGACTCCATTTCAAAATAAATAAATAAATCTTATGAATTATTTATTTCTGGGATTTTTCATTTGATATTTTTGGATCATGAGTAACTAAAACCATGGAAAGTGAAAATACGATAAGGAAGGACCACCATATTCAGTTTTTACTGTGTGTCAAGCACTATTCTAAGCACCTTTTTTACATGAAGTTATTTAATCTTTATAACAATTCCATAAGATAGGATTATTCCCATTTTACAGATGAAGTAACTAAAGCACAGAGAGGTTAAGTAACTTGCCTGGGGTCACACTCCCAGTTAGTGGCAGAGCTGAGGTTCAAACTCAGGCAATCTGTCCTGTCCTTCAACTACTAGGTTATATGGCCTACAATAGATAGTTTATTAACACATAATGGTGATGCTGCTGAACTAGCTGAACTGAGAATTTTTTATGAACTGTTTCACCTTTATTCTGAGAGCCAAATTTTCATCCTGACATAAATTATTGAAGGATAAATTTACTCTGAAATTTTAAAGATGTTGTATGTTCCCTAAAATCATGTTTTAAAACATGGCTTTTTTAAAAATCTATATTTAAGTCAAACATCTTATTCTGTGATTCTTTAAAATGTTTGTATTTTTATCATGCTTTCATTTTTTACTTGTTTTCTAAAAAGTTACTTTTTCCTTTTATTGTTCCTCCATTTGAAGTCTTAGTGATATAACTGAAACTAAGACTCTTGCATGGTTTTAATGTATTTCAGATTTTCATTCACTAGCTTCTGCCTGCCTTAGAGTCTGACATGTAGCCACTAAGGGTCTTCATTAATCCGTTCCCTTTTTTGTCCTCTCTGTATATTCCTAACAGCTGAATTATTTTCTTTTTATTGTTTGTTTTCTTTTTTTCAGCAATGCGGCCACTTAGCATGTCTTACAGTTTTGACTTGTCAGGTAAAAAAAACAAAAACACTTTTACACCTGACGTGGGTTTTGTGGTTTCTGTGAAATACATTTCATTCATCTGCTTGTTCAAACATGTTAAAAAAGAAAATTGAAAGGCTTCTGCTAAGCCGTGGTCAGTAAAATAAAACATTCTGCTTGTTTGAAAACAATATATGTAAAAAAGATACAAGACTACAGTAAATCTGTTTTCTCCTAAGCAATTTTGGAAGAACCATCACACCACACTCATGGTTCTAGAAGATGGTGCCCATCTTAATGGCGGCTGTCACTGTCCAGGCTCTTCTAGAGCAATGAGGTTAAAGCCTACAGCAGACCTTTGCCCTAAGAGAATAGAAAAAAACTTCATAGAAACAAAATTCTGACACATCTACTTCCTGTTCTCTAAAGCATTCAGTTATTTAAGTAACTAAACTTAAAATGGTTATCTACTTCAGATGACAGCACCTCAGTTGATGGGCAAGAACTCTTTTGTATCTTTGTGCTCAGTGGATAGAGCCTAGTCATGAATGACTTTGAATGCTGATTAAGAGTATAAAAATACAGGCCGGGCGCGGTGGCTCACGCCTGTAATCCCAGCACTTTGGGAAGCTGAGGTGGGCGGATCTTAAGGTCAGGAGATGGAGACCATCCTGGCTAACACGGTGAAACCCCGTCTCTACTAAAAATACAAAAAAATTAGCCAGGCGTGGTGGCACACACCTGTAGTCCCAGCTGCTTGGGAGGCTGAGGCAGGAGAATTGCTTGAAGCCAGGAGGCGGAGGTTGCAGTGAGCCGAGATCGCGCCACTGAACATCAGCCTGGGCAACAGAGCGAGACTCAGTCTCAAAAAAAAAAAAAAAAGAGTATAAAAATACAAGAGCATTGTAATGGCTTTGGTTGTAATATATAATTATGTGCCTCAGATTTGTAGTACAAGTTTAGACCCTTCTGTTAAACAGAGATTAATAGTGAAATAACTAAATTTGAGCTATAAAATCAACCCTTTATAAATTAAAACTTTAAATATATATGAGTGAATTTTCTTTTATTTATTTATTTATTTATTTTAGGAAATAGAGACAGGGTTTCACCATGTTGCCCAGGCTGCTCTCAAACTCCTGGGCTCAAGCAATTCACCAACCTTGGCCTCCCAAAGTGCTAGGAATACAGGCGTAAGCCACCTCACCCAGCCAGGTGAATTTTCAAAGCCAACTTAATCCCAATAAAATATTTTGCAAGTTAGAGTTTTTAATTTTGGAAGCTACTGTTTTAAATATAAAATGAGATGAGATGTTGGCACAAATATTTTCTTTTGGGATTTTCTTTTAAATGCCATAGAATGCCTCTTAAGATAACAAAGAATTGTTGGCATACCTTACGTACAAATTCATATTTAAAGAGTTCTAGTATATTCTGTATATGAATATTTATTGAGTATCTTCCAGCTACAAAGCTAGTTTCCAACTGTTTTTAAATCTTTTGCTTATTTGTGTAGGTCTCAGGCATGACTGTAATATTTTACAATCACTCACTTACTATTTTTGACTGACCACTGAAGAGCTTTTTCTATTTTCTTTATTCATTTGGAATTTTTATTTTTTCAGCCATTTGCAAAGTGACCTTGTAAAAAATTTGGTCTGGAAAATAAACACAGGAACATAGTAATATATATGTCACTACTAATCCCCAAAAGTTGGCAATATACATTACAGATACTCTACCTTTTTTGAATATCTACAAAAGATGCTTCCATTAGTTGGACCGTAATAAGAAAGCGAGTGGTTGGCTGCCTAAACACATTGACCATTGGCTAATCTAAATTAGGTACACATTGCTGATCTTGACAGTATGCATGCTTACACACCTCATCTATAGGTATGTTGTGTGTTCTGTGTTCTTGCAGCCTATACGATGGGTTCTGTTTGGAAAGAAAACTCTTGGTACTTAAATTTCTTAGTGTAAAAGGGTAGCAGAGAATTTTTATTTGGTTTCACTGCTTATCATTTGCTATAATTTATTTCATGTCTTCATGTACTTCGTGATTTTCTAATGCTTCATTCTTGATTTCTTGTGCTGCTTTTATGTTTTTCATTGTTGCATTTTAACTATTAATTAAAATTTCCCAAATTATAAATAGAAAAGATTGATTCATTCTTCTAACTTAAATGCAAAGATTGGAGTGCATTTTCTGAGTTAGAAAATGAACAAACTAGTGAGAAACATTGTAAACATATAGTGTAGATGATAACTCTGAACTTAAGTACAAGATAATGATGAATATTCTGCTGCTTAAGTATATCTTAGAAATATTAATTCTTAGTGAAAATCTTAACCTATTCAACATCACTTATGGTAAGTATAACTTATTTTTCCTATACAGGTATTAAATATATAATTTATATGCCAGTCACATTTCCTCACACTAAATAAGGCAGCAGACACATATATTTAATATCATGGGTATGCATTTTAGGTTCTAAACCTAAGGTATGTGATTTCTAAAGCCATATCTAAATATTTCACCTCTTAAATATTTTGCTTACATATAAATATCACCAGTTTTTTTTTAAGAAATGCCATCTTATGTACAAGAAATACAAAGCCTATCCAAGTGTTTTGCTTTTCTCATTTGATACATTAAAGTAAAAATGATAATTTATTCATTCAAACAGAAAACTATAAGTGATCAAACTTCTTAAAAATATGTTTTCCGGGCACAGTGGCTCACGCCTATAATCCCAGCACTTTGGGAGGCTAAGGTGGGCAGTTTGCTTAAGCCCAGGAGTTTAAAATAAGACCAGCCTGGGCAACATGGCAAAACCCTGTCTCCTACGCACACACACAAAAAAATACCAAAAAATTAGCTAGGCGTGGTGGTGCACACCTGTAGTCCCAGCTACTTGGGAGGCTGAGGTGGGAGGATCGCCTGAGCCCGAGAGGTCAAGGCTGCAGTGAGCCATAATTGTGCCACTGCACCCCAACCTGCGCAACAGAATGAGACCCTGTCTCAAAAAAAAAAAAAAAAAAAGTGCAATTAAGTCTTTTGCCAGTCTGTGGTATGAGATAAAATCACTCAAGTGTTTAGATCATCTTGAAACCTGGCTGTTACATAACCCGTTTTTTATTAATTCAGTTTTTCTCAAAGCTTTGAATTTAGTACAGATGTTTTCTTTCAGTAGTCTCAGTCAATTAGCTAAAATAATAATTATCAATCTCATAGCACAGGGTTCAGGCAATTACAGAGCTATTGGACAATTTCTCAAATCCCCTGCATTGAGAATAAACTGAACTCAAGGCAGCCACTGGCATTTGACAGTGTTCCCTAAAATTCAGTTCATATGCCATCTTTATGAATTTCTGCCAGCCTTAAGTGCCCCGGTACTATTAAAAATTTTTAATCTGCCATAAACAACTTTAAACATTTCTTAAGCAATAAAATCATGGATCTTAAAATACAGTATTTTTTTTCTGCAGCAAAAAGTATTTATTTATTTATTTATTTTGCAGCACATTAAAATAAATATGGGCCTGGTGCGGTGTCTCATGCCTGTAATCCCAGCACTTTGGGAGGCTGAGGCAGGCGGATCACAAGGTCAGGAGATCCAGACCATCCTGGCCAACATGGCGAAACCTCGACTCTACTAAAAATACAAAAAAATTAGCTGGGCGTGGTGGCACATGCCTGTAGTCCCGGCTACTCTGGAGGCTGAGGCAGGAGAATCGCTTGAACCCAGGAGGCAGAGGTTACAGTGAGCTGAGATCGCGCCACTGCACTCCAGCCTAGAGACAGAGCGAGACTGTCTCAAATAAAAAATAAATAACTGCCAAAACTATTTGAGTGTTCCTCTGTGCAGTGGTATGCATACAGTGCTATTCTTAGGGAAACTCTGGCTTTGTCGATTGGAAATGTGGGGCCAGCATGAGAAGCTGGTTGTGTTTCTCTTATTATGATAACTCCAATTATAGTAATTAGAAAGTGACCTGCTGCCAGGTCAGCGGTGGGAGCCTCTGTGAGAACGTGGTTAGGAAAGGTGGAAGGTGTGTGCGTTTGAAATACTTGTGCTTTCTCCTAGAAAATTCCCACAAAATGTCAACAATTCTATTTCTCATTATATCTCCTTTTAGAAGATTCCTACAAAATATCAACAATTCTATTTCTCTTATCTCCTTATTGAAAGATTTAAGATTTTTACCTTTATAATTTGTATAAAAACTTGCTGCTTTTTGCCTTTTGTCCCTTTCAGTGCTCCCCACCACCATCACCAATTATTTATTTGTTCTAGCTATTTAATGCCTGGGAAGGTAACAGTAAAAGAAATGCATGTGTTGTCAAGTTCTCAATTAAAAATTTTATGTAAAAAGATAATTAATGGACAGCTGTTCTTCCTTCTTTCCTTTCTTCCTCCCTTCTCTTTCCCTTTTTTCTTTTTCTTTTCCTTCCATTATTTCTAGCTTGTTCAAACCCTTCAAAAATAAGTAGAAATTATAAATATTAAATAAGATATATATCATTTGTAATAAGAAATAATTTACATGGTTTTTATAAATAATGTCAGGGAAAGCTGCACTAGAACACACTTATATACCAAGTGTTTCCTGGAGCTCTACCTCTCGTACTTAAGGTGTGTAAATATTACTTGCTAGGGGGGAATATCCTACTGTAAACAGCACATTCTTGCGGGGGGCGGGGGTTGTTCTTTTTTTTGAGACACAGTCTCACTTTGATTCTCCTGCCTCAGCCTCTCGAGTAGCTGGGATTACAGGCGTCCACCACCACGCCTGGCTAATTTTTATATTTTTAGTGGAGACGGGGTTTCACCATGTTGGTCAGGCTGGTCTCAAACTCCTGACCTCAATTGATCCTCCTGGCTCGGCCTCCCAAAGTGCTGGGATTACAGGCGTGAGCCACCATGCCGGGCCACATTCTTGTTTTTTATAGTAACCTCAGTTACAGTGCTTTCCCCTCTAAAAGAGCATCAGTCAGTCTTTTTCACTTTAGTACTTAGCATGCCCTTTGCCCCATCTACGGCAGCCTCACAGACTGCATGCAAAGAGCAGTCGAGTGTGCTGGTCTATAAATTACATCATGCGGTAACTGCTCTTTTTCACTTATAAATGTACCGATTTTATAGTTACTAAATTTAGCCCATTTTTAACTCTTCATTTGAAATACTGAAGAAAAGTAGTTCCATTTGCCTTGGAGGATTCCAGGCTATGGTACCAAAAAGCAGGCCATCAGAGTCAGTACTGACAAAGACTCATGGATCAGCTGTGGCATGACACCATGGTGCCACTTGCCGAATCCATCTGAGCCTTAGTTTATTTATTCACCAATAGAGATCAAAATCAGTATGAATAATTGCTAACATTTATTGTTCACTGCCTGTACTAGGCACAGAATTTTATATGCAATTATTAACCTGTTTAATGCTCACAACAAGCCCACGTCTGTTAGTATCCTCATTTTACAGATGAAAGGAGATTAGATAGCAGTAGAGACCCAAACCATCCCCCACACCACACTATAGACTGCTTCATTGTCTGTCATTTGTTGTATTGCCTTCTCATCCAAATTTGAGCTCTTAATAATATAAATCAGACTCATCAGAGGAAATGTATCCCAGACTTTTTGTGTTCACATTAAATATGTTTATATGAATATAGATTATTAGCCATTTTTATTTTCAAACCAAAACTTTTTCAGATCTTACAGCCATGTGTCTGGTAAGGCTTTGTGTGTGTCCTCTCTTCATCCATACATCACTGGATCCTTAGAGGCTGTGAAGTAAACTAGCTTCTCTCAGCCCCAGTTTCTTCATCTGGAAAATAAACAAGTTGTGAGTCAGTTATCTGTAGGATTCCTTTTAAGTCTAAATTCTAATCTACAAGTATGAATATGTAATTATTCATTTTAAAGTTTCCTTTAATTGAATTTGACAGTTAATATCCAACCAGAAGAAGTTTTCTATACATAGGCAAGGTGTTACTGAATCAAGCCTCTGTGTTTTTGTATGAAATGCTCTGTTACCTGGTATGCTTCCAACACAGATAACCTTTCTTGGCTCAAGAAAAGGTAAGCTTTTGCTTTTTTACCAGATGTGACTACCCCTGAATCTACAAAGAATCTTGTGGAGTCATCTATGGTGAATGGAGGTTTGACATCACAAACAAAAGAAAACGGGTTAAGTACCTCACAGCAGGTGCCTGCACAGCGGAAGAAGCTCCTCAGAGCCCCAACTCTGGCCGAACTGGACAGCTCTGAGTCTGAGGTGAGGCCCCAGTTCACCCAGCTTGACTCCCAAGATGAGGGTGCTTAATGCTGTCTGATGCAGTTTACTGATTATCTTGCTTCAGTTGTTGCTTAATCTCTTCCCATTTTTCAACCAGTAAAGCTAGGATTAAAATTAATTTGGTTTGCAGGAAATTAAATAATAGATTACTTTCTATTAGTAAAGACCAATATAGTGGCTATAATTATAGAACACTAAAATTTTTGTCGGGCATGTTAGCTCACGTCTATAATCCCAGCACTTTGGTAGGCCAAGGCAGGAGTATCGCTGAGCCCATGAGTTTGAGACCAGCCTGGGCAACATAGCAAGACCCTGTCTCTACAAAAAATTAAAAAGTTAGCCACATGCAGTAGTGCATACCTCTGGTCCCAGCTAGTTGGGAGGCTAAGGCAGGAGGATTCCTTGAGCCCAGGAGTTCAAGTCTGCAGTGAGCTGTGACTGTGCCACTGCATTCCAGCCTGGGCAACAGAGTGAGACTCTGTCTCAAAAAAAAAAAAAAAAGAAAAAGAAAAAAAAAATACATATATGTATACACACACACACACATATATGTAGTCTTAAATTATATGTGGGGTTAAAACAAGTCAGCAAGTTTTCCAGCTTATATTACCTTAATATCTTCTCGTTTGGGGAACAAAAAAATAAAGTTAAGAAAAACATTTTGCATAGATTCTTCTAAAATACACACACACATATACACACACTCATACTTAGGATTGTTCTTTTTGTAATAGTAATACCAACAGACAAAACTCCAAAAAAGAAAATTCTAATAGTATTCTCCAGATTTCATCATCCACCTACTGCCCCTTGTGGAGAGGGAAGATCTCATATCCTTCCTGATGTCAACATCCACCTATATGCTAATGCTTCCCACATCCATCTCAAGCCCCCATCTGCGATGTCAGTATTGTATACGTCATTGCCTGCTGGGTCTCCACTGCCCTTCCTCAAAATCAACTTAGGTAAAATGAAATTCTCTTCTTCCCTCCCTTCTCCCTCACCCACTTGCCAAATCAAACACACACACCTACCCTAGCTACATACGCATGCGCGCGCACACACACACCCTAGCTACACACACACATACATACACACCCTAGCTTCACACACACACCCTAGCTTCACACACACACCCTAGCTACACACACACATGCACACACACACACTCTAGCTTCATACACACCTCCCCTAGCTACACATGTGTGCGTGCACACACACACCCTAGCTACACACACACATACACACCCTCGCTTCACACACACACCCTAGCTACACGCGCACATGCGCACACACACACTCTAGCTTCATACACACCTCCCCTAGCTACACATGCATGCGTGCACACACACACCCTAGCTACACACACATACACACCCCAGCTTCACACCCTAGCTACACACATGCACATACACACACCTGCGTGCATGCACACATACCCCCTAGCTTCTCATCTTCTGCTTGCTATCCTAGTTGCTGGCTCCATCCAAGGTAGAATCTGAGGAATTATTCTTTAATTCTCCTCTCATCGGTCTCCACTCCATTCCAAGCAATACCAATAATAATTTTGCTACTAAAGGTTTTTCAAACACTAATAACAATAAGAAATATTCATATTACTAACGTCAGTTGGTCTCTCTTTCTCACCGTCTCTTCAGTCTATCTGACTTTCTTCTTGGCTCCCCAAATTCCGTCTTGCACTCACCGCTCTTTGTAACTCCTGCTTAAAACCTTCGGAAGGCTCCCTGGCACTTACAGAATAAAATTTGCATCCCCTGATCACACGCCTGCAGACACCTCTGGTCTAATGTCACACCTTCCCTGTCTCTGGTTTATGCCTCAGCCACGCACAGCCGTTCACTCTTCCTGCACAGCCCATCGGTGCTCAGCTTGGTGCTTAGCTGTGTCTGCGGTCTGCCCCTCACGTCCTTGTCAGAGTCAGCGTGGCCTCGCTTTGTCTTAGGAAGTCTCCTGGATACCACTAGCCTGCCAGGACCCCTTCTCTGTGATTCTATCATAACCCACTCATCCCTCTGTTTCACTGGAACACTTTAACACCCTGTCATGTAATTATTCACTTATTTCTCTGTCCCACCAGAGTACATGTTCCCTGAGAGGAGGAACCATGCTGAATTTACTTTATATCACCAGTTTCTAACACTCAGTAGACACTCAAATATTTAGATAAATTCATACTAACCTATAAGAACAGTGATTTACATTTTAAAAGCATCTAGCTCAGATATCTAGACAGAGCTCCAATTCGGTAGCCACTCCCACATGTGGCTATTTAAATTTAAGTTATATTAAAATTAAATAAATGAAGAACTCAGTTTCTCAGTCATGGCACTCAAGGGCCCAGGAACCTCTGTGACCACGGCTACACAGATCACAGTCCCTTCACAGAGTTTGGTTGGGTGGCACCAATCTGCAGCTGCCAGGAACTACCTTCCTGCACCCCCACAGGCCTACTTTTAACTCCTTTTCTAGTCCTCTTTCATCACCTCATGAGGCAACACTACACAGCAAGGCATGATCAGATAAATTTGCAGCCTCTGTAACCTTCTTTGTGGTCCTCTTTTTGAAGATAAAGTGGTAATGCCCCAAATCCAAATCTTGAGATGATTTGCTAGGCACACTCTTCTTAATCAAAGAGAGGCCATTTTCATCAGTTAGAACATGAAGCAAGCAATAAATTGCCGAAAAGAGAAATGTGAGATCTGGATTCCAGCTACCTCTGACTTTTGTCACTAGCTACTGGTTTAAACCCGGATGAATCATAGTTCTTAAGTCAGTGGTGGTAGAAATCTCAAAGATTTATGGAACAGAGTGAATGATCTTAGACAAGGGTATGGAAATAAGCGTATTCCTCTCTTCCTCTTCAATCTAAAATTGATGTTTTTAAGTATAAGGGAAGAGCAAAGGTATTAAATGTGGGAATGCCTTATGTTCCTTTTTAAATATATACATAATTCCTTTTTAATATATATATTTAGAAGTTTTGAAATTCTTTTATATATATTTGAAATTCTTTTATATATATGTGTATATATATGTGTGTGTATATATGTGTGTGTGTGTGTGTGTGTATATATATATATATATATATATATTTTTTTTTTTTTTTTTTTTTTTTGGAGACAGAGTCTCGCTCTGCCAGCCAGGCTGTAGCACAATGGCCCAATCTCTGCTCACTGCAAACTCGACCTCCCAGGTTCAAGCGATTCTCCTGTCTCAGCCTCCCGAGTAACTGGGATTACAGGTGCCTGCCACCATGCTCAGCTAATTTTTTTATATTTTTATTAGAGATGGGGTTTCACCATGTTGGCCAGGCTGGTCTCAAACTCCTGACCTCAAGTGATCCACCTGCCTCAGCCTCCCAAAGAGCTGGGATTACAGGCGTGAGCCACCACGCCCAGCTGAAAACTTCTAAATGTATTCATATGTTAACATTTAGAAAACACAGATAAACCAAAGTCTTTATTTTTAATCAACTGTTTCAAGTTTTGTGTTTGTATTAATCAAAGTTTTAATAAACTTTCTATTGATGAGACAGTAGTTCTCTTTAATAGTGGTAGATGAATTGTGTTTATTCTAAAACACTATTAACATTAGCTAATTTCAGATCATCAACTGGTTAAAGCCAGCTCAGAAGAAGGTCTGTTGTAAAGCCATTTAATGAACTGACATTTATATAGACATGAATGAACACCTGGAAACTCAAACTGTGTTTCCTTACAGTGTGAATTAGTAAAGACAATTCTCCATGTGGCACCTGCCCTAGGCCCGCTCAGGGTGTACGGACTGGGTGCTGGAATGGACACTTGATCTTGCTGGCCATCAGCGTATTCTCCCTTTGATGAGAGGAGCTGATTCTGTGATTTCTAGGTCTCTTCCAGTTCCAAAACGTGGTAGTTTTGCTCCAGAAGCATGAAACTGGAAAAGATGTTGAGGAATTCTATCTATTCCTAAACCAAGATTGACTTACCTCTGGTCATATTTGCTGTCTTACAAATGGCCACAAATACAGAGACTGTTAAATACATCCCATGTCACATTACAGGGTTTTTTTTCGTTCACATTTTATAGTAATTTTTTGTTCCCTACTTTTTAGTGCATTTTTAAACTCTTCTCCTATTCTTTTCACCAACTTCTTTTTTTTTTCCAGTACCACTCCATTTTTTCCATTCAAATATTTATTGAATGCCTTCAGTAAGTACTGCAGGTACAGACAGAAATATGATGGTCTCTGCCCTTCTGTTGTTTATAATTTAAATAGAATATAAAAAACATACCTAAGAATCATTCCAAGTGCTTAGTGAGCACAGTGTCTTAGGGTATGTAGAATGTGACTGGACACTACAGAAGTCCAGAGACGGCAGAGGTCAGTTCAGTGAGTCAGTAAACACCACAGGGACTGAAAAGGCTGGAGAAGCCACGTGGAAGAGTAGTAGGATTTAGGTTTTAGAATGAGTATAAAAGACAGCAGAGGGCTTTCCATTTTGTTATGAGATGTGAGCCGGGCTGTGCCACAGCATGTTGATGTATTTCTCCCGTGCCTTCCCAATAGCAGAAATGCAGTCTTACTCAAACCTCTGCTCCTTACTGCATGTCTGGCATCTAGTGACTCTGCTGACTTGTCTAGTGAATTCCTGGCTGACGTTGCACCATGAGCAAAGACCAAGTGAAGACTCAGGGCTGTAGAAGACAGTAGAGAACAAATAAAGGGCAGTCTCAAAAAGGTTGACTTTATTCTTTTTCTTCCTGCTTCTCAGTTGTATCACCTACTTCCCCATTTTCCCTCTCCTCCTCAAATTTAATGGCTGGCTTCCAAACATGGTTTTTTGGGGGGGTTTTTTGAGATGGAGCCTCACTACATTGCCAAGGCTGGAACACAGTGGAGCGACCTCAGCTCACTGCATCCTCCGACTCCCGGGTTCAAGCAATTCTGCTTCAGCCTCCCGAGTAGCTGGGATTACAGGTGCCCACCACCACACTCAGCTAGTTTTTGTAATATTAGTAGAGATAGGGTTTCACCATGTTGGCCAGACTGGTCTCGAACTTCTGACCTCAGGTTATCTGCCCACCTCGGCCTCCCAAAGTGCTGGGATTACAAGCATGAGCCACCACACCTGGGCCCAAACATGTTTTTAAGTGCCAAAACTTTTTCTTGACACCAGACTTACACAGAAGTACAGTGTCAATCAGCTGGAAATGGAGATGGGGACTAGAGCCTTCCCCACCCACCACCACCCACCCTTCCCATCCTTCAGGGCCTCCTGAAGGCCTCATAGAGCAATGTGAAATTTCTTTTCCATTCCAAGAGGGAGTGGCCCACTGCTGAGTCAGTACTCAGCTGGCACTGAACTCACCAGTGGAGTCCACCTGCCTCTGCTGCCCCTTGCATGAGCCTCTTTGTCCACTCTCTGTAATGAAGCCCACAGAACAATTGAAGGAGACACCAGAATTTCCCCTTGAAGAGGAAGCAGTGACACTTCCAACTGTAAACTGAACACTTTATTCACTCTTGATATAGGAAATGCTGTCACGTGTATGTAAATTTCACCTGTTAACTTATCAGGACTCATTCTAGCAATGTTTTTGGTTTTTGTGGGGTTTTTTTGGTTTGTTTGTTTTACATTTTAATAAATGCTTTCTAGCCACCATAATACCTACTGTATGGTAAACTCTGTATATATACGTGATCTTATTTAATCTCCTTTTCCATAGAAACTCTATATTCTTTTAAGAGATACCTTCCACCATTCCACAATATCAGCTGTGCTCCCCTGCAGAGTTTTCATTTGATGACATCCACCAGAAACTTCTTACCACACATTGCTGTGTTTGGGGGTTAACTTAAATGTGGGTCCAAATTATCACACAGAACAGTTTACTGCTTAAATAACCCTTATTTAGTTCTGAATTTCTTTGTAATCAGTTAATATATTATTGTAGATCAAATACTCATGAAATTAGAATGATGTTAATTATTTACATTATCAATTACAAACTCAACTGTTTTATATAAAAAGAAAAAACTCCTTAATTCTTTTAAGAACAAAGACACTGACTTGCTTTTTAATTAACAAAATATGAGCAATTTCCATTTGATTAAATGTCCTTTTCCAACATGATGCCTGATAGCTGTGTGGTATTCCACAGTAATAACCTACTGTATTTTATTTACTCAGTCCTCTATTTTTTAAGATTTAGGCTGTTTCCAGTTTTCTACCATTATAAAGAGCAACACTATTGTGAACATTATGTTTTTGCTTTCATTTTCCAGTTTTCTACCATTATTAAGAGCAACACTATGTGAACATTGTTATATTTTTGCTTTTGTTTCTTTCTCAATTTTTTTTTTTTGCCAGAACTGAATTTTCTGGGTGAAAGAATGCACATTTGTGTAGCTTTTGATACATACTGCTAAGTGCCTTAAAGAAAGCTATAATGAGCCAGGTGGGTGGCTCACAGCTATAATCCCAGCACTCTGGGAGGCCAGGCCAGTCAGATAGCTCGAGATCAGGAGTTTGAGGCCAGCCTGAGCAACATAGCAAGACCCCCATCTCTACAAAAATTTGGCTGGGTGTGGTGGCTCACGCCTGTAATCCCAGTACTTTGGGAGGCCAAGGTGAGTGGATCACTTGAGTTCAGAAGTTTAAGACCAGCCTGGCCAACATGGCAAAACCCCATCTCTACTAAAAATACAAAAAAAATAGCCAGGCTTTGTGATGCATGCCTGTAATCCCAGCTACTTGGGAGACTGAGGCAGGAGAATTGCTTGAACCCAGGAGGTGGAGGTTGCAGTGAGCCAAGATCACGCCACTGCACTCCAGCCTGGGCGACAGAGTGAGACTTCATTTGGTGCACACCTGTAGTCCTAGCTACTGGAAGGCTGAGGCAGGAGGATCACTTGAGCCCAGGAGTTAAAGGCTGTGGTGAGCTATAATCATTGCCACTGCACTCCAGCCTGGGTGACAGAGCAAGTCCCCCCCCGCAAAAAAAAGACCAACCACAGTGACTCACACCTGTAATCCCAGCACTTTGAGAGGCTGAGGCAGGCGGATCACTTGAGCCCAGGAGTTCAAGACCAGCCTGGGCAACATGGCAAAACCCCACTTTTACTAAAAATACAAGAACTTAGTCTGGCATGGTGGCATATCCCTGTAATCGCAGCTACTTGGGAGGCTGAGGTGGGAGGATCACCTAAGCCCAGGAGGTCAAGGCTGCAGTGAGCTGTGATTGTACCACTACACTCCAGCCTGGGTGGTAGAGTGAGACCCTGTCTCAAAAAAAAAAAAAAAAAAGCACAGGGCATGGTGTCGCTATAATGGTTTTGTATTGAGCTAACCCTGTGTTAGACTTTCATTGTTGCTGGGGTTTTTAGTTGTTTGTTTTTATTTTTTTATAGAGACAGGGGTCTTGAACTCCCAGTCTCAAGCATTCCTCTTGCCTCGGCCTCGCAAAGTGCTAGGATTACAGGCATGAGCCACCATGCCCAGCCTCTGTTAGACTTTAGATATAAATCAGTTTGTCTTCACAAAGACCATAGATAGCAGCTATGATCCTTGTATAAAATATAAGAAAACTGGCCATGCGCAATGGCTCACACCTATAATCCCAGCACTTTGGGAGGCCAAGGTGGGCAGATCACTTGAGGTCAGGAGTTGAAGACTAGCCTGGCCAACATGGCAAAACCCCATCTCTACTAAAAAGAGAAAAATTAGCCCGGTGTGGTGGTGCACACCTGTAATCCCAGCTACTCGGGAGGCTGAGGCATGGGAATCACTTGAACTCCAGAGGCGGAGGTTGCAGTGAGCCGAGATTGTGTCATTGCACTCCAACAGGGGTGACAGAGCAAGACTCTCTCCAAAAAAAGAAGAAGAAGATAACAAAACAGGCACATGAAATGGTTGCCTAGGTTCAAAGAGTTAGTAAATGATAAAGTTAGATTTGAAACCCAAGTCTGTCTAACTCTGAAGTCCATGTATCTCATGAACTTGCTAGTATTCTCACGGTACATGAGAATGCCTGAATTAAAGAAAAGAACAAAGGCTGGGCATGGTGGCTCACGCCTGTAATCCCAGCACTGGGAGGCTGAGGCGGACGGATCACTTAAGGCCAGAAGTTCAAGACCAGCCTGGCCAACATAGTGAAACCCCATCTGTACTAAAAATACAAAAATTAGCTAGGCATGGTGGTGCATGGTTGTAATCCCAGCTATTTGGGAGGCTGAGACATGAGAATCTCTTGAAGAGCAAGACTCTAGTGTCCAAAAAAAAAAAAAAAAGAAAGAAACCAGTATTTTTTTAACTGGAAGGGGCCTTAGAAATTTTGTCCAGCATCATTACTTTTCAGTGAGAAAACTGAGCCCCTAGCCAGGTAGAAACTGAGTTAGAAAAGCCATACAGTGTTTTAGTCACAGATCCCCTATAAAATTAGACCCCCACACCCAGACCTTCTTTCCATTACTCTTTTCTTCAGTTCCTGGAAACCTAACTTCAGTGTCTCTTGTTATCTTTAATAACCTTTGCTAGCCTATCTTGGTAACTTTTTTTTTTTTTTTTTTTTACTGAAAGATGAGTTTTGATTGTAGCCATATCAAAGCTTCCAGTAGGAAAGCTAAGCAAAGGAGCTGTGTCTGAGCCCTGCTTGATCCTCTTTTCAGGAGGAGGAAGATTTCCATTCCTGTTAAGTGAGTTACGTGCCCAGACTGGCCCCTGAAACTATACTCTGGCAGTATTCGGCACCAGTGAGCCCTGGAGCAAAGCAGCAGTGCGAGAGGCTTTCCTGCAGCCATGGTTCTGAGCTAGAGAAGCCCTAACTCAGTGAGGATCAGCCAGCCTCTGAGATCAGACAAAAAACACAAGCAGATTTCGGGAAGCAGGCCAGGCAGTAGAAGAGACTGATGTTCTAGAAATGTCAGAGACCCATCAGAATTCCCCAGATAAGCAAAAAGTGATTAGGCAGTTGGAATAGACACGAGAGGGTATGCAGCAAACAGGAGTCTGTACATGCACATGCATGTACCCACACATATGCACACACGTGTGTACTCACACACCCTTCTCTCAGGAGACCTGACTGTTAACAGTTCCCTGGCTCTCCTTCTGAGTGTCTAAGTTACCCAAGATATGCTAGCAGAGGTTAGTGTGATTCCTCTGGGGCAAGAACTAATCCTGGAGAAGATTCATTTTAAGCAATCAGAAAATTGTGTGCAGCTGCCTGTTGTGGGTATTCAGGGACAGTGGGCCATTAACACTTCTGGGGGAGCAACGTAAAATTTAAAACAATTCTTTATATCTGTAACATTTCAGTATATTGTATGTGCATTGGGTAATCAAGGTACATCAGATGCTAATGTCAAACCTTAGTTATTTCCTTCTTGGAAAAGCATTTTTAAAAAATTAATATACTGGCCACACATGGTGGCCAGTATAAGATTATGCCTGTAATCCTAGTACTTTTGGAGGCCAAGGTGGGAGGATCACTTGAGGCTAAGGAGTTCGAGACCAGCCTGGGCAACATAGTGAGACCCCGTCTCTACAACAAATGTTTTTTAAAAGTTAGCTGGGCATGGTGGCACATGTCTGTAGTCCCAGCTACTTGGAAGGTTGAGATGGGAAGATCACTTGAGCCCTGGAGGTCAAGGCTGCAGTGAGCCATGATTGCACCACTGCACTCCAGCCTGGGCAACAGAGTGAGAACTTGTCTCTAATTAACTAGTTAATTAATGAACATAAAAATTAATATGTTATGTGGTTTTCTTATGTTATTTTTAAATCTTGAGTATATGCTTTTTAAATAGAGAATGCACCCTCTGAGTGCCAAAATCTAGTACTCCAAATGTGCTTACTTTTGCCTCAGTTGCATCTATAAGAGTCTCATGAGACCTCGTAAAGTGTATATGTGTATATATATAATTATATTATATATAATATATAATTATATTTATATAAATATATTTATATAAATTATACAAATTATATATGTTATATATAATATATAAATTATATGTAAATAATATATTTATATAAATATAAATAATTACATTTATATAAATATAAATAAATATATAAATAATATATACTATATATAATATATATAATTTATATATATAAAGAGTAAGCATGAAATAAAAGCATTCAGCATTATTAGGATTTTAAAAAATCAGAATGTGGCTGGGCGTAGTGGCTTACATCTGTAAACCCAGCACTTTGGGAGGCCAAGGCGGGAGGATCACTTGAGGTCAGGAGTTTGAGACCAGGCTGGC
Organism: Homo sapiens; assembly: GCF_000001405.40. Lineage (NCBI taxonomy): Eukaryota > Metazoa > Chordata > Mammalia > Primates > Hominidae > Homo > Homo sapiens. Next base: position 12,469,401 of record NC_000018.10, on the reverse strand, counting down.
CAACATGGCAAAACTAAAAATATATATATAAATTAGCCAGGCATGGTGGCACTTGCCAATAATCCCAGCTACTAGGGAGGCTGAGGCAGGAGAATCGCTTGAACCCAAGAGGCGGAAATTGCAGTGATCTGAGATCACACCACTGCACTCCAGCCTGGGTGAATGAGCAAGACTCAGTTTCAAAATAATAATAATAAATAAAAAGATTTTAAAAATCAAAATGTTACCTTTAAATTCACCTAAACTGAAATGTTAATTCCCCTAGAACCATATCTGCAAATTTTTAGTGTTACTTTAAAACGGAGATTCAGGAAAGACTTTCTTAGACTTTTATTTTCGAGACAGGGTTTCGCTCTGTCACTCAGGCTACAGGGCAGTGGTGTGAACACAGCTCATTGCAGCCTCGACCTCTTGGTCTCAGGGGATTCTCCTGCCTCAGCCTCCCAAGTAGCTAGGACCATAGGTGTGCACCACCACACCTGGCTATTATTTTCTTATTATTTTTTGTAGAGACAAACTCTCACCATGTTCCTTAGGCTAGTCTCAAACTCCCTGGCTTAAGCGATCCTCTGGCCTCAGCCTACCAAAGTGCTGGGAATGCAGGGGCGAGCTACCATGCCTGGCAGGAAAGACACTTAGTTTTGATTTACATTTTTGAACTGGAGAGGACTATAAAGAGTATTCCACCCAACCACATTTTCTAGATAAAAAAGATTCTGAGAAATGCTGAGTTATGCACCCAGGTTCTTCTGACTGATTAGAGTGGAACTGGCTCATTTGGGCATAGTGAAGCCTCTCGATTAAGTTGCTTTGCTTCTTCAAAGGATTTTCAGGACCATCAGACATTGAGTAGTCATTTTAAAGATCAGATGCAGTGGTGGAAAAATCCAATTTGGAGGTTTCATAGGACGTCACTGAGAATAAAGTCTGAATGAGAGAAAAGAGCCCCTTCCAGCAAAGCTTCCCTCCACTGCTCTCCATGTTTTGGAGCTCAACATGTACCTAAAAGGGACATGAAATATAAAGGAAACATGAGAGGACCACATCGCATGTACAGCTAGATGTTGCCATTCTTTGAGCTGAGTGGAAGTGTGGCCAGTGCTGGGCTGCAGTAGTGTGCTCCGGCTCCACCTCTTCAGATACAGATGATTGTGCTTCCTCATGTTTTCAGTTTTCTTTAGAATTTTAACATCTGTGGTCATAAAATCATTGATCTTTTTAATTTGCTTATAAAAGACTTCATTCTGACCTATTTGCTTATTTATAGAGCCACTTTTTCTCAGAGATAGTTTTCTTACAGAATTAAGTATGATATTTTCATTATACAGAATTTAACTCTAACTGGTTTCCACCCTGGAGTAAAGAAACGTGATCTAATTCTCCCTTAACACTAACAAAGGTAACAACGTGTAAAATTAGACTTTAAAAATATTTCTTTTTTTTTTTCCTTTTGAGATGGAGTTTCACTCTTCTTGCCCAGGCTGGAGTGCAGTGGCATGATCTCAGCTCACCGCAACCTCCACCTCCCGGGTTCAAGTGATTCTCATGCCTCAGCCTCCTGAGTAGCTGGGATTACTGGCACATGCCACCACACCCAGCTTATTTTGTATTTTTAGTAGAGACAGAGTTTCTCCATGTTGGTCAGGCTGGTCTCCAGCTCCAGACCTCGTGATCCGCCCACCTCAGCCTCCCAAAGTGCTGGGATTACAGGCGTGAACCACTGTGCCCAGCCGACTTTAAAAATATTTCTAGCGAAGGTGAGCTGAAGTACACGTGTGAGGCACAGGGATGGTTTCTGCTGTTTTAATCAGGGTAGCAGATAATTATTTGGGAAGTATTGTGTATGACTCCTCAGCAGATAATTATCTGGGAAGTACTGTATATGACTCCTTTGTTCCTTTTCTAAGAGACACTCTCTGCTTTTATTTCTTGTCTGACCTTCTGTAAACAGAAAAAGATTGTTCTAATTGCATGCTAGGTTTTTTGGAGATTACTATGACTGACCTACATCGTATCTGGGATAGAGGCTTTGCTTACAGTGCTTGATTTGGTGTTCATGATAAGTCCCAAAAGTGTGGAGGTCACTATTTAAACCTTTTTTGGGTTTTTTGGTTTTTGTTTTTTGAGACAGAGTCTTGCTCTGTCGCCCAGGCTGGAGTGCAGTGGCACGATCCTGGCTCACTGCAACCTCCACCTCCCGGGTTCAAGTGATTCTCATGCCTCAGCCTCCCAAGTAGCTGGGATTACAGGCGCCTGCCACCATCCAGCTAATTTTTATATTTTTAGTAGAGACAGGATTTCACCATGTTGGCCCGGCTGGTCTTGAGCTCCTGACCTCAAGTTATCTGCCTGCCTTGGCCTCCCAAAGTGCTGGGATTACAGGCGTGAGCCACCTTGCCCAGCCTAGCCCTTTTTTGTTTGAACTATGTCGTTTACGTGGCCTTTTTTTCCGCCCTGTTCTTTGACCAGACACTTTGTATTGTAGCTTACTTGAAACTAATGATTTCAGCAGTAGGTTTTAGGTGAGGCCAGTTTTTGGTGAACAGCGAATTCTTAAAAGTTACTTTATGCTGGGCTTAATACCTATGTGATGGGTTGATGGGTACAGCAAACCACCATGGCACACATTTACCTATGTAACAAACCCACACATCCTGCACATGTATCCCAGAACTTAAAGTAAAAATAAAACAAAAATTTTTTAAATTAAAAAAATTTAAGTCATTTTAGCTAAGAACATCAAAAAATTTTCACTATCTCACATAGTCATGAGTGAATATATTTGCCTAATTTTCTTCCTTTTGTATCTAAAAATGCCTATAGGCTGGACGTGGTGTCTCATGCCTGTAATCCCAGCACTTTGGGAGGCTGAGGCAGGCAGATCATGAGCTCAGGAGTTCAAAACCAGCCTGACCAACATGGTGAAACGCCATCTCTACACACAAAAAAATACAAAAATTAGCCGGGCGTGGTGGCACTCACCTGTAATCCCAGTTACTCAGGAGGCTGAGGCAGGAGAATTGCTTGAGCCCGGGAGGCGGAGGTCGCAGTGAGCTGAGATCATGCCACTGCACTCCAGCCTGGGCAACAGAGTGAGACTCCGTCTCAAAAATATATATATATCTATAGATACTAAGTAGAAATTACAAGTAAATGTTTATCTCGCATAGTATTTAGTAAATATTTCAGGAATAAATATTATACTTTATTTTTGTTTAGTCTAAAACAAGTTAGGATCTCTTCTCACTGGTAATAAGAATTTTAATTTTATTTGGCACGATGTAGACATTTTTCTTTTTCTTTTTCTTTTTTTTTTCTGAGACGGAGTATCACTCTGTCACCCAGGCTGGAGTGCAGTGATGCGATCTCAGCTCACTACAACCGCTGCCTCCCCGGGTCAAGCAATTCTCCTGCCTCTGCCTCCCAAGTAGCTGGGACTACAGGCGCGTGCCACCACGCCTGGCTCATTTTTATATTTTTAGTAGAGGTGAGGTTTCACCATGCTGGCCAGGCTGATCTCAAACTCCTGACCTCGTGATCTGCCCGTCTTGGCCTCCCAAAGTGCTGGGATTATAGGTGCGAGCCACCGTACCTGGCCCACAATGTAGACATTTTTCTAGACTCATATGACATTTCATGAAATGTTTATTTTTTCATCCATTCATTCAACAAACACTCATTACTTACTAAGTGATGGGTTTGGTACTGGACATACATCAGTGAGCAAGACAGACCCAGCATCTGCTCCCATGAGGCTGACAATGTATTACTTGTATAAATGTATTAAATATTTCCCTAATAATATTAACCACTGTTTTATTGTGTGCCAGGTAATGTGTTAAGCATTTTGAATGCATTACCTCATTTCATCTTTCCAATAACCCTATGGAAAAAGTGATATTAAATACCCTCTTTCACAATGATGAAACTAAGATAAGAAACATGCTCAGGCCAGGTGCAGCGGCTCACACCTGTTACCCCAGCACTTTGGGAGGATCGCTTGAGCTCAAGGCCAGCTAGGCAACATAGGAAGACCCTGTCTCTACAAAAAATTTAAAAATTAGCTGGGTGTGGAAGTGCACACCTGTGATCCTGGCTACTGGAGTCTGAGGTGGGAGGATCACTTGGGCCCAGAAGGTAGACGCTGCAGTGGGCCCAGATCACACCACTGCACTGCTACCAGAGCAACAGAGTGAGACCCTGTCTCCAAAAAACAGAAAGAAGCATGCTCAGTTTCACATCACTCTCATCAGGGCAGAGCCAAGGCACAAACCCAGACCTGTCTTGTTTGAAACCCCTTCTAGTTTGTCTTTTGCTTGCCTTGAACCTTTGACATACTTTGGTGCCTCATGTTAAAATAACTGTTTAATAATAAAATGTTATTACGTAGCACTAGAGCACAAATGTCTAAGAAGTCGATTTCTCCACCTGTACTTTGCTCAGGAAGAAACGCTGCACAAGTCGACCAGCAGCAGCAGCGTGTCTCCCTCTTTCCCTGAAGAGCCAGTCCTGGAGGCCGTGTCCACAAGGAAGAGTGAGTAGTTGTGGTGCTAAGAGCTGTAGTCGGATGTCTTACTACAAAACACACTTGACCTAGAGCAGAGATCCCAGAGCGCCCTGTGATCATCTAGGGTAGAAAGAACTAACTCAGGCATTTCACTGATCGGGAGATGAAATACTTATTTTCCAAGAGTGGCATCATACCAGGCCTCGGGGTCTTATGACAGAGCAGGCACATGTGTGTTTACGAACAATAGTCATGGGAAATATTATAAATCAGTTGTGTGTGTAGCGTTCTGTTTTGTTTTGTTTTAGATAGATTACCTCCTTGGCTAAATTTAAACCAGAAGCCCAACACAACCATATTTATTATCATTCCACCTACCACCCACACACACCCATCTCCAAAAACCTGTGTAGATAGTGAAAACACCTTTATAACTCTTTAGGAGATAGATTCTGAACACAGATATCTAAAGTTAAGGGATTTCTAAAGGCTTTTAATAATCCTTTTCATTTATAAGAACATTATGAAGTATTAAAAATTATATATTGGCTTGATTTCTCATACACAAAAATTCTTTAAGTAGTTTTATTATTTACACAGATTATATCAAAAACAGTAGGTACTGACTATCCACAATTGGATATTATAGGGACCCAATTGAATCACATAATGGATTTCTGTATCTTTTCTTGACTGTGGAAATTATATCTGTGTTTTCCTTTAGTGGTTTCTCATGGTGGGACAGTCTAAATAGATGGATCATATGTAACTTTGTGTTGACTCTCACTTTCCACACCCACTACATTGAAGCAGCTCTACTCTGTAGATAGAGTAGGAGGAAGCACTAAATAAAACTCTGGCACCATAATTTATTTCTAATGTTCTCCTTTTGTTTTCAAAATGGGAATCCAGAACCGTTCAGACACTAAAGCAGTCTCCTTTTAAACAGTCTTAAAATATTACTAGGCAGAGAAGGACAATGGTACAATATTAACATCAAAGCTGAAGCTTACTTTTTGCAGTTTAAATACAGTTTAATTTAAACCTAAGGACAAAATGTCTTGGTAAACATGTAGAAAGAAGGATTTTCCTTATTTTATCTTTAAAAAGGAGAATGTAAAAAGAGGGTACATTGAGAATTTTGGTATGATTTGGGAATCTTTCTGGCTACACCTAACATTTTTCCTTTTTTCTTGCTATTTCTGTAGCAAGTTTACTTTGCAAAGATTCTTCTGTAACAGCCCTCAGAGTCTACTCCTAAGGATTACCATTACCATCTTAAAATATCTCTCCAATGAAATAAATAATTCATCTTTGAATTACAGTGTTTGTCACAAATGTCAAAAGGTTTTGTGTTAGAAAATTCACAGTAAGTTTTATTTCATTTGGTTCAATCTTTAGAGCCTCCAAAATTCCTGCCCATATCATCAACACCCCAGCCAGAGAGACGGCAGCCACCCCAGAGACGACATTCCATTGAAAAGGAAACGCCTACTAACGTGAGGCAGTTCCTGCCGCCTTCCAGGCAGAGTTCCCGCTCTCTTGTAAGTACAGGAAAGACTTTGTAGTAACTTAGGGACCAGCTAGAAGACATAGAATCATTAGCTTTCTTATGAAGATGATAAGGAGAAAAAAACTTGCAAAAGTTAGAATGAATTTTGAATAACTTACTTAATAGCTAAAGAAAACAAACAGCCAGGCGTGGTGGCTCGTGCCTATAATCCTAACACTTTGGGAGGCCAAGGTGGGAGGATTACTTGACTCCAGGAGTTCAAGACCAGCCTGAGCAACATTGTGAGATCCCGTCTCTGCAAAAAAAAATAATAATAATTAGCCAGGTGTGGTAGTGCACACCTGTGGCCCCAGCTGCTTAAGAGGATGAGGTGTGAGAGGATCATTTGTGCCCAGGAGGTTAAGGCTGCAGTGAGCTATGACTACACCATTGCACTCTAGCCTGGGCAGCAGAGTGACACCTTCTCCAAACTCTATCCATAACCTAAACGAAACTTGACCAGTGTTTGTTCATTTTGAGCTCTTTTTTTTTTTCAAGAAAATTTATCAGTGGTTGAAAGTATGGATTATTATTAAAGAAATGCTTTCTTTCTTTCAAAGGCTATTAATCCATTTAAAAATTGTTAAAAATTGACCAAAAAAACTCTTAGCAAAATGACTACAGTAGGTGATCTTATTGAGGCAGAAGTACAAGCGAGGGAGAATTTTGATCCATTAATAACTACTGTACATTGTTTTCTAGTATGTTTTGTGATATTTGGGGCCAGTGGTGTTATTTTGGTTGAACTGGTTTATAGTTTTTGCTGTTTTCCAGAGACTTGCAGGTTCTTATAGTGGGTGCTCATTTCTCAGGACAGTGGGCAGCACACAAGGGTTTGCCAGGAGGAATTAGTAGATCTCCCAGCCAACAGAGGTCTCCAAAGACTCTTTTGTAGCGCCACTTGGCTTCTGAAATATTTGTAGGCAAGATGCACAGCTGTAATTAATATTCTACCCACAGTCAAATATCTAATGTGTTTTCAAATATTCATGAATAAAAAATAATAGAATATATTGAATACTAAGTCCATTTTTTAAGGCTGTGATGAATTATTAGAGTTTCAATTAAAGTAATAACAGATGGGAGATAATGCGATTATTGTGAAGACAGGGATTTTGAACAGAGCTTAGAATGTTAATATTTGGTCATTCATCTCTATGCCAAAACAGTGCAATTAAAGAACTAATGATTTTATGGCGATTCCTGATAGGATTCTTCTAGCTCCAGAATAATCACCAAAACACAGCTATTCGATTAAATATAGCCTTGTCAGTGACTTACCAACAAGAAAACAGAACTCTGACCAGACAGATTCAAACGTAAAAATCTAAAAATTTGTTTTCATGTGAATAAGTTATTGCTTTTACCAAAATATACAGCTATTATCACAACTTTAAAATATGTAAGAGGGTCCAGGCACAGTGGCTCACACCTGTAATCCCAGCACTTTGGGAGGCCAAAGGAGGAGAATCGCCTGAGGCCAGAAGTTTGAGACCAGCCTGGGCAACTTAAGAAACCCCTGTCTGTACAAAATTTTTAATTAAAAACTTAGTTAGATGTGGTGGCGCATGCCCGTAATCCCAGCTACTCAGGATGCTGCAGAGGGAAGATCCCTTGAGCCTAGGAGTTTGATGCCACAGTGAACTAAGAATGTGCCACTCCACCCCAGCGTAGATGACACAGCAAGACCCTGTCTCTAAAAATATATATACACACATATGTGTATGTGTGTGTATATGTGTGTGTATGTATGTATATACATATGTATGTACATACATATACACGCATGTATGTATATACATATGTACGTACATACCACACATATGTATGTACGTACATATGTACGTGCATACACACATATGTATGTACGTACATATGTACATACATACACACATGTATGTATATACATACATACACACACACACACATACATGTGTATAGGTAAGAGGGAACTTGTGGTTTTTTTCATAAGTCTAATCATTAGGGTATTCTCTTCTTCACTCAGCTTTTCCTAGAAGCCAGTCTATCATTCAGCTTGTAACTGGCCTTTATGTGATCATACAATGTCATTATTGAGGTTAGACTTAAAGTTTAAAATTAGCAATGTAAAGGAACTATCAGCTTAGCTACAAGGTAGTTTCAGCTTATAATAGAAGTTATGCTGAGACCTTCAGCTGACCCCAAGGGCCCATGACTGTGTCTGTTTCCTGTTAAAGCAGAGCTCTTAGTGTTGCGAGGTCAGGCCGTGCACTGTTTTTTTGTGGAGCAGGAAGGAGAGCAAGATAAACTAACTTGCAATCACTGAGGAAGGTCTCAGTGAGCAGGCAGTGGGAGAGCCGCTCTGCTCAGCACTGAACAGTGGTCAGATTGAGGGCAGGGAGCAGAGTCCACGCAGGCCTCCAAGCACCAGCAGAGACGAAATGATCTTCCTTGCTAATAGCTTATCTTGGGAAATCCATAAAATCATACCTTGTAGTAATGCCCTATAGCTTGGTAAGTATTGTTTTTATAAGTGTAATTAATTTTTAAATGTAGCTGCATTTTAGAAAACAAAGAATCATTTTGTATTTGTAACTCCTCAACTGAAAATGGCAGGAATGTTTTTATTGTTGATAATTTTTTTTTTTTTTGAGATGGAGTTCCGCTCTTGTTGCGCAGGCTGGAGTGCAATGGCTCAATCTCGATTCACCACAACCTCCGCCTCCCGGATTGAAGCGATTCTCCTGCCTCAGCCTCCCAAGTAGTTGGGATTATAGGCATGTGCCACCACACCCGGCTAATTTTGTATACTTAGGAGAGACGGGGTTTCTCCATGTTGGTCAGGCTGGTCTCGAACTCCTGACCTCAGGTGATCTGCCCGCCTCGGCCTCCCAAAGTGCTGAGATTACAGGCGTGAGCCACTGTGCCCGGCTGATAATTTTTATTTTTGTTGTATCTCCCTCCCTTTTCTTGTGATGTTTAAAATGTCATTTTTTTTCATCATTTGGTCAAATAACCGAGGGCAAATGCCCATCCAGTCTAAAGGCACCTCGTGTTGGCAGTACCTTCCTGGGGCAGGTGCAAGTGGCTGCCTGGCACATGTCCCCATGCTTTCTCAGGCACAGTAACGAGTTGCCTCTATCCTTCATCACAACAAGCCCCACTGAGGAAACTCAGAGTGTTTGCAGGACCCTAAATTAGAAAAATCCTTGCTGTGTGAACGCTGAGATTCTCCAGGAAGGACTTCGTGGTTTCATCACTGATTTATACGTGTGGATGCAGATGTTCGCACGGACTGTACCAGCCTCATGGTGTTTTTTGTTTTGTTTTCCTTTTGTGATCTGTAATCACTATGTGTAGGTCACTTGTGTTCAGCATTATTTTCTCCTTTTCTTTTCCCCCTGCCATTTTCTTTTTCCCTTATCTGTTGTTCAGGTTCCTAGGATAACCAGTGTATGGCCAAGGACGCCTTTTCGACCACTTTTTTCTACCATACAAACAGCTTCTCTGCTCAGCTCTCATCCTTTTGAAGCAGCCATGTTTGGGGTAGCAGGGGCTATGTATTATCTGTGTGAGAGAGCTTTTACCAGCAGGTGGAAATCCTCAAAGGTTGGCCTCTTTCTGCTGGGTCTGGGATTATTTCATTCTCTGTATCTCTGACGGTGACACCTCAACTGTTGCGTTCTCTGAGAATTAACCGCTTAGATAGCACTTTGCTTCCAATCATTGATTCCACCCTTGTGCAGGATGCACCGATCATGCCGTGGTCTCAGTTGAGGGAAATAACTGGGAAAGGACAACAAACTCAAAATGCAGCATCTGATGAAGGGGACCTGTGGGTGTTTGTCTCCTCGGGTGACCTAATTGTATAGCAGAGTCAGTGCTGCCACCTTTCTCCATGTGCAGCAGGCACTCTGAGCCCGTGGGGTGCATTCCTCCTAGGGCCTCCCCCCACCATCAGAAGAGTATTTGCTCACTCATTCCGTGAGCAGAGCATCCTCCTGCCAGGCCAGGTAGCCATGGTGGACTCCGCCCACCCACAGACACCTGCACAACCAGGGCATGGGCTCAGGAAACCTGTGTGCTCCCATCACCTGTCATGAAGCTGTGTTATGACAACCAGGGTGTGTACGTCACTTCTCTGCAAAGAGAAATTTCAAGTTTCCTTTTTAATGATGTGGCTATTTTAAATAATTCTGCATTATATTACTGTTTTTTGAGGTTTTTTTACACAGAATAATATATCATTATTTGAACCTTCACAATTCTACGTGAAATAAAAAGCTCTACGACCATATTGAAGCCTCTTCTGCCACCACGTAGCAGGTGCTCAGAGCAGCCTTTGTGCTACAGTAGGCAGGGCCTGGCTCTCTAAAGCCTTGGATTTACTAACCTTGTCCTTGACAGATGACCCCGCAGCTGGTTTCTTTGTTACTCTTTCTTAGTCATCTTGATATGGAAAGGAGACTCAATGTAAATAAGACACAAAACATTCCTTTCTCTGATCTTTGTCATGAAATGCAGGAAAAACCTCTGTCCTTTTTCCCGTTTTAGATGTGCTCTTGGGCAGCACGTGGTCAGGTGCCACGGTGGCTTTTTAACTCCTGTCACTCCTGCCTCTACTGAAGACCTGCTGGCATTTGATTATCAATTCTCCCCAAACAGAGATATCTGAACACTAAGGCCATATACCACTTTAGGCAAAGAAAGGATTCACTTTGAGTTTTGTTTGTTTGTTTTTGTTTTTTTTGAGATGGAGTCTCTCTCTGTCACTCAGGCTGGAGTGCAGTGACGCGATATCGGCTCACTGCAAGCTCCGCCTCCTGGGTTCACGCCATTCTCCTGCCTTAGCCTCCCGAGTAGCTGGGACTCCAGGCATCTGCCACCACGCCCGGCTAATTTTTTTTTGTATTTTTAGTAGAGACGGGGTTTCACCATGTTAGCCAGGATGGTCTCCATCTCCTGACCTCGTGATCCGCCCACCTCGGCCTCCCAAAGTGCTGGGATTACAGGCGTGAGCCACTGCGCCTGGCCTTCACTTTGAGTTTTGTAGTTGATTAAGAAGAGTAAACTTAATAGTTGCTGTTTTTATTTAAATTTGCCTCTCTTTGGTTTATTAAAAACTCAAAAAGCAATGGTTATTTTGGGTAATTTTCAAATACTGGTTAATTTATGAAGTTTTTACTAATCATGAACACTGTATAAAAGATGACTGTTCCCAGCCAGGCACAGTGGCTCACGCCTGTAATCCCAGCACTTTGGGAGGCCGAGGCGGGTGGATCATGAGGTCAGGAGATCGAGACCATCCTGGCTAACACAGTGAAACCCCGTCTCTACTAAAAATACAAAAAATTAGCTGGGCTCAGTGGCGGGCGCCTGTCGTCCCAGCTACTCAGGAGGCTGAGGCAGGAGAATGGCGTGAACCCTGGAGGTGGAGCTTGCAGTGAGCTGAGATCGCACCACTGCACTCCAGCCTGGGCGAAAGAGCGAGACTCCATCTCAAAAAAAAAAAAAAAAGAAAAAAGAAAAGAAAGGTGACTATTCCCATTTCTCTCTGTGGCACAATAACCAAAATTTTACATTATGCTGTCTAATCTCCGTGCTGCCTAACTGACCCCTCTTGAATGGTAAAATATAGCCAGAATAATCATCAAAAAAAAAAAACTCAACAATTTTAGTGACATGCATAGAAGTAAGTTTAAAGTCTTATAGCACATTGTTGTCTTCATTAAAGCGCTCTAAGATTTAGCTTCCCTTTCCTGAATCTGGGAGTCCCATTGACACATGAGCAAGCAAGGGAACTAGAGGTGCGCTAGTGTGGTTCTTTACCCGGCCACATCTGGCCACTCAAACGGGCCGAACACATGCAGTGGGAGCCCCAGGCAGTGCCGTGGTGGGGAAGGGCTCCCGCTCTAGCTGGGGCCTTGAGTGCCCTCCACATTCCAGAGTGCTAATAGCTCTGCGAGATCTGTGGAAGTTTAATTTGGCTTTGGAGATGTCGAATTAATATTTTTGTAAACTGAAAAAAATAATTAAAACTATTTTAGTAACTATTTATCATTTTCTTTTATGTTGCATTAAAGTTTTGTTGTCCTTGGGAAGTCTCCAAAATTAAAACATTAGCATTTGACTGGATGGAAATTATTTCACTAAAGGGTAATCTGCTTGAAAATTTTTAAAAAAGAACAAGAAAGCAAACAAAAATCTACTATTTTTAAATTATATCTCATGATGGCCAGGCGCGGTTGCTCATGCCTGTGATCCCAGCACTTTGAGAGGCTGAGGCTGGCAGATCACTTGAGGACAGGAGTTCGAGACCAGCCTGGCCAACATGGCGAACCCCCATCTCTACACAAAAATTAGCTAGGTGTGGTGGTGCACACCTGTAATCCCAGCTACTCAGGGGGCTGAGGCACAAGAATCACTTGAACCCGGGAGGCAGATGTTGCGGTGAGCCAAGATCATGCCACTGTGCTCCAGCCTGGGTGACAGAGCGAGACCTTGTCTCAAAACGAAAGAAAAATGATTATATCCCATGAAGTACTGGATTTTCATGTGGGTCAAAGCAGTGAGTTGAAAATATGCTTTACTAAGCCCATTTGTGACTCAAGACTGAAGACAGGGAGGTGCAAGCTGCCAGGTCTGTTGTGCCATGCTAGCGTATCCCTACAAATGAAAAAAATCACCATCTGCCTGAAGGGTTTACAGCCCAGTTATCCACATCATAAAGTCAGTTAAGTTGGTACCATCTGCTGTCTTGCTAGCACAAACAATAACAAATCTGGCTATCTGGTTATTTGCTACGTAATAAATCTAGTAGTGTTTCCCTGGTTATGTGCTAGATTCCCACATTATTTTGTTGCAGCATAGCCATTTTGTCATATCGTTAGCCATCAGAAGGCATACCCTACTTATACTCATCACTGATGAATAAAAATAAGAGCAAAACTTCTGAAATACATTAAAAGCTGAGAAATGCCATCATTCGGATGTATTCAGCCAACACTACTTACTTAGTGCACAGTTTTAATGGCCTAACCCTCAAAAAGGCCGTTTATTGTTCCCACCTAACACTACTCTTTTTCTGAGGATGGAGCAAAACAGAGTAGGTATCAGGCACGCTGATTTAATTCTGTCATCTCTGAAAGTAGTTCCTGTTGAAAGAGAAAACTGTGATCGTTAATTTTTTAAATGCGTATTTTAGGCATTTTAGAGCAAATGATATAATCTTTCTGAGTAAACTCATCCCCCTGTCCTCTTATACTAATAAGCTTCTCATGTTAAAAATTCAAATGCAGGATTTTTCCCAAAGCATTTTTAAGCAAATGTAATCTTCCTTAAGTTAGCTTGAACAGAGATGGTTTTGCATTGATTTTTAGTAAGAAGCAGTAGTTCTTCAGACTACTTTTTTAAGTAAAATGCTAATGTTTGACAAGTTTGCAACCTAGATTGATTTTTGTTTTTCTCTGATTGAAAGACAGAACTGATTGTTAAAACTCCATAAACTGACTGCATTCATAGTCATGTGCTTTCTCACTGGCGTGTTGGATTCCTGAGTGCCTGTGAGCGATGCTGTTGTGTGTGTGTGGGAGTGAATTATAATGTGTTTGTGCTGAGAACATTCAGTTTCAGTGTCACTGCACCACAATGGCCCCTTGCAGCCTGGCAGGGTCCGAATGCACAAGACTGTTCTGTCTTTCTCTGAGATCCACCAATCAAGTGCGGGGCCGGATGGGGAGCGGATGGGTGTGAGGCTCTTATTCAATGAGATCAGTTACATCAACATCTTCCGCAGCTGCTTGTAGGGAAACCATTAACACAAGACAGCCAACATAAATATTTATTATGAAATCTTTTACATTTCTCTAGTCTTTCCATTGCTGACTATACATTTAGCATTTGTTGAAAGTAACAACAAATCTAGAGAACTGTGGGGCAGCCTGGAGAGACTGCCTTTTGGATATAAATGCTCCAGTAGTTTCATGTTCCAGTTCCACTCGTACCATTAGGATTTGTAAAGGTGTGCTGATGTAACTGATCACTAAATAATGCTTGTCAGTAAAAATTACTAACCATCTTCTTTTGGCTATTCTGGGTACCACAAATGAGTTTTAAAAACAGGGCCAGGCCAGGCATGGTGGCTCACGCCTGTAATCCCAGCACTTTGGGAGGCCGAAGTGGGCAGATCACTTGAGCCCAGGAGTTCAAGACCAGCCTGGGCAACATGGTGAAACCCCATCTCTGCAAAAAATACAAAAAAATTAGCTGGGCATGGTGGCATGCACCTGTAGTCCCAGCTACTTGGGAGGCTGAGGTGGGAGGATCACTTGAGCCCAGGAAGTCAAGGCTGCAGTGACCCATGATCGCATCACTGCCCTCCAGCCTGGGTGACAGAATGAGACCCTGTTGTGGAAAAAAAAAAAAAGGACCACTGTAGATTTGCTTTTTATCTATTGGTATATAATGTACAACACAACACTAAGTAATGTCTTTTTCATAGGTGTAGAAGACAACTGACACAAAATTGGTTTAGAATAAAATTTTTTTCAAGATTTCAAGCCCTGCTTGAAATATTTCAATATAGCCCTGCTTAACGGAATAGAGTTACTTGAGTCAAAATACCTGAGCAAACGTGAGGAACTTTCATTTATTGGAAATTTCAGTAGATCACTTGGTCCCCACATGTTTTCTGCCATCTTTAGTCTTAGTGTAATTGGAAATGATGTGGTCCCCAGAGGGAGCCAGCTCTGCCCCAGTGGTCATTGGGAAACCTGTTCTCTTCTCTGAAGCTACTAATCAGGGGTCTGATCTGAAGGGAAATTTTGCACTTCCAGAACAGGGGGTAGGAATCTCTTATTCACGTGACATTTTGAATTTCAGGAGGAATTCTGCTACCCAGTGGAATGCCTCGCTCTTACTGTGGAAGAAGTGATGCATATTCGCCAGGTCCTGGTGAAGGCAGAGCTGGAAAAATACCAACAGTATAAAGACATCTACACCGCCTTGAAAAAAGGAAAGGTAGTGCTGTTTAAAGTTGATTGATCAGAAGAGTAGAAGGATGGCCAGTCCCATGCATAGTCTCCTGGGAGAGTTATCTGCTAGCCAGGTGGCACAGACTTTGAGGGGATTTGGGATGTGTGATGTTCATATCCTAGTAGACAGTACATGTGCTGTCTCGTTCACAAGAGGGGGCATTTTTGTTTCTGCCTTAGAAATCAAAACTGGAAGGTTTTCAAGCAACCATAACAAATATCGATATGTCTTCCTAAAACCATGCATGTGGCCAGGCATGGTGGCTCATGCTTGTAATCCCAGCACTTCGGGAAGCTGAGGCGGGCAGATCACGAGGTTGGGATATCAAGACCATCCTGGCCAACATGGTGAAACCCTGTCTCTACTAAAAATGCAAAAATTAGCTGGGCATGGTGGTGCGTGCCTGTAATCCCAGCTACTCGGGAGGCTGAGGTGGGAGAATCGCTTGAACCCAGGAGGTGGAGGTTGCAGTGAGCTGAGATTGCGCCACTGCACTCCAGCCTGGTGACATAGTGAGACTCCGTCTCAATAAAAAAGCCATGTGTGCATTTAGTCATTACACTTTTAAAGGATCTGTAAAGAAAATGTATCTGAGAAGGCCGGGTGCAGTGGCTCACGCCTGTAATCCCAGCACTTTGGGCGGCCTAGGCAGGCGGATCACAAGGTCAGGAGATCGAGACCATCCTGGCTAACACAGTGAAACCCCATCTCTACTAAAGATACCAAAAAATTAGCCAGGCCTGGTAGCAGGTGCCTGTAGTCCCAGCTACTCAGGAGGCTGAGGCAGGAGAATGGCGTGAACCCAGGAGGCGGAGCTTGCAGTGAGCCAAGATCATGCCATTGCACTCCAGCCTAGGCGAAACAGTGAGACTCCATCTCATAAAAAAAAAAAAAAAATGTATCTGAGAAACAGAGGAGGGTTTTTCAGAACCTTCTGCAGATTCCTTCCATGATGAGGAGACACTTAAGAGCTGTGGCCTTTTATTACCTTTTAAAATAGAATTATAATTAAATACAGAGCTACATTATCAGCATCACAGAGCCAGCTGTTATAAACAGGATTTCTGAATTGTCTTCCTCCTCTTGTCTGTTCAGCTTCCCCTATATATAGATGTAAAGCATATTCAAACATGGATATTAGGAAATTTGCTGTTGGCAATGTTTTTTTTCCTCTTAAATTTGTATTTTTTAGCTCTGCTTTTGTTGCCGAACCAGGAGGTTTTCCTTCTTCACTTGGTCTTATACCTGTCAGTTCTGTAAGAGGTAAGGTATTTTGTAATTGATGAAAAGATAAATTTAACAGTCGTAAGAGAAATACCAATTATCTTCCTTATTTCACCATCTTTCTAAACAGGAATAAAATTAGAAATGACTCACTCTGTTACGTTACCTTGTGCTATCCTTGTAGGTTAGGAATATTGATTTCTTAAGAGAGTGAGCCAAATATTTATTTGATATTGAACCTAGAAAATGTTTCTCTGTATGTTACTTCTTTTACATAACTAAGATCATTCTAATAATATGTCATGTTTGAACAGAAAAAAAATAAGATGTGATTATCATGTGATCCCTGGATAGACAAATAAGAAAATTCCAAACACATGTAAGTTGATCCTTTTATAGGAGACAGTGTAAGAGTTAAGTTCTGTAGATTATCTTTTTGGCAATTCAGTGTGTCAATTTGTTACATTCTAATAGAAGAAGGGAGAGTTATGCAGTTTATTGTGGAAACTTACAACTGTACTGCCATAGGCTTCTCTAACTCCCAGTTGCGTCCCCTGGTATCATGCCAAATAACATTTATGATTTTGTTTACAGGCCGGTGTGCTCACAGTGTTGCAAAAAGGTAAGCTAAGCTTGGTTCATTTATACTTGTGTTCCTTTTAGTGACTGCCTCTTTAACGGTACTGCTCATTGCCAGTTTTATTTGGGATAATAGATGCGGCTGCCCTCCAAACCATACTCCACTCTTCCTATCTTTTCATTGGGACCTTCTGCTCTGCAAAGAGGGGAAAGTAGTATGAGGTCAGAAAAACCCTCCACTGCCCATCATCGGCCACTTCGGAGCATTGCCAGGTGAGCAAGGGGCCTGGGTTGTCAAACCATCCTTTGCAGAAGAAGAGTTCTACTCTTGAGGACTGTGGTAGAGTGTTAGGGTTTTGGCTCGAGGGGTTTTTATTGGTTTGTTGGTTGGTTTTAATACAGTTTTACACACAAATCTCCAAAACTTCCCCAAAGGTAACTTTTCAAGGAATAATGGCTAGCTACTTGAAAGATACTTTCATCACAGAGTTTATATTTTTTTCTACTTTAGAAATAACTGTTTTACTGTGTCCTGTAAGAGTCATCTTTAAAACTGACCTTGTTTTCAATGGAGTTGAAAATTGGAATGTAACAGTCTCATCCTTTCCTCCTTGTCTAGTTTTGAAAGGAATCTGTTTAATCCTGTTTACAATGTTCTGCCATAGCTTTGACTGACTTTACTATTATTGTAAAGGCAGAAATAAAGCTTTATGCCAAGAGCTAATAATTTAAAAGAAAAAACATCACCTCAGTATCAGTCCCTTTGCATTTAGTGCAGGGTAAGTTTAGTGTTGGGCCTTAAGAAAGATGGAAGGAGGTAGGCCAGCTCAAGCCTCAAGCTGGCAGGGCCGAGAGGCTGGGCTTTGATCTACCAACCACATGTCCTGGCTCTGTGGACAGCGAGGCGAGGAAGCTGTGAGCCCAGCATGAACCTTGTGCCTGAAACGTCTGCCTCTGTGCTTGGGCTGCCTCCTCTGAGACCTCTGGGTGTGAATTTTCAGTGAGCTCAAGGCAGTGCACATAACAGCTGCTACAGTTTTCCATACTTAACTCTGAACATACTATAGACTACCCATTTATATCCTGTTTGGTTTAGTTAAAATAGTAAATAAGTAGATGATTCCTGGTTATCTCAGACATTCCTGGAAATATTTACTATGATGTTGGTCTGGTTATCTCCAGCTCCTTGGAATCCCAATAAATAATCGCACAAATACAGGGAATTGTTGGGGAGGGAGAAGCTTGTTTGATAAATACATAAATGATGAGAAAACTAGTCAAAATTTAGTTTTTAGGATGTGTCATGGGATTAAGATAAATTTACTTGAATTTCCCGTAGTCTGACCTGCCATCTACAGTTAGCTAATGTTCATTGGGAATCAGATGAATACCCTATTTTTCAAGAATTCTAGAAGGGTGGTTAAGAGTTTTTAGTATTATTTCTTTTTTTTTTTTCAAATGGACAGTCTCTTATTCATCCTCCTCCTCCTCCTCCTCCTCCCCTCCTTCTTCCTTTTCATCTTGTTCATCTTCATCTTCCTCTTCCACCTTTTTCTGGGCAACTTTAGCAGGACCCTTTTCTCCATCAAACTTTCCTTTCAACTTATAGTCAGAAACATCCTTCTCATACTTTTCCTTCAGCTTTGCCGCCTTAGTGGTGTAAGGCTGCTTTTCACTGTCATTTAAGTTATTCCGCATCTCACCCAGCTTTTTTGCCATGTCTCCAATAGAGATGCCAGGGTTTATGAATTTGATCTTGGGGTGGAATTCTGAACAGAGCAGGAAGAATCCAGACGGTGGCTTTTTCGGGGCATTAGGATCCTTCTTCTTGCCTCCCTTAGCTGGTCCATAATCCTTCATTTCCCAGTGGTAGTGTACTTTATCCACCTTTGCCATTTCATCAAATTTAGACTTCTCTTTCCCAGACATTGTCTTCCACCTCTCAGAGCACTTCTTGGAAAATTCTGCAAAATTGACAGAGACCGCTGGGCTCTTCTTCTTATGTTCTTCTCTGCACGTCTGCACAAAAAGGCATAAGCAGACATCTTGCCCTTTGGTTTCTTGGGGTCACCTTTAGCCATCCTGACTGTATTGTTCGATAGTCTGGGCAGTGCCTGTCTTAATAAGACATGTTTTCTGCTTTCTTTCCTTTTCTTTTTTTGTTTTTTGAGACAGAGTTTCGCTTTTGTCACCCTGGCTAGAGTGCAGTGGTGCCATCTCAGCTCACTGCAACCTTCACCTCCCGGGTTCAAGCGATTCTCCCGCCTCAGCCTCCAGAGAAGTGGGGATTACAGGGGCCCACCACCATGCCTGGCTATTTTTTTTTTTTTTTTTTAGTAGAGACTGGGTTTCGCCAAACTCCTGACCTCAGGTGATCTGCCTGCCTCAGCCTCCCAAAGTGCTGGGATTACAGGCGTGAGCCACCGCACTAGGCCTCCTACTTTCTTTTCTAAGTAATATTTTTTAGCCTTGTCACCAATAAGAAATTTTTTTAGAAGGACATATGATTAAATCACTCATCCATTCCATGATGTTTTGACAACAAATTTACTTTTTTTTATACATATTTTCTTAATATTGCAGCAGACCTATAAGTAACAATGCTGGGCTTCTGTTTTGTTTTCACCCCAGGTTCTCCTCAAAATCTAAGTCTATGGACAAATCAGATGAAGAACTCCAGTTTCCCAAAGAGTTGATGGAGGACTGGAGCACCATGGAGGTGTGTGTGGACTGCAAGAAGTTCATTTCGGAAATCATCAGTTCAAGCCGGCGCAGTCTGGTGTTGGCCAACAAAAGGGCCCGATTGAAAAGGAAAACGCAGTCTTTCTACATGTCCTCGCCAGGCCCCTCGGAGTACTGCCCTTCAGAGAGGACGATCAGTGAGATCTGAGCCTCGTGCCTTTCAGCTGCTTTTGTGCTACGAGTCAGCGTCCGTGCGCGAGGACACTGAGCCGGGCTGGCTCTCCTTTCTGTGGTTTTATTTAATGGGCTTGAATTTGCATTAGATCAGATTTTTGCCGCATCACATTGTTCCACAGACTGAATGCTGTGTTCGTATCGATTGATGAAACGTGACAGGTCCGCCAATTGCTCGTTTGCACTGAGAGAGGACAACAGTTTGAAACTTACTTTTGTGTGTGTGTGGCTTTGGAAGCCAGTAGCTACTTCCTTAGTTCAGTTCTTTACTGTTCCTCGAATAATCTCCTGACTAAGGCAAAAAAAAAAAGCTTCTCCTACGAGAATCAGTCTAACAGAGATGCCGATGTCAGCACAGCCCTAAGCAGTAAGTCATATTGGCATTTCCACGTGACTGTGTTTCTATCCCGTGTACAGAGAGATCCAGAGCCCTACACTCCACGACCTGGGGGCTCACAGCACAGAACCTAGAAGCACCTGCTGACACTCTTCAACTGATTTTTAAATGTTGTTGCTTGGAGATAAAAATTACATAAGGGACTTTTTGCCTGCATTCTAGTGCAAAACATCTGAAGAGCTGTACACCCACAAGGGTGACTATTTCCCCTGAGTGGCCGTGTTGTCCCAGTGCCCTGGTTCAGTGTCTCCTGAGTGGATGACAGGTCTTCATTCTCTATCTTGAATGTATTATGGTTACTAATAGTTTTATAATGGAGGTCTAAGAATTAAAGTTGTGTGGGAGTTTCAGGACAAAGGAAGGCTAAAAGTTTGTCAAGACGTTGAGCGTATTTTGGTTACCTATGAGAAGGGTTGTGACAGTGTACAGTGGCAGCTGTTGGCCACGCTGCAGAAATGAGCTGGAGCTCATGGGTTTTCAGCTACATTTTTCATAACTTTGTAGTACATCCATCTTGAGTAAATTAAGCCACAATTTGGTACCTAGGGTCTCAAACTAAAATTTATTTTTATAAATGAATTTTAAAAGAAAAAATATCTACTTCTTTTAAAGTTAGAAGAAAATTAACCTGCTGACAGGCAACATTTTTGGGGTGCTTTCTGCACTAGTTTTCCTTGTAAATGATTTGAGTGAGTAGGTTTGGTTTCTGACGAAAGTAGACTGGAGGGTAGCATTGTATGCCTCAAATGTCTCAGTGTGTTTGGCTCATACGTGGGCTATACTGTATTATTTTGGTATGCTTACAAATGACTAACCAATCAAATTGTCATTAATGTTTGGAAAATCTGTTAATGCACATGCACAATAATTTCCTGAAAGCCATAGGACATGTCTGTAGTCAGCACCACGATAGCACCGTTTCATGAAAGGCATGGCGGCTGCATTTCATACCACATCAAAATACAGTAACATTTCTATACTAAATTAACAGTAATACCTCAAAACTGCTCCGGTAGTAGTTTTTAATGGATTGAAATTTACAGTTTAGTAAAAGGCTTAAAATTACTTATACTTATGAAATAAACTTTACCAGTTGACTAAAATAATGCATGTTAACAGTTGGTCTGTATTTGCATGTAAAAGTGGGCCACCAGAGAACCCTTATTGATTACTTAAGTGTTTACATTATTTTAAAGACTCCTGTTTAAGAGCTTTCAGAATTGTACTGGGTGAATCTCATTTATAAAACTTCCTAAGAGACTATCTGAACTCTATACTCCAGACAGTTAGGTGGGAGTATAAATCTACCCCTTTTGATGACCCCAGGCTTGAGTTTTTAAAATGACTACCCAGAAGGGCACAAGGGGGAAGGAAATGGTATTTGTATATGTATATAAATATGCACCTAGGAGAATGTGCTTTTTAAAATAATGACTACTGTTTTTATTAAAACATAAGAAACTACACCCCCAAAATAAGACTTTCATTCACATTCACAAAGCAAACATCTAGTACATGTCTTTCACTTCACTTTATGATAGTGTATTGGATGATTTGGGCATTACGATCACCTCTTACCACAGCACAGAACATACATTCTTCAACAGCATTAACGGAGTTTGCCAAGTGCATTAAAGAGGTCACGTGGAGGGTACGTTCATATGAAACAATCTGCAGAAAGTGGGGTAAGAAAGGGCACATGGCACAGTTAAAGTTGTAGAAATCAAATTACTATCATTTTTTGTTGCCAAAACAAAGTCTTACATTTAACCCCCCTTTCTACCACCCCCCTCCACACTTCACGTCAGCTACATAGTTTCCACAGGGTAATTCACTAAGAGCTTGTGGAGCTTGGTTTTAAAATCCTTAGCCTGGTCTGACTTTAGGCATAGCTTCCAGTTCTTCCTTCCGTGTCCTGGTTTCTTGTTCAGTTTTACTTCTAATCCAACAACAAAAGAAATGTCTGGCTGGTCTCAGCTAGAGTCTGATGTGTCTTAGAGCATGTGTGCGTATCTGAACCATCATCCCTGCTCTCATCTCAGCTCCCTCCAGGCCTGAGCACCGGTTCCTTTTGTCCCATACGTCATGAAGTCACACTATTGGGAAACCTGTGCTTCCCTCTCCATGGCTTAACTCCCTGTCAGTGTCGGAGTGTATAAGAATGCTTGTAAATACTGTAATATATTTATTAATATTTGAAAGGCATTCATTCAGTGGACAGTGGGAATTAACTCTCCCAAGGCAAGTGAAAATGAATGATTGACGTACGTTGATTTAACAATCTTACTAGATTTTAATTCTTAAGGATTTCAAATGAAACCAGAAGGTGGTTATGTAAGAGGCTTAAAATGATCTTATGTTTAAAGAGATTCTGTTATTAGCACCATGAACTCGTACTATGAAATTTTTAAGCCTTTTATTTTTCTAACTATATTACTGTAGGACTGGATATTAGGTGTCATATAGGAAACACAAAAGTTTATTGCTGTTTGCTAAAGCAAAATAGCAGAAAATTTTGTATATGCAAAACTGTTGAAGGACCATAGAGAAATGTGTACTACTGACGGGGCTTTTACTAGGCTTCCTGCGTGTGTAAAAGTCGAGGTATTGCTGGCATTCAGGGTGACATGATGGTACTAAATGTTTTCCATTAAAGTCTTCTATTTTAAAATTTAGAGAAAAATAAAATGGCTTTCCATCAGACTTTCTGTGTTGAGTTGCTATCGTAAGACGGTGATGTCTTTTGGTAATTAGCTGTCAGAAATCACCTCAATTGGGAAGGCAGGGTACTTTTATAAGCAGCCTGTGATCTTTGAAGAAATACAGTCTAGGCCGGGCATGGTGGTTCACGCCTGTAATCCCAGCACTTTGGGAGGCTGAGGCAGACGGATCACCTGAGGTCAGGAGTTCAAGCGATTCTCGTGCCTCAGCCTCCCAAGTACCTGGGATTACAAGTGCCCGCCACCATGCCCAGCTAATTTTTGTATTTTTGTACATGGTGGCCAACATAGTGAAACCCCATCTCTACTAAAAATACAGAAATTAGCCAGGCGTGGTGGTGTGCTCCTGTAATCCCAGCTACTGGGGAGGCAAGGCACAAGAATCGCTTGAACCCGGCAGGTGGAGATTGCAGTGAGCTGAGATTGTGCCACTGTACTCCAGCCTGGGTGACAGAGCAAGACTCCGCCTCAAAAAAAAAAAAAAAAGAAAAAGAAAAACAGTCTACAAGGACCGCACTGGAAAAATTAACATGTTGTCACAAGTGATAAGCAGCCATGAGTAGGAGAGTAAAATTACATAAAGAGTACATAACATTTTATTATGTGTCACAAATATGGAGACAAATCCTGTGGGAGATGGATGAAGCTTTCTTTCACAGCTTCCTGGAGGCGTAATTGATAAAGCAGAAAAGCCTGCACAGCTCAATAAGCAATAAGTCATATTGGCATTCCCACGTGACCATGTTTCTATCCCGTGTACAGAGACATCCAGAGCCCTACACGCCAGGACCTGGGGGCTCACCACACAGAACCTAGAAGCACCTGCTGACACTCTCCAACTGATTTTTAAATTATTGTTGCTTGGAAATTAAAAATACATAAGGGACTTTATGCCTGCATTCTAATGCAAAACATCTGAAGAGCTGTACACCCACAAGGGTGACTGTTTCCCCAGCCATGCACAGACGTGTCCCACCCCATCATGTGTGGCTTCGTGGCGCTTCACAGGTGCGCTGCATTTTTACAGTTTGTGGCAGCCCTGCAGCAGGCAAGTCAGTCGGCAGCATTTTTCCAACAGCTTGTGCGTACTTTGTGTGTCTGCATCACATTTTGGTAGCTCTCCCAACATTTCAAGCTTTTTCATTATTACTCTCTCTTTTATGGTGATCTGTGATCTTTGATGTTACTGTTGTAATTGTTTTGGGGAGCCATGACCTGTGCCCATATAAGATGGCAAACTTAATTGATAAATGTTGTGTGTGTTCTGACTGTTCCCCCGTCTCTCTTCCCCTCTCCTCAGGCTCCCCGTTCCCTGAGATACAATATTGAAATGAGGCCAAAAGCCCTACAGTACAGTGGCTTCTAAGTGTTAAGTGAAAGAAAAAGTCGAAAGTCTCTCGCTTTAAATCAAAAGCTAGAAATGATTATGCTTAGTGAAGCAGGCATTCAAAAGCTGAGATAGGCCCAAAGCTAGGCCTCTTGCACCAAACAGCCAAGCTGTGAATGCAAAGAAAAAGTTATTGAAGGAAATTACAAGTGTTACTCCATTGAACACTAATGATAAGAAAGCAAGCTGTGTGTGGTGCATGCCTGTAGTCCTAGCTCCTCAGGAGGCTGATGCAGGAGGATCGCTAGAGCCCAGGAGTTTGAGGCTGCAGTGAGCTATGATCACACCACTGGATTCTGTTCTGGGTGACAGAGAGAGACTCCATTTCTTTAAAAAAAAAAAAAGAAAGCAAAACAGCCTTATTTCCTGATATGGAGAATGTTTGAGTGGTCTGGATAAAGATCAAACCAGCCACATTTCCTTAAGCCAAACCTAATCCATAGCAAGGCCTTAACTCATTTCAATTCTTTGAAGGCTGAGAGAGGTAAGGAGGCTGCAGAAGAAAATTTGAAAGCTTGCAGAGGTTGGTTCATGAAGTTTAAGGAAAGAAGCCATCTCCATAACATAAAGTGCAAGGTAAGGCAGCAAGTGCTGATGTAGAAGCTGCAGCAAGTTCTCCAGAAGATCTAGCTATGATCTTGAAAAAGGTGGCTACACTACACTTTTGCAATGCAGATGAAACAGAAGATGCCATATAGGACTTTCATAGCTAGAGAACAGTCAATGCCTGGCTTCCAGGCTTCGAAGGCTGACGCTCTTGTTAGGGACTAATGTAGCTGGTGACCTTACATTGAAGCCAGTGCTCATTTACCATTCAGAAAATCCTAAGGCCCTTGAATCTGAAGCTAAATCTACCTATACCCTGCCAATGACTAACAAAGCCTCGGCAGATGACAGCAGATTTGTTTACAGCAAGGTTTACTGAACGTTTTAAGCCTACTGTTGAGACCTACTGCTCGGAAAAAAAGATTTCTTTCAAAATATTACTGCTCATTGACAATGCACCTGGTCACCCAAGAGGTCTGATGGAGTTGTACAAGGAGACTGTTGTTGTTTTCATGCCTGCTAACACAACATCCATTCTGTAGCCCATGGATCAAGGAGTAAGTTTTACTTTTACTTAAGAAATACACTTCATAAGGCTTTAGCTGTCACAGGCAGTGGTTCCTCTGATGGATCTGGGCAAAGCACATTGAAAACCCTCAGGAAAGGATTCACCATTCTAGATGCCATTAAAAACATTGGTGATTCATGGAAGGAGGTCAAAATGCAACATGAACAGGAGTTTGGAAGAAGTTCATTCCAAGACTTCAGTAGAGGAAGTAACTGCAGATGGGGTGGAACTAGCAAGTGAACTAGAATTAGACATGGAGCCTGAGGATGTGACTGAATTACTGCAGTCTCATGAGAAAACGTAAATTGCTGAGGCATTGGTTCTTGTGAATGAGCAATGTGGTTTTTTAAGAGGAAATCTACCAGCGAAGATGCTGTGAACATTGTTGAAGTGATCAAAGATTTACAGTAGTGCATACTTAGTTGATAAAGCAGCGGCAGGGTTTGAGAAGATTGACTCAGATTTTGAAAGTAATTCTACTGTGGGTAACATGCTGTCAAACACCACTGCATGGTACAGAGAAATTTTTCATGAAAGGAAAATGCAGTTGATGCAGCAAACTTCATTGTTTTGTAGAACGTGTCCCTCAGCAGACGTATTCCTGAAATACGAGCAGAGGAAAGTTCTTGTGTTTTTATCTTAACTAAGAATGCATGGTTTACCTTCTAAATATCTTACACATTATATAAAGTTGAGTTTTATATTAATCCATTTACATAACCTGTTCCCTCAGTTGCCAGACATTTCTTAGGAGCCCCTTCCTCTGAAGTTCCTCTGTGATATGTGTATGTCAAGATACTTGTGTGTATGTGTCCAACTCATAATCCACATGTCCAGTGACTAAGTCCAAGTCATAATCTTTGACTCGTGCTTCCTGTATTGCAGATATACAAAGAATTTGGATACCATAAGTAGGAAAAGCTTTGGGTAACACATATTTAACTTTTTTCTTACCAGCTCCAGTTGAGGAAAAGATGTACAGTTGTAAATCACAGTCTACAATTTCATAAAGAAAACTATCTTTAGGAAAGGGCTTGATTGCACACACGAGTTATTTAAAGACTCCTTGGCCAGGCATGGTGGCTCATGCTTGTAATCCCAACATTTTGGAGGCCAAGGCGAGTGGATCAGGAGTTCGAGACCAGCCTGCCCAACATGGTGAAACCCTGTCTCTACTAAAAATACAAAAAATTAGCCTGGCGTGGGGGTGGGTGCCAGTAATCCCAGTTACTCAGGAGACTGAGGCAGGAGAATCGCTTGAACCCGGGAGGCGGAAGTTGCAGTGAGCTGAGATTATGCCACTGCACTCCAGCCTGAGCAACAAGAGAGAAACCCAGTCTCAAATAAATAAAGACTCCTGATATCGCTGCAGAATGTGCAAGTGCTCGCACCAGGCACATGCACACACACATTGATTATAATGCTAATAAAAGGCGTGGTGCTTCCCTCCTATTAGCCAAAGGCATGCGAAACCTCTCCCTTTGCCCACCCAAAAAAGTTTTAAGAGCTAAGACCTTAATATAAAGCTCTAGGCCGGGCACAGTGGCTCATGCCTGTAATCCCAACACTTTGGGAGGCCGAGGTGAGAGGACTGCTTAAATCCAAGAGTTGAAGACCAGACTGGGCAACATGGCGAGACCCCCATCTCAAAAAAAAAAAAAGAAAAGGCCTCTGCCTACACGAATCAAATGTTCAGATGCAGGCCGGGCGCAGTGCCTCACGCCTGTAATCCCAGCACTCTGGAAGACTGAGGTGGGTAGATCACTTGAGGTCAGGAGTTCAAGACCAACCTGGCCAACATGAGGAAACCCCGTCTCTACTAAAAATACAAAAATTAGCTGGGCATGGTGGCGCGCACCTGTAGTCCGAGCTACTCAGAAAGCTAAGGCAGGAGAATCGCTTGAACCTGGGAGGCGGAGGTTGCTGTGAGCCGAGATTGCGCCACTGTACTCCAGCCTGGGTGGAAAAAAAAGTTCAGATGCAGTTACCTGGAAGACTGAATTTTCACCACTATTCCAGCTCATCTTGTTAACATACACATGGTGTCTAGTATGTTAGCCATTGCCGTGCAGGGCACTGCAGCTGTGCTCCCGATACTGGTGGCTGCCTCGGAGCCCGTTTGATGGAAGCAGTGACAGCAAGCGCTCCAGAACTGACAGGACAGCGCTCCGGAAATGTGGGGCATCTGGAAGTTTATGTCCTCAGGGCTTGAGAGCTGAAGAAGCATCTGCATGTTTGACACAGCTTAGTATTCAGATTTCTTTTGGCACCAAGAGGGCCAGACACTGTGGGTCCCGTGCTGGGAATGGTCACAGCTGCTGCAATGAGGCAGGTTGTCTGTGAATCGAGGGCATGCGGCTCACTTGAAGCTTGCCCGTCTTGTATACATTCTTCTTTGCTTTGGGGCTGCCTTCTGACTGCAGCAATCGTCTATCTGTTGTCCCTGATCTGCCTCCATCCCTAACCCCCTTCCCTAGGGTGACAGCAGAAAGCTTCACATCCCAATTCCTCCCAGCAGCAAGAGTTTTTAGGAGAGTAGAAAGCCAAAGATGAGGATTTCTGCAGCTCTAACCTGAACCTCAGGCTCGTGAGCAGACATTGTGTGGAGCCTCTAGGGAATAGCGTGGCCGAGGAGGGAGCGAGCCCACGTCTGCACAGGAGAGCCTAACGAGCAATGCAGCTTCTACAGAAAAGTCACTCCTTTTTTTTTTTTTTTTTTTTTTTTTGAGATGGAGTTTCGCTTTTGTTGCCCAGGCTGGAGTGCAATGGCGCGATCTCGGCTCACTGCAACTTCCGCCTCCCCACGCTCCCCACCCCCCTCCCTCCAGTTCAAGTGATTCTCCTGCCTCAGCCTCCCGAGTAGTTGGGGACTACAGGCGCCTGCCACCACGCCCGGCTAATTTTGTATAAAGACACGGGGTTTCTCCATGTTGGTCAGGCTGGTCTCAAACTCCTGACCTCAGGTGATCCGCCCACCTCAGCCTCCCAAAGTGCTGGGATTACAGGCGTGAGCCACCATGCCCACCCAGTCACTTCTTTTTCTAAGAGAGAGGGTCTCACTCTCAGCCAGGCTGGAGTGCAGTGGTTCAGTGGTGCAAAGCTGCTCACTGAAGTCTTGAGCTCCTGGGCTCAAGCGATCCTCCCTCATCAGCCTCCTAAGTAGCTGGGACTACAGGTGCATGCCACCATGCCTGGCTAACTTTAAAAAAAAAAAAATGTAGCGACAGGGGTCTCCCTATATTGCCCAGGCTGGTCTGGAACTCCTGAGCTCGAGCGATCTGCCCACTTCGGCCGCCCAAAGTGCTGGAATTACAGGTGTGAGCCACCATGCCTGGCCACTTTCTGTGTGTGCTTTTGTTTGTTTGTTTGTTTGTTTTTGTTTTTTGAGATGGAGTCTCACTCTGTCACCCAGGCTGGAGTGCAGTGGCACGATCTGGGTTCACTGCACCTTCCGCCTCCCGGGTTCAAGCAATTCTCCCGCTTCAGCCTTCTGAGTGACTGGGACTACAGGCACACACCACCAATGCCCAGCTAATTTTTGTATTTTTACTAGAGATGGGGTTTTGCCATATTGCCCAGGCTGGTCTTGAACTCCTGAGCTCAAGTGATCTGCCCGCCTCGGCCTCCCAAAATGCTGGGATTACAGGCATGAGGTACCGTGCCAGGCCTTAAAGTGATAAAACTTTCATCTTAAATATCTCAAAGGGAAAAGAAGCCTAAGAATTCAGCTTGCCCACCAAGGGGAACATGACTCGAGAGAAGAAGCCACTAGGGGGGCATCCACCACAATCTCAAGGTTGCTGCAGAAGGCAGATGCACAGAATATCGGCTTGGACCAGGGGCTCTGGGTGTGACTGGTTGGACACTGCTCCAGGTGCAGCAGCTGCAGTGAGGGACGCCTCTCTACTCCAAAGTAATACTCAACTAGCAAAACGGCTTTTTCAAGACCCAGAACCTTTTGTCCTGATGACTGAAAAAAACTAGTCTGTAATTAGCAAAGTAGATTATTTCTCGGCAACACCTAGTTTTCAAGTATCTGGAATGGTTCTAACTAAACTGTGCTCCAGCATGGCAAAACTGTGCTCCACCGTGGCAACAAAACAGCTACCTAACACTGGGACAGCTCCTGAGCTTTTATGAATTTGTCTCTTCGAGTTTAAAGCAAGAGTGTGCCAGGCGCAGTGGCTCACGCCTGTAATCCCAGCACTTTGGGAGGACGAGGAGGGCAGATCACCTGAGGTCGGGAGTTCGAGACCAGCCTGACAAACACAGAGAAACCCTGTCTCTACTAAAAATACAAAATTAGCCAGGCGTGGTGGCGCATGCCTGTAATCCCAGCTACTGGGGAGACTGAGGCAGGAGAATCGCTTGAACCTGGGAGGCGGAGGTTGTGGTGAGCTGAGATCGTACCATTGCACTCTAGCCTAGGCAACAAGAGCGAAACCCCGTCTCAGAAAAAATAAATAAATGAAATAAAGCAAGTGTGTTAGACTAGGTGTTCTCCAAGGTCACTTTCAACTAGGAGAGAGATTCAGGATACTGTGTGAACAACCAGTACTACACAGGCATCAACAAGTAAAGACACTTGAAGCCTGAGCCAGTGTGACTTGAGAAACAGCGTGTAATCCAAGCCAGCCCTTCACTAAAGTGAAGTGTGAAATGACTGATACTTTCTAAGCATTATTTCTGTGTTGATGACAAACCTGATTATGAATATTACATGAAAGTAAGGAAAGTGCAAAATGTGCTGCACTTATTCGAAACTGGAGGCAAAGGCAAATTCAGTTTTACTAGTTGCTACAAAGAACCTGGCTCCATCTCTCAAAATTAAAAAGAAAAACCTCAGAAAGATGAGTTGACTTTTTAAAAAGGGACACAGCCCCTTACATCAGCCGTTGGGTGTTAGTACCAGTGGCTCATCTCTGGATCCTGTTGGAGAGAAAGACCTTATCTGCCTTGGCCATAGCAGACACCTGGTGTTTTTGTTCCCACAGCGTAGTGTGCGCTTCCTATTGGAAACGTAAAGAGAAGCCGGTGACTGTCAGGTGCGCGCACACAGCAGGCTCTTCTCCTCCACTTGGCGTGTGTGGCAACCCTAGTTGCGCTAAAAGGAAACACAAGTAAAGACAACTCTTGTTCTCCAGCTTGGTCAAGGATAGCGAGCACCGCTGCAGGTAGTCCCTGAGATATGCACCTCTCATGTATACTAATGAGATCCTGGCAGGGAGACTTCACGCTCTGGCCCTCAGTGCCAAAGTCTCCATCGCTGCCTGAACTCCTCACTAAATTTGATCTCTATGGCCAGCTTTTATTTAGAGCTGATAAGACACATGGCCACCCTTCGGCAGGAATCACCCACAACCTCTCACCTGACAGGCCGTCTCAGCTCTCTTTAAATGTGTCTAGGACAAAGCAGAGCTGATTCTCTGTGAAGTTCCATCTTTGAATAGGTCAAAGAGTTGGGAGTTGTGCCGTCGTGTCACTTCTTCCCATTGCTGACTCGCTGGTGCTGCCCACGGGGTTCTGCAGAGCACGCCTGCTCCCCCTGCCAAGTGGCTCCCTCACGTCGCCTCTTCCTTCCCACTCCTCCCTGCAACACGTCCCACTGCTTATGGCTTCTGCATTGTATTTTTTCCATTGTACCACCTAACATTCTACTACATTGTTCCATGAACACAGGCATCTTTGTCAGATTGCTTCACTTGCTGTATCCCCAGCTTCTGAAAATAATTCCTGGCATGTAACAGGTGCCTAATAACCGTGGAGGGAATTACTGACTGAATGAGCAGGTTAATACGGACATGAGAATAAGTGATACATACAAAGATGGAACCATCAAGATGTCTTCAACTGACATGGTGTGTCAACTGTGCAGTTCAACAGATAAATGCGACACGCAGCCCCGCGCCTTTAAGTCAGGAGTACAATTCTAAGTCAACAAATTACTGCAGCCCTAAAACAGCTCATTAGAATAGAGAAGGCCAAGTCAGCAGCTCATGCTGTGAGCATGGTTGACTTGTGCCAGTCTGGGCTTTCTACCTCCCGCTTGAAAGTGCCACTCGTCACACATTCCTCTTGGCTCTACCCACCACTAGAACCCAAGTCGGGGGACCTGCACAGCCCTGCCTCCCAACCTGGCTTTTCCCATTAACAAACTGATGTGCAGAAGAACAGGGATCCTGAAGACCTGTCATCAAAGCTGCTTTATGAATGCAAAGGGATTTATTAGTACAGAGCTTGTACTCATTAATTTTTTACTACTTGCCTCTTTTGAGTGTGGTAGTTAACTCTTAAGGGTAATCATACGGCTGGGCGTGGTGGCTCATGCCTGTAATTCCAGCACTTTGGGAGGCTGAGGCGGGCGGATCACAAGGTCAGGAGATGGAGACCATCTTGGCTAACATGGTGAAATCCCGTCTCTACTAAAAAAAAAAAAAAAAAAATTAGCCGGGCGTGGCAGTGTGTGCCTGTAGTCCCAGCTGCTGGGGAGGCTGAGGCAGGATAATGGCATAAACCTGGCAGGCGGAGCTTGCAGTGAGCTGAGATCGCACCACTGCACTCTAGCCTGGGCAACAGAGTGAGACTCCATCTCAAAAAAAAGAGTAATCATACAAGTTTTATTACTGCATGGCAAAAGAAAGAAACAGAGTGGAGAGACAGCCTGCAGAATGGAAGAAAATATTTGCAAACTACGCAACCAGCAGGGGACTAAGATCCAGAGTTTACACAGAACTCAGGGATAACAGCAAAATAGCCCAATAATAAGGTGGGCAAAGGACATAAATAGACATTTTTCAAAAGAAGACATACAAATGGCCAACAAGCATATTTTATTTTTTAATTTATTTTCTTTTTTATTGAGACAGGGTCTCACTCCCATCACCCAGGCTGGAGTGCAGTGACACAAACACGGCTCACTGCAGCCTTCACTTCCTGGGCTCAGGTGATCCTCCCACTACCACCTCCGAAGCAGCTGGGACCACAGAGGTGCACCACCACGCCCGGCTAATTTTTTGTGTTCCTAGTAGAGATGGGGTTTTGCCACCTTGACCAGGCTGGTCTCAACTCCTGGGCTCAAGCAATGTGCTCGCCTCGGCCTCCCAAGGTGCTGGGATTGCAGGCCTGAGCCGCTGCACCTGGCCCAACCAGCATATTTTAAAATGCTCAACATCGGCCAGGCACTGTGGCTCATACCTGTAATCCTTGCACTTTGGGAGGCCAAGGGGGACAGATTATGAGGTCAGGAGTTCGGGACCAGCCTGGCCAACATGGTGAAACCCCGTCTCTACTAAAAATACAAAAAATAGCTGGGCATAGTGGCAGGCGCCTGTAATCCCAGCTACTTGGGAGGCTGAGGCAGGAGAATCGTTTGAACACAGGAGGGGGAAGTTGCAGTGAGCTGAGATCACAACACTGGACTCCAGCCTGGGCGACAAGGCAAGACTCCATCTCAAAGAAATAAAAAATAAATAAAATGCTCAACATCACTATCATCAGAGAAATGCACATTAAAACCGCAATGAGATACCATCTCAAGCTAGTCAAAATTGCTATCATTGAAAAGTCAAAAAAATTATAGACATTGATAAGGATGTGGAGAAAAGGGAATGCTTATATACTGTTGGTTGGAATGCAAATTAGTACAACCTCTGTGGAAAACAGTATGGAGTTTTCTGGTTTCTTTTGTTTTAGCTTTTTTGAGATAGGGTCTAACTGTCTTGCCCAGGCTGTAGTGCAGTGGTTTGATCATGGCTCACTGCAGTCTCAAACTCCTGGATCAGGTGATCCTTCCGCATCAGCCTCCTGAGTAGCTGGGACTACAGGCACACATCAACATACAATGCAGAAGGTATAAGCAGTGGGACGTGTTGCAGGGAGGAGTGGGAAGGAAGAGGCGACGTGAGGGAGCCACTTGGCAGGGGGAGCAGGCGTGCTCTGCAGAGCCCCGTGGGCAGCACCAGCGAGTCGGCAATGGGAGGAAGTGACATGAGGGCACAACTCTCTCTCCAGCTAATTTTTGATCCAGCAATCCCACCTCTGGGTATCTACACAAAGGAAAATAATTCATAAAAATACCTGCAATTTTGTTTATTGCAGCACTATTCACAATGGCAGGGACATAATCAACCTGAATGTACATCAGTGGACGAAGGGCTAAAGAACACATAGTATATGCTCAATGGAAGACTCCGAGGGTGAGAGGGAGGTGAGGAGTGAGAAATTACCTAATGTGTAATGTACACTATTTGGGTGATGGGTACACTAAAAGCCCAGACTCCACTACGTGACAGATCCATGTATCAAAACTGCATTTGGCGGGGCGCGGTGGAATCACACCTGTAATCCCAGCACTTTGGGAGGCCAAGGCTGGGTGGATCACCTGAGGTCAGGAGTTCTAGACCAGCCTGGCCAACATGGTGAAACTCCATCTCTACTAAAAATACAAAAATTAGCCTGGCAGGGTGGCAGACACCTGTAATCCCAGCTATTTGGGAGACTGAGATAGGAGAATCGCTTGAACCTGGGAGGTAGAGGTTGCAGTGAGCCGAGATCATGCCACTGCCCTCCAGCCTGGGGGTGACAGAGTGAGACTCCGTCTCAAAACAAGACAAAACAAAAAATGCCTTTGTACCCCTTAAATTTAAACAAAAATGAGTGTTAAAGTTTGATTAACGATTTTATACCAGTTAGGCTGAAGTAAACATTAAACTTTCAAATGTGTCATATTAAGATAATTTGGCCAATAATAAAATAAGGAAAAATATGAAAATAAACTTTATGACATCATTCTATGCTTATGTTACTATTAATACATAGTTTTAGAAACTTTGCTTTTCAGTAGCTGACCACTGCCAGTTTTCCAGGGCTTACTGTACGCAAGCATCCTGCTCAGCGTCCCATTCTCTCCTCCCACACTCAACTCTCACACAGATGCTATTAACGGCCTCTTTTACAGATGCAAAACTTGGGAATAATAACGTAGTCATTTGCTTAAGGTGAAACCACTAGCCCGGCATCAAGCTGAGGCTGCAGCTGCCCTCGGGCCGCCTTCGGGCAGCTCTGACTCCAGGCCGTTCTCCAGTCACCAAAGCCCTTAGAGAAGACCCAGGATCATGAGCGCAAAAGCAGGACATCTGCCTTGGCACGGAAGAACTTTGAGCCCAGGCTGGTCAAATACATATGCGAATAGTTTAAAAAAATAGTTCAAGGCAACATAAATCTCTAGGAATTGATGGTGATGGTGGGCTGTGGCGCTGTGGGCCGGCGCCGGAGGGACAGCTCCGCAGAAGATCTGAGGTTGGGCTCAGAGGGGCCACTGCTGCCCGCCTGCATCAGTCACCCGTGCCGGTGCCTCGGCCTTGCTTTTGACCTTTTTCAGAAAGGGACGAGAACCCTCCCTAGCTTTCTAATCAAGGGACTTTATGACAGGAATATTTTTGGAGTAGTGTAAGAAGTGGGACAGCATGAGCGAGAGGCCAGACAGAAGGTGACTGTGCAGACAAGTACGAGGCGGGGCGTTCACTGCCTGCATAACAGACGACCCCGGGCTCTGCAGGAGGTGATGAGCATTTACGGGAGCAGCTCTGGCGGGGGATCCCGGCCTGGGCCTCGCACGAGGTGGCAGTGGAGATGGCAGCGGGACCCGCAGCCTCCGGGGGCTGCACCCGGGCTGGAGGATGGCGTCCGCAGTGGCCACTCTGAGGGCCCCTCCAGGGTCCTCCAAGCCTGGCGGAGTGACCATGTGCGGGCCGGCCGGGCTCGCGCCGCGCATCTCCGGACTCGGCCTCCCCTCAGCTCCCAAGCCCCGCGGCCCGGCTTCCGCAGCGGGCACGCGACACGCAGGCAAGGTCACAGAGTGGCAACGCCAGGGACGAGTACGCAGAGCAGAACGGGGCGGGGAAACCCAGAACTCAGCCTAGATGCTGGAGGAAGGTGCCATGTCCAAACAGCCCCGAGAGAAAAGGCAGGAGGAAGACGTCGGCCGGCCGGGGACCCGGGCTTTGTGTTTGGGAAATGGGAGCAGCACTTATTAGAAATGGGGAAGGACAGCCGTGTGGCGGGAGGAGCAAGCCCGTTTTCTGTCTGTTCACAGGAGATGCAGGGGCGCCTGTAAGAGAGGCTGCAGCCCCAAGCGGTGGCACACACCTGTGGTCCCAGCATTTGGGGACAAGGCTGAGGTGCAAGGATGGCTCGAGCCCAGGAGTTTGAGACCAGCCTAGGCAACATAGTGAGGCCCCGTCTCTTAAAAAAAAAAAAAAAATACTGGCCGGGCGCGGTGGCTCACGCCTGTAATCCCAGCACTTTGGGAGGCCAAGGCAGGCGGATCACGAGGTCAGGAGATGGAGACCATCCTGGCTAACACGGTGAAGCCCGGTCTCTACTGAAAAAAAAATACAAAAAATTAGCCGGGCGTGGTGGCGGGCGCCTGTAGTCCCAGCTGTCGGGAGGCTGAGGCAGGAGGATGGCGTAAACCTGGGAGGTGGAGCTTGCAGTGAGCCAAGTTGGCGCCACTGCACTTCAGCCTGGGCGACAGAGCGAGACTCCGTCTCAAAAAAGAAAAAAAAAAAAAATTAGGTGTGGTGGCACGGGCCTGTGGTCTCAGCTACTCAGGAGGCTGAGGCGGAAGGATCACCTAATACCAGGAGGCGGAAGCCGCGCGCTACTGCACTCCAGAGCCAGACTATGCCTCAAAATAAATAAACAAATAAATAAAAAAGACTGAGGCCAACAGGCAGCAAGTGCACTGCGGTTCCTGCTGGCGAAAGTCCCGGACCCTGCGCACGAGCAGCACTGGGTGCCCTCAGGGCCACGGCCTGTGGGCTTCGATGGGAGCAGTAGGCCGCCCGAGGGGGCGTTTCTTCCCAGTGGCGGGCCGGCCAGCACGGGTGCGGCGCCGCTTCCGGTGCCCCACAAACACTGCTTGGCCACTGAGGCCGAGCCCTGCGCAGTTTTCCCAAACGAGCTGCCTGCGGCCTTATCAGACCACACTCACCTCCGTGCACATGCACATTCCACGGAGAGAGCTGCATGTCTGCACCGAGTCCGCTTCTGGCCGGCGGGGCAGGGCGGCCTCTGGCTGCCGTTGGGTCGCACTGGAACCGCCTGCTCTCCTCTTCCCCTTCTCACCACTGCGCTTGACTCCTTTTCAAAACAAAGAATGAACCTATTTCCAACCAACACGGAAGTTACGAAGACAACTTTACACTAATTAAAATCAACTACTACCACTTTCTTGGTTTAAGAACTGACCACCTCAAGAAAAACTTCTTAAAATTTATATATATTGGAGAGCATAGAATAACCACAACGCACGCAGGTGCTTGTTTTTACCCCACTTTGGTCACCAAAGGTTTGAAGTGGCTGGAGTCTGACATTTACGACTGTCCTCGCCTAAAAAATGTGATCGTGCCCCCAAAATACGCAGGGACCTCTGCGTGCCCCAGCCAGTGTGCGACCTTGTCTCTCCATCCCTGCTTCAGAGATGGTTTCCAGATCCCGCGTTTGCTTGTTTCCGTCTAGAGCAGAACCACCAGGTGACAAGTTCTGGACCATTCCCATTGGGACATTACAGAGCTGCTACGGGAGCAAGATGGGCCACTCAAGGGCGCTGCGTGCCGGGAAGGGCGGCGCAGGGACAGCGCACCAGCACCCCGGCCAGAGGCCCCGCTGCCTTCAGGACTGGGGAGGCAGGCGCCGCACAGCTCCACTCAAGATGACGCTGCTTAAACGCTGAAAAAAGACAGACACGAAACGGTTTATCCAGCATAAACCTATCTGTGTTTAATAAAAGAAGGGAAGAGAAAGGCCACACATACGCTTTCATAAGCACAGAAAACTTCTGGAAGGCTTTGCGAAAAAGAGCCGACTGGCAGCTTGCGGGAGGCCTTTACCCTTCAACGGACTCCAGACTCCTGTACTCTTTTTTAACCATAAGCATGGGTTGCTTTTATGTATTTTTTAAAATTAATGTTGTTTTAAACAACTTTGATTTAAAGATGGTGGGGAAAAGACCTTTGGTCGTTGTCCCTCAAACACTCACAAAACTATAAGGCGAAAAACAGGAACTCAAACCTTGGATACTATGAGGGATCCATGGCCTCCAGCCCCAGCAGGTGAGGCTGGCAAGCAGCGAGGCAGGGCCTCCAGCCTGGGCGCAGGATGTCCCCCGGGCACGGCAGTGGCAGACTGGAGGGGGCTGGCACAGCCTGCAGAAAGGGCCGGGAAACCCCTGGACCCCAGCCCTCTCCCCGCATGAGGAGCCTCGTCAGGAGAGGCTTAGCCACTCCAGGAAAGGCATTTGGGGGCCGAGAAGAAAGCCATGGCCCCAGGCCCCGTGAGCCCCGCAGTCAGAGCCCACCGAGGCCAGCAGCAGATGTGAGGCCCGGAGCAGCCGCGGGCCCAGGAGAGCTGCTTGGTGATCTGCAGGACCGAGGGGACGGGGGCGGAGAGGCTGGAGGGCGGCACACCCGCCAGCGTTTGTGGAGGAGCCTAAGTGGAGGACAGCGTGGGCGGGCGGGCGGGGGCGGCGCGGGTCACCTGCAGGGAGAGAAGGGGCTGGGCCACTGCGGCAGGCAGGACGATGGGCGCCGCCCCTAAGGGACACGGGCGAGGGCCTCGAGCCCTCCATCCACGCAGACGGCGGCGGTGGGGCTGGCTGGGGCTGCTCCCTGTTGCACGCTCATGAGGGGAGGGACATCTGGTCCCGGGGTCACCTGCGACCCGCGATCAGTCCAGCCTAATCCTCCTCCCCGGCCCTGTGTGCCCTCGCAGCCAGACGTGCTTTTCCGTCCCGTCCTTGCTCGTCCTCTCCTCACCTCCTTCTTTCCTTTCTTCTGGGAAGCATCTGCAGAGACACCAGGGGTCGGGTTGCAGAGGAGCAGAGGGCGCACCACACACCACACTCAAGACATAAACCACACTCATGACACACACCGCACATACACATCACACACATGCATATCTTACATGCACACACCACACACATACACATCACACATACACATTACACACATGCACATCATACAGACATGCACAAATCACACACAGCACACAATACACATCACACACATGCACATCATAGACACATGCACACACACCACATACATACACATCACAGAGCACACATACACATCACACACCTCACACACATGCACCCATACCACACACATACACATCCCATAGCACACACACATCACACACATGCACATCATACACGCATGCACACACATCACACACATGCACACACACCACACACATACACATTACACAGAGCACACACTATACACACATTCACACACAGCACACACCAATCACATACACATCATACAAACATGCACACACGACACATACCACACACATATACACATCACATACACAGAGCACACACACACCACACATATACACATCACACAGCACACATGTCACACACACACTCCACATACCACACACATATACACATCACACACACCCCACACACGCACATCACACACCAGCATACACACCACACACACACACCACATATATACACACAGCACACACACAACATACAGCACACACAGCACACAAACATGCAACACATCACAGACAGCACATGCACACCATACACGCTGCACACACACACACACCACACACACATATATACATACCACGCACAGCACACACTCCACACACCGCACTCACCACACACACATAGATACTCACCACACAGCACACACCACACACCACACAGATACAGGATGCCAGGCAAGGAAGCTCCTTACAGGCACTGAACTCAGGGTGCGGCCATGAAGGAGGCGAGGCCCATGGCCACCCCTGGCTTGGGTTCAAGGAGAGCAAAGTGTGGCTTCAGTGACTCAGGCAAAATCAGCACGAAGTTCTTAAGGATCCCCGAACCCACACACACGGGGGACAGATGGGGACGAGCAGCCCAGAGCAGCGCAGCACAGCCTCTGGTGGGAGGCGCGTCCTCCCCGGGGATCAGGCCCTGGTGGCCGCTGGCCGTCGGGGCAGGGCCACTAGAAGTCCAGCTGCTGATGCCACAAGAAGCCAGGGAATGTTCGTGAAGCTCAAGGAAACGCCAGAAAGGCTTCCACTGCTAAAAGGAAATGGCCGGCTGCAGCCGTGTGGCCATGTACTGGCTTGGGGCAAGTGAAGAGGTGGGCACAGGACCTCGCTCACAGCAGCAGATGCAGATGCACCCAAAGGACAGCGCCCTGTCAGGACAGGCCTGGCCACTCGCGCCAACTCTGCACAGTCACCGGGGTCACCTCAGCAACCCAGCCCGAGGGTGGCTTGCTGGAGAGGCCGAGCTGCCACCATGCGACCCAGAGGGCCGCAGCTCAAGCTTCCTCGGAATCTAAATCCTGCCACGAAGCAAGGAATGAAATAGAAAGAGGATGAACCCAGTGATTCTGTGTCACCGTGGAAAACTAAGGAGCTCCGGGCTGGAGAGCCACCAGCAGCTGCGTACTTCTGGCGTCCCCTCACCATGTGCACCATGCACACGGGTCACAAGAGGCTGCAAGTACCCCCCCAGGTGAGTGAATACTGTACTCACCACCATTTATGACAAGCACAGGCACAGGCCTCCTTAGCTCACAGCGCTTTCAGAGTGTTCAATTATCCACTCGATAGCAGCCCACCCCTGCAACACAGAAAGATTTCAGCACTGAGTGGGTCGTCCCGCCTCCCGCTGCAGACAGCAAGCGACAAGTCCACAGGCTAAACTGCAGAAGGCAAGCGCTGCAGTTACAAGGAGACACAGCAGTGACCTTTCCGAGTGATCTTCACACAGGCAGGCAGTTCCTCCAGCTCAGAAGGGGGAAGGAAAACAGTGCCTAAGAGTCACTGCTGTGTTAGCAAACCAGCGCCCGGCTTAGCTCAATACAGCAAGTCCTGTCCCTCACCTCCCAAATCCCAGCGCTGAGGCTGCCCCAGGAGGCCAGGAAAGCCCAGGGTGACACCTCCACGCACCCCCAACCCCATCCCCTGCACCTGCCCTCAGGCCGCTCCGCTGTTTCCAGGCACAACACCTCTCCCCACCTTAGTGATTCTCTCCTAAGCCTTCAACACAACCTCTAATAAAGTGAAATAAAGGAAAGCCAATTTGCCCTCACTGAGTTTACCCCAAATTTTTCACATAAAAGGTCTAAGGTAGCTGTGGCCTCACTGAATATTCCCTTCCTCTTATAATATTTTGTTTGGCAAACATTTAGGGCTTCTGCCCTAAGCCAAGCATTGGAAACAACGATGGGTGAGATCCGGTCTCCTTCCTCCAGCATGGACAAAGCTCTCCCCCTTTGGCCTTCGCTGCCCTACCTCCTCTGAACTGAGCTAAGCTGCTCAAATCTCTGTTTCTCAAATCTGGATTCTACAGAATTAGATAGACAGGCTATTCTATTGGTGATGAGACTAAATGCAAGCCATAAATGGTTTTCCACTAGTTGGAGAGTTAAGCATGGAAGGACATTGGAAAGGGAAGTACAGCCTTAGGAATCACCCACTGATCTCAAAAATGAAGACTCATTTCTGACCCCCAAAAAGGAGGGAAGAGAAAGAGGGAGGAAAGGGAAGAGTGAGGGGTAGGAGGGACAGACAAAGAGAAGACATGAGCCTGTGAGGCGGGCCCAGGTGAAAAGCAAAGGCCCTGCTCTGGCAAGTGGCATCTTTTAAATGTGAGGAACATCTTCCTACCAAACATTCAAGCTCTTTCCATCAACTCTGCTGGAGGGGAGGGCAACCTGGACTCCTAGAACAATCTCTTCCTCTGTTCCAGTGCCCTGGACACAAAGGGAGTACCATGGATGGCCTCCTGGGATCTATCCTTTCTCCTCTCACCTCCACAAAGCTTACTGCCAAATCCTGCCAGAGAGGAGCTGTGAAGACGGCAGCAGGCTCCATGGAAGCGTCACTGCTGGAGAGGTTCAGCCAAAGCCACTTAATGCCCATTAAATAGGAAACTACTATAAGTCCTGAATAGCCTACCTGACACTGTTAACACCTTGTATTTCTGATGTTGTGGGTTAGTTTGCTTTGGTAACTGAGCTTATGACATTTGGGCTCTTTGAAGTGGTAGTTGCCTTGGCTGGGTTTATGCTCCAGGTTTACCCCATACTTTCTCTACTGAGAAGAGTAACTTTGGCTCCCTTGGCTTTCATGCACACACTTCCCTCAGACCTGGGTCAGCCTTTCCCTACCCTAGTTTTGAAATACTGTGGCATTATGAGCTCAGCATAAATGGAGAGCCCCAGCACTCAGGATTTTATTTATTTATTTTTTATTTTTATTTTTATTTTTTTTTTTAAGACAGAGTCTCATTCTGTTACCCAGGCTGGAGTGCAGTGGTGGTTCAGCTCACTGCAACCTCCGCCTCATGGGTCCAAGCAATTCTCATGTCTCAGACTCTCGAGTAGCTGGGACTACAGAGGTGTGCCACTATGCCCAGCTAATTTTTGTATTTTTAGTAGATGGGGTTTCAGCATGTTGGCCAGGCTGGTCTTGAATTCCTGGCCTCAAGCGGTCCACCTGCGTTGGCCTCCCAAAGTGCTAGGATTACAGACATGAGCCACCATGCCCAGCCAGGAAGACTGATGAGACTAAAAATGTCATATTCTTAATCTGGCACTTAACAACTAGAGCACACACAGGACTCCTAGGATTGAGATACATACCTTCTTTGCATTGGATGATATCGTATTGGCCATTAAACTTTCCAAATAACTACCAAGGCTAATCCCCTTCACAGTGATGATGGCTTCTTGTGTGAGCACGGTCCTGCAAAAGAGCAAGAAGAAAAGGGGCTGACCAGCCCTGAGAGAGAGGAGGGTCTGCCCTGCCCTCACCC
Organism: Homo sapiens; assembly: GCF_000001405.40. Classification (NCBI taxonomy): domain Eukaryota; kingdom Metazoa; phylum Chordata; class Mammalia; order Primates; family Hominidae; genus Homo; species Homo sapiens. Next base: position 12,427,150 of record NC_000018.10, on the reverse strand, counting down.
GTGGCATTCAATGTGTCAATCCCACAGGAGATGACTCACATTTCTGGGTTCTCTGGATGAGGTGTGTACACCAACCTCTCATTAACTGACACCAAATTTGTGAGTGTGATCTTAAAAAGAAAAAAAAGGTTTAGATTGTATTTCTCTTGCATTTCTTCTGAAGCCAACTGCCCATACTCTTCCATCCCAAAATTAGCACTTAGTGGGGCCAGAACAGAAGAAACTTTTAGGCATAGGAGATACGACCACATTAAATCCTAGGAAACCATGGTTTTGCTGTTCCTTCTGGCAACTGTCATCTATCTTCTTCCCATGTCCCACTCCACATGTGAGCAGGGCTCTGGCCTTCAAGGTACAGTCAAGCTGCCAAAACTATCAGCAGTTGTACCATAGAAAAGGACAAATAGGCCTGTGTGTCCATATAAGTGAGAGAAAGCTTTTCACCTACCCATGGCAGCCCACAGAGCACTGTCTCCTAGGACTGGATGGGACAGACTCTGAATCTACATGGAGACTGCAGGGTTCTTGTCTCCTCCAGTACCGCTTCCTATAAACAGACTAACTCCTTATGTACATATTTATACTTTTTTTTTTTTTGAGATGGAGTCTCACTGTGTAGCCCAGGCTGGAGTGCAGTGGCGCGATCTCGGCTCACTGAAAGCTCTGCCTCCTGGGTTCACACCATTCTCCTGCCTCAGCCTCCCGAGTAGCTGGGACTACAGGCACCTGCCACCATGCCCAGCTAATTTTTTGTATTTTTAGTAGAGACGGAGTTTCACCGTGTTAGCCAGGATGGTCTCGATCTCCTGACCTCGTGATCCGCCCGCCTTGGCCTCCCAAAGTGCTGGGATTACAGGCGTGAGCCACTCCACCCGGCCTATATTTTCTTTTTCTTTTTCTCTCTTATTTTTTTGAGACAGAGTCTCGCTCTGTTACCAGGCTGGACTGCAGGGGCATGATCTTGGCTCACTGCAACCTCTGCCTCCCAGGTTGAAGTGATTCCCCTGCCTCAGCCTCCGGAGTAGCTGGGATTACAGGCATGTGCCACCATGCCTGGCTAAGTTTTTTTTTGTATTTTAGTAGAGACAGGGTTTCAGCATGTTGGCCAGGATGGTCTCAATCTCCTGACCTCGTGATCTGTCTGCCTTACCCTCCCAAAGTGTTGGGATTACAGGCATGAGCCACCACACCTGGCCTCTTTTTTATTTTTTGAGACAGAGTCTTGTTCTGTTGCCCAGGCTGGAGTGCAGTGGTGTGATCAAGGCTCACTGCATCCTCAACTTCCAGGTCTCAAGTGATCCTCTCACTTCAGCCTCCTGAGTAGCTGGGACTACAGGTGCACACCACCACATCCGGCTAATTTTTAAATTTTTTGTAGAGATGGGATTTTGCAATGCTGCCCGGGCTGGTCTCAAACTCCTGAGCTCAAGCGATCCTCCCACCTTGGCCTCCCAAAGTGCTGGGATTACAGGTGTCAGCCACTGGGCCCGGCCTATATTTTCTACTTTTTTTTTTTTTTGAGATGGAGTCTCGCTCTGTCGCCCAGGCTGGAGTGCAGTGGCATGATCTCGGCTCACTGCAAGCTCCGCCTTCTGGGTTCACACCATTCTCCTGCCTCAGCCTCCCCAGTAGCTGGGACTACAGGCGCCCGCCACCATGCCTGGCTAATTTTTTTTTTTTTTTTTTGTATTTTTAGTAGAGACGGGGTTTCACCATGTTAGCCAGGATGGTCTTGATCTCCTGACCTCATGATCCACCCGCCTCGGCCTCCCAAAGTGCTGGGATTACAGGCATGAGCCACTGCGCCCAGCCTATATTTTCTGTCAAAACCAATTTAAACACTCGAGCTCTAGAGCCACACTAACAGAATTTTCTGTGCTAACAGTAATGTCCTATGCATGCTGTCTGATATGGTAGCCACACACACATGCAGCTAATGCACACCTGAAATGTGGCTCATGTGACTGAGGAATGGAATTTTTAATTTTATTTTATCCTAATTAGTTTAATTTTTTTTTTTCAGATGGAGTTTCACTCTTGAGTGCAATGGCGCGATCTCAGCTCACTGCAACCTCCACCTCCCAGATTCAAGCGATTCTCCTGCCTCAGCCTCCAGAGTAGCTGGGACTACAGGCACCCGCCACCATGCCCGGCTAATTTTTGTATTTTTAGTAGAGATGGGGTTTTGCCATGTTGGCCAAGCTGGTCTGGAAATCCTGACCTCAGAGAAGTCAGGTGACCTGCCTGCCTCAGCCTCCCAAAGTGCTGGGATTACAGGCGTGGGCCACCGCACTGGCCATAAATAGCTTAAAATTAAATAGCCACATGTTGCTGGTGGCTGCCACACTGGACAACAGAGCTCTAGAATTGCTTCATTGTTTAACTCAGTTCACCCTCTTCTCAAAATGCCAATTCTGATAAAAGACCATGTTTTAAAAAGTTTAAACAGTGAAAAGCAAATTAACCTTTCTGTAGTGATAAATACTCATTTTTTCAGTAATCTCTCACTGAATCCCTCCCCCAGCCTCACTGTCCCAATGCAAATGGTTAGTAGGAAATCTCTCTCCTCCTACAGAGTGCCAGGTTATCAAGAGTCTCACGTGTATGGGCGTTACATTCAACAGAACTATCTAACAGCATCAATTACAAATTAAACTCTGATTAGCTGTTGTCATTTTATGTGCAATATTTTATGCAAGTCACTGTGTTTCATAAACCTTACTCCTCTGAGGTTTGTTCTTTTCTTTTTTATACAAGAAATGTGAGACTCAGAAAATGTAAATAGCATCCCCAAGTCATCGGGCCATCCAGCGATGGCTTCAGGATGCAAGCACATGTCTGTCTTGCTCCAAACCCTGTTTCCTTCCCATCAGACTTCACTGGAGCATAAACTGCTCCTTTTTACATACAACTGAGTTTTCTGGAAGGATAAGGTGGAATTTCATAAGTAAATATTGGTTTTGGGGGCAGAAAGAACATAATACGTAAGCTGTCAGGAATAGCCAGTGGGGACCTGACAGGCTCCTGTGACTTTGTGCAGCCTGGGACAAGGAGCCAATAGGACCAGGGAACATTGGCAGAAGTCCAGGTAGTACACTAAGGAGCTAGGCTCTATCCTGCAGGTGGCTCACAGCCTCATCTCAGCACACAGGGATGCACCCACTGCCTTCTACGGAAGGTGCTCCCAGCTGGGCAGAGTGTGGCTGGCCGACAGCACTGAGCATCCTGGGGGACTGTTCCCATGGCCACCTGAGAAGCTCATAGGAGCTCCCGAGGCCCTCTGGTTGGGGCAGGGGAGCCGCAGGACCCAGAGCAGCTCCACTTTCTTTCAAACACTGGGCCTCCCACAAGATGCTGAGAAGATGGGGAGCTGCCCAGGTACCGGTTCGGGTACTTGCGCATGGCCGCCTGGATGACCTGCTCCTCAGCCCTGTCCCCACCCACTGCACCCACCAGCCCTGCCTGCCCCTGGGACCAGGTCGCCATTCCCTCACTGCAGCACTGCTGGCCGCACCTTCAGCTTCAGGCTGGACACTCCACAGCCTGCTGTGCAGGGGCTGCATACTCAAGATGTGCAAAGCAAGCTTACCTCTCTCTTCTCACACCTGCCCCTCATGGGCCACCATTCAGCCTGGCGCCCTAACCAGAGAGCAGAGCTGCGTCGTGAGCCTCCTGTTCCTTACTCCCCATGTCTCACCCCAGGTGGCCTCTGCTACCTCTCACCTGGACAATTACCTGCCCGGACTACTGGTCTCCCTGGCTCAGGTCCCAACATCCCCCCGGCCCTCTCTCCACAGGGCTGCCAAGGTATTCTTCCCAACACACAACCCGGCTACCTCACCTTCCTGCAACAAACTCTCAGTGGCTCCCTCTTACCACGAAAACGACCTCCGGCTCCTCTGCCTCTTCTGTGGTCTTGTGCCTGCCCCTCTCCAGCCTCCTCCCTCCCACACCACCTTCCCCTCTTAGTCTCTAACGCCATCTGTTTGTGGCTCTCTAAGGCTCAAGGGCGCCCACTGCCAGTGTGTATGGAGAAGTCCTGCCAGGCTCCCTGTCACCTACCTTCACATGGCCACTTAGGGGAGCTCCTGCTCGCTGCCACCTATGTGGGTTGTCTAGATGCCCACCGTGCGATGACAGAGCCAGTCAGGAGGAAATATCTTAATCCTTGCATTCCCCATCCCTAGCACTGTGCTGGGTACCTGGCAGGCACTTGATACCGTTGGCAGAACCAGTAAATAGTGGTGGCTAGAGCCAACCATGGCACTGGGGACAGAAAAGTGAGGCCAGATGAGGGCACCGCTGACTTCACCCACCATAGCCCATTTCTATATTTGCTGAAAATAAGGATTATTTTTTGAAATAAATAATTTTGCTAGCCCATGCATATTTCCCAACATGTTCTTGCATTTGCATTAGGCCAATATACATTTTTTAATTGAGAGAAGTGAGAGAGGAGTGAAGGGGGGAAGTAGCTTTAAAAATACCTGTTGGGGCCAGGTGCGGTGGCTCACACCCATAATCCCAGTACTTTGGGAGGCTGAGGCGGGTGGATCACGAGGTCAGGAGTTTGAGACCAGCCTGACCAACATGGTGAAACCTCCTGTTTACTAAAAATACAAAAATTAGCCAGGTGTAGTGGCACGCGGCTGTAATCCTAGCTACTCAGGAGGCTGAGGCAGGAGAATGGCTTGAAACCAGGGGGCGGAGGTTGCAGTGAGCCGAGATCACGCCACTGCACTCCAGCCTGGGCGACAGGGTGAGACTCCATCTCAAAAAAAAAAAAAAATGCCTGTTGGTGGTACACACCTGTAGTCCCAGCTACTTGGGAGGGTGAGACAGGAGAATCGCTTGAACCCATGAAGTGGAGGTTGCAGGGTGCTGAGATCCACTGCACTCCAGCCTAGGTGAGAGAGAGAGACTGTCTCAAAAATTAAAAAAAAAAAAAAAAAAGCACGTTGAAAGGCATCACTTGAGACCAGGAGTTTGAGATCAGCCTTGGCAACAGCGAGATCCTATCTCTGTGAAAAATAAAAATAAAAAAACAGCCAGGGATGGTGGCACGTGCCTGTGGTCCCAGCTATTTGGGAAGCTGAGGCAGGAGGATCACTTGAGCCCAGGAGTGCGAGGCTGCACTGAGCTATGACCACACCACTGCACTCCAGCCCGGGTGACAGGGCAAGACCCCATCTTTAAAAAAACAAAAACGTCTGCTGGTTGTCAGGACAGTGGTTATCCTGTGGGGGGTGCCCAAGGGGTCTCAGGGGCTGGTCAAATTCTGTTGCTTGAACTGCCTGCTAGTTAAGAGGTGCGTTCTTTGTGACAATTCATCATTATGTGCATTTTTCTATATACTTATTATACTTGAATAAAAAGATAAACTGCTAAATGAATTCAGCCTTTCTGTTAAAAATAAGCAACACCTAGACCAAAGGTGGGCTGGAAATAGAATTAAACGAAGGCCTTACGCACCACCACCCAGACACACTGAGCCCGTTTCTCATCTGAGGCCATTGCTTACATTGGTAGAACAAAGTTCCATTTTCTTTTCCACTGGATCCACCACAGAATGTTCTCGGATGTATGTCAATGTCCTACTGGTTCCCAAAATCTAGAAAACAAAGCAAAACTAGCATAGTGGAACGTTAAAAATTCTACTTCATATCACCACCGAATACCATTGCATTTACTAATTAGTTCACTATTCAAGAAATGATATCATGGGATGCAGCAAGGGACAGAGACAAAACCCCTGTGTCCAGGGCGCTTCCGCTCCAGCAGGTGAGCCACTGAGCAAAGAAATGAATTCCAACAGAGTGGAGCGTGCAGCAGCACTATGCTCCCGGCAAAATAAAACAGGCTGCGGGCAGTGGAGCTAGGAGGCCCCTCTGCCGGGCGGAGTCTGGGCAGAGCCCCAAAGAGGAAGGTACCACCATAGTGCTGGGGTGGGGGTGTCAGGCTGGGGGCAGCAGGTGCAGGCCCCTGCAGCAGGAGCTGGGCTGACTGAGAGGCCTGCGCCAGGCCAGGGTGTGGACTGCAGGTGGAGGCGAGATCCAGGGGCCGGGTTGGGGTGAGCCGTGCTCAGATTTGCATTTCCAGCGACCTCCCTGGCTCTGAGGAAGAGGCCACGGGGGGCTGAACCATGGTGAAGCCTAATCCCGGTGCCCTAGGATGCGGCTGGCTGCGGACGCTGGGCTTTAGAGGCGGTTAAACCAGGAGGAGGGGCGCCTGGCAGTGCTAATCCAGCAGGCCCGGGCCCTTTGGGAGGACAGATGGGGATGCCAGACGCCACGCGCCAGGCAGAGCCTCCCGCGACCCCCGATCTCGAGGAAGACCCCCCCACCGTCCCCCCACCCCGTGACCCCCGATCTCGAGGAAGATCCCCCCCCACCGACCCCCCACCCCACGCCCCCCGATCTCGAGGAAAACCCTCCCACCAGCCCCCCAGCCCGTGCCCCCTGATCTCGGGGAAGTTCCCCCCACCGCCACCCCCACCCCGCGCCCCCTGATCTCAGGAAAGGCCCCCCGCCGCCCTCCCACCCCGATGGCAGCCAAAGCAGCAGAGGCACTGATGAGGGGAGGAGGGACGCGGGAGAGGGCGGGGGCGGGAGTGGGGGAGTCGGGCGCGTTCGGAGCCGCAGCCCCCGCCCCGCTCACCGCTCTCACGAGGCTGGGCAGCCCCCACTCGGTGCTGAGCAGGCGCAAGCTGTGCAGGCGGCCGCGGCCGTCCACGCGGCGCTGTAGCACATCCACGCCCAGCACGCTCGGGTTCATCGGGTTCGGGTACTTGCGCATGGCCGCCTGGATGACCGTGTCCCACGGGTGGCTGCGGGGAGAGCATAGGCGGCGGTGAGCAAGCGCCGGGGCCGGGGCCGCAAGGGTGAAGGGGAGGAAAAGCCGCCGCCAGGCCTGGGCAACGCGCTAGTCTCTTCACTTTAATGAAAGGCTGGTCCGACAAATCTGAGGAGTCCCGCGAGCCCTCCCCGGCCGCCGGCTCAGCACCTGCACGCCTCGGCACCTGGCAGCCCCTTGGTTTTTGTTTGTCTGAGACAGGGTCTCACTCTGTCGCCCAGCAGGCAGGAATGCAGTGGTGCCATCAGGGTCACTGCAGACTCAAACCTCCCAGGCTCAAGTGAACATCCTGCCTCAGCCTCCTCTTGCCCCACCTCCAGTAGCTGGGACTACAGGCGTGTGCCACCAAACCTGAATGACTTTTTTGTTTGAGACGGAGTCTTGCTCTGTCACCCAGGCCGGAGTGCAGTGGCGCGATCTCAGCTCACTGCAAGCTCCGCCTCCCGGGTTCCCGCCATTCTCCTGCCCCAGCCTCCGGAGCAGCTGGGGCTACAGGCGCCCCCCACCATGCCTGGCTAATTGTTTTCTATTTTTTAGTAGAGAGGGGGTTTCACCGTGCTCTCGATCTCCTGACCTCGTGATCTGCCCGCCTCGGCCTCCCAAAGTGCTGAGATTACAGGCGTGAGCCACCACGCCCGGCCTAACTTTTTAAATTAATTAATTTTTTTTTGAGATGGGGTCTCACTCTATCACCCAGGCTGGAGTGCCGTGGCACGATCTCAGCTCACTGCAACCTCCGCCTCCCGGGTTCAAGTGATTCTTCTGCCTCAGCCTCTCTAGTAGCTGGGATTACAGGCACCCACCACCACACCTGGCTAATTTTTGTATTTTTAGTAGAGATGGGATTTCCCCATGTTGGCCAGGCTGGTCTGGAACTCCTGACCTCAAGTGATCCGCCTGCCTCAGCCTCCCAAAGTGCTGGGATTACAGGCATAAGCCACCACGCCTGGCCAACTTTTTTTTTTTTTTTTTTGATATGGAGTCTCGCTCTGTCACCCAGGCTGGAGTGCAATGGCTCTGTCTCGGCTCACTGCAACCTCCACCACCCGGGTACAAGCGATTTTCCTGCCTCAGCCTCCCTAGTAGCTGGGACTACAGGTGCCCGCCACCACACCCAGCTAATTTTTTTTTGTATCTTTAGTAGAGACGGGATTTCACCATGTTGGCCAGGCTTGTCTCAAACTGCTGACCTCGTGATCCGCCTGCCTCAGCGTCCCAAAGTGCTAGGATTACAGGCGTGAGCCACCGTGCCCAGCCCAACTTTTTATTTTAACAATTTTTTTAGGTCTCATTATGTTGCCAGGTTGATGTCGAACTCATGGCCTCAAGCAATCCTCCTGCCTTGGCCTCCCAAAGTGCTGGAATTATGGGCATGAGCCACCGCACTCAGCCTCCCCTTGTTTTATTTCCTGCCATCAGAGTGGTTGCAAGTCACCCATTGCTTTCCAGAGCTCTGCACTTGTTTAGGCCTGAAACCTGCAGGGTCAGACACACGTCTGAAGGGAGCCAAGTGAGGGGCCACCACACCTGTCCAGCATGGACCTTCCCCCGGACTGCTAAGGGGTTGCTAGCAAGTCACTTTATTGCCCTAATTGTCCTAATCCACCCTTCCTTCAAGGTGTGCTCTCTCCCAGGAAGCCTCTGAGCCTCCTGCAAGGACAAACATTCTCTGACAAGATCATCATTTCTTCAGAAGTGCCCAGAGAGGTTTGTCCAGCATATGTATAGACACAGCCCAGAGGCAAGCCCAGATGTGTGCACACACCTATGCACCATCACATTCACATGTGTGCACATATGCATGCAGACACACATACATGCACATGCACACACATCTTGAAAAATTAAACTGGGATTACACTCAATATATGGGTTTACCATCCATTTTTTATAACTGCTGATAAACATTTTCCTATATCATGAAGCCATTTTCAGGAATATGATTATAAACAGCTGTACACTAGGTCATCTTGTGGCTGTGTATATTTCACCAGTCCTCTATGGTGGGTTATGTTATGTAGATTGCTTTCACTTTTACACGATAAATTATAACAGTAGTGAACATTTGTGTACATTAGTCTTTCAACATATCTAATTCTTCCTTAGGATAAAGTTGTAGAAATGAAATTTCCAAATAAAATATGAAAGATTATGAGGATACTGAAGTTTTTTCTTCCATATTTGAGGTCAATTTTCAATATAACAGAGTGATCAGTAATTTACTTTACCCTCATCAAACACTCTTGTCCTAGGTGAAAGTTAGCAGCAGGGCCCAGATGAGAACCAGGTCTCGCAGCTCCCTAACCTGTTCTATTACATTCGGTGGCCTCTAAATTGTCAGGGCCTGGCCTGGAATCCTCTCTTAACAATAGAACACTTATGTTCAGTTTTTTGAACCATGCAATTGTGTCACTAAGCTGACGCATTCCACTGGCTAACATAAAGAGAAGAGAGGGATGAAGAAGCCAAGACTGGGTGGTCCTGATCACTCTAGGAATTCAGTCAGAGTGGAGCCCTTTCGTCTCTCTGAGGTTTAGGAAAGAACTGTCAGGGACATGGCAGACCCCAGATCTAGGTAAGGAAGGTGAATCTAGAGATACATGTGAAGCAGAAAGGGTCCCAGTCACCCAGGAGAGCCTCCTCAATGAATAGTCTGATGGCTTTTCAGTTAAGTTCCTTAGACTTATTCCCATAGAAATCATTACTTTAAGCAGAACAGGGTATGCCTTCTAACATTAAGCTTAAAATAATCTAAACATTGAGAGATTTTTGCATTAAGCTTATCTCAAATAATGTTTCTTTCATATAAAATTCTTGCATCTTAGGGCTGGATGCAGTGGCTCATGCCTGTAATCCCAGCACTGTGGGAGGCTGAGGCGGGCAGATCACTTGAGGTCAGGAGTTCAACACCAGCCTGGCCAACATAGTGAAACTCCATCTCTAAGAAAAATACAAAAATTAGCCAGGCATGGTGGCAGGCACCTGTAATCCCAGCTACTCGGGAGACTGAGGCAGAAGAATTGCTCGAACCCAGGAGGTGGAAGTTGCAGTGAGCCGAGATCGCGCCACTGCACTCCAGTCTGAGCAACGAAGCAAGGCTCCATCTCAAAAATAAAAATAAAAATAAAAAAATTTGCATCTTTCTGGCTGATGATTTAAACTAAATACAATCTGCTTAAAATATGCACATAATAAATAATTTTACTAATTACAGCAGGATGACCACACATATAGCAACAGAACAATGGAGGAAAATGATAAACATAATAAAAATATCTCAACATCTCTAAAATGATAAAGTCTAAGCACAGCAAGTCAATAGCACACACTTGGTTAAAGAAAATAGTCTTGTCTGGCTGGGTACTGTAGTTTGTGCCTGTAATCCCAGTACTTTGGGAGGCCGAGGCTGGTGGATCGCGAGGTCAGGAGATCGAGACCATCCTGGCTAACACGGTGAAACCCCGACTCTACTAAAAATACAAAAAATTAGCCGGGCACGGTGGCAGGCGTCTGTAGTCCCAGCTACTCGGGAGGCTGAGGCAGGAGAATGGCGTGAACCCGGGAGGCGGAGCTTGCAGTGAGCCCAGATCATGCCACTGCACTCCACCCTGGGCAACAGAGTGAGACTCTGTCTAAAAAAAAAAAAAAAAAGAAAGAAAGAAAAGAAAAGAAAATAGCCTTGTCTGGGCACAGTGGCTCATGCCTGTAAATCCCAGCACTTGGGGAGGCTGAGGCAGGAAGACTGCTTGATGCTAGGAGCTCAAGCCCAGCCTGGGCAATATAGCAAGACCCCTCATCTCTACAAAAACAGAAAACATTAACCAGGCATGGTGGCACACCCCTGTGGTACTAGCTATTTGGGAGGCTGAGGTTGAGGCAGGAGGATCACCTAAGACCGGAGGTCGAGGCTGCAGCAAGCCATGATTGTACCACTGCACTCCAGCCTGGGTGACAGAGCAAATGCCTGTCTAAAAAAACAAACAACAACAACAACAACAAAAACCCAGAAAGAACAAAAATAGCCTGACACGCTTTCAATGGGCAAAAATAGACAAGTCTGGCAATATTGAGTACTGGAAAGGGTATAGGAAATAGGACAACAGGAAGTGCTGCTGGTGGACACAAACTGGCACAGGCACTAATGGCAGCAGTTTACCCAGAGAAGCTGAAAATGGACACCCCGCCCCTGCCGAAATCAGTCAGGGTTCTCAGCTGCCTGGTTGAGGCAGAAGAGGAATGTGCTGAAGTTTATTTTCAAGAGGAGCAGAGAACTGCCTACTCAGAGATCCCCAACCAGGCGGCAGGAGCCTCCTCTGCTGCTGTTCGTGGAGACCTCTGGGGAATCCTATCCCCCAAGGGCAAGAGGCCTCCGCTGCCACCCAGCATGGATGGCTCCCCACATACACGTGTCCCAAGTGCTCTGACACCATGTGTGTGGTGGGTCTGCCTGGCGGGCTAAGGGAAGCTGGTTTCTGAGCTGGGGAATGAAAAGGAATAACAAAGGACTCTCTAAGCACCAACAGTGTCGGGAAGATGAAGAAGGAGGAAATTACATGATGTCTGGGATTTGCCTAAAATAACCCAGGGGAAGGAGCAGTGGGTGGGGACACAGAGGACCCTGGACTGGCTGCCAGAGGGTAACTGTTAAGCTGGGGGTGGCACCGGCTCTCAGTATTCTAGTCTCTCCATGTTTGCATAGTTGTGAAATTTCCATAGCAAAAATCTGTCTTAAAAAGATTTAAGGCCAGGCACAGTGGCTCATGCCTGTAATCCCAGCACTTTGGGAGGCCGAGGCGGGCGGATCACTTGACAGGAGTTCTAGAACAGCCTGCCCAACATGGTGAAACCCAGTCTCTACTAAAAATACAAAAATTAGCTGGGCATGGTGGCGCACACCTGTAGTCCCAGCTACTTAGGAGCCTGAGGCAGGAGAATTGCTTGAACCTGGGAGGCAGAGGTTGCTGTGAGCCAAGAACGCACCACTGCACTTCTGCCTGGGTGACAGAGTGAGACCCTGTCTCAAAACAAAACAAAAAAATAAAAATTAAAAAAAAAAAAAGATGTAGGCAGACCAGGTGTGTTGGCTTATGCTTGTAACCCCAGCATTTTGGGAGGCCAAGGCAGGAAGTTCACTTGAGACCAGGAGTTCAAGACCAGCCTGCGCAATAGAGCAAGATCCCTATGTCAACAAAAAATACGAAAATTAGCCAGGTGTGGTAGCTCGCAACCATAGTCCCAGCTACTGCAGAGCCTGAGATGGGAGGATCACTTAAGCCAAACAGTTTGAGGCTGCAGTAAGTCGTGATTGCACTACTGCACTCCAGCCTGGGCAACAGAGCAAGACCGTCTCTAAAAAAAAGAAAGAAAAAAAGATGTAGGCAGCCAAAAACAAGATAGTAGGCCTGCTATACCCCACCACCAAGTGACCCAAGGCCTCCATCAGCTGCTCCTTAGCATTTGGGCCACACACCCTGGTGGCTCCAAGAACTTTTCCAGACATAACTGTTGTCACAGTGCTACTGAGACATGACTGACCTTTTCTTTTGGTGGGGGTGGAGGGGTGGGGGGAGGACCAAGTCTCACTCTGTTGCAGAGTGAGACTGGGATGCAGTGGGTGTGATCTCAACTCACTGCAACCTCCACCTCCCGGGTTCAAGCAATTCTCGTGCCTCAGCTTCCCGAGTAGCTAGGACTACAGGCATGAGCCACCACACCCAGCTAATTTTTGTATTTTTAGTAGAGATGGGGGTTCACCATGTTGACTAGGCTGGTCTCAAACTCCTGACCTCAGGTGATCCACCCACCTCGGCCTCCCAAAGTGCTGGGATTACAGGCATGAGCCATGGCGCCCGGCCAATGACTGGCCTTTTTTGCTGTATTGACATTTGCGCTAATTCTGCAAAAGCAATAAAAGGACAGAGCCAGTATCTTCCCAGCATCAAGGCAGGGCTCCAAATTGCATGTGGTCACCGCAGTCCTCACTGCTGTGCACTTGGGAAACAATGCCAGTTTCTCTTAGGGACATCTGTGAGTAAATGGCCAAGTGATTAGTTTTATGACTGCTTGACCCCTGAGTACTCTTCTCTTTGATATTCTGTGTGAGGGAACAGAAGTGCACCAGAAGCCCCTCTGCTGCTGCGGCCCAAGTCCCTCGACTCTGGGGTGTCTGGGGGGCGCCGGCACTTGTTCACTCTGAGTGGGAGCCCCTGTCTCTCTGCTGCTTTCCACTGCCTGCCTCTTGTACTTGAAAGAGCAATAAACAGAAAGAACAATAAACAGATAAACTTTGCTTATTCAGACTTGGGGATCTGGCAGATGATTTCTTGAAAATTAACAAAGTAAGCCTGTGCTTCAAGGAAAACAACTGATAGCATTTGCTGCCAAAGATAAAATTTGAGCTTTAAAGTGATAATTTGGCCAGGCACGGTGGCTCACGCCTGTAATCCCAGCACTTTGGGAGGCCAAGGCAGGCGGATCACCTGAGGTTAGGAGTTCAAGACCAGCCTGGCCAACATGGCGAAACCCCGTCTCTACTAAAAATACAAAAATTAGTAGGCCGTGGTGAGACTCACCTGCAATCCCAGCTATTTGGGAGGCTGAGGCAGGAGAATTGCTTGAATCTGGGAGGCAGAGGTTGCAGTTAACTGAGATCATGCCACTGCACTCCAGCCTGGGCGACAGAGTGAGACTCTGTCTTGGAAAAAAAATAAATAAATAAAGTGATAATTGAAATTTCAGAAAACTTGTATCTGCTACCAGGAGCTGGATGACTGCCTCATGCTGCACGCTCAGTGGAGGCCTATATTCCAAATGCTTCCAAGTCATACTTGGGTTAAAGACTCATTCATACACAGGACAGGCCAATGGGTTTGTTGTTGTGGTGGCTGTTTTAAGAGATGGTATGGCTCTGTCACTGTAGCCTCAAGCTCCTGGGGTCAAGCAATCCTCCTGCCTCAGCCTCCTGAACAGCTAGGACTACAGGCACAAGCCACCACACCTGGCTAATTTTTGTATTTATTTTTTGTAGAGACATATTCTACTATGTTGCCCAGGCTGGTCTCAAACTCCTGAGCTCAACCGATTACCCCCGCTAGGCCTCAGAGTTCAATACTCTATTCATTATAGTTTCAGGTTTTGTATTCCAACTAAGTGTTAAGAAGCTACCGTTTCTTTTGTCATAACAGGAAAGAATAGCCATAATTACTTAAAAAGACTACTAAGATGCTCCCACCTTTTCCAGCTGCATGTTTGTGTGAGGCTGGGGTTTATCCATACACTTCAACCAAAACTATATATTGCCAAACACAGACTGCAGAAGCAGATATGAGAATCAAGTTATCTCCTATTAAGCCAGATATTGTAGATATTAGTAAAAACAGAAACAGCACCACTCCTTTCACTAATTTTTGGAAAATACAGTTTTTTATTCAGAAACATTATAACAGGTTTATTATTGTTAAATTTAATGAATTAACTTTTTCAATTTATCATTTTTAATTTCTAATATGGTAAATATTGACAGACATAACCCACATAAGCAAAACTGTTTAGGGTTTTGCTAAATCAAGAGGTCCTGAGGCTGAAGAGCTTGAAATCCATTGGCCTAAGTGGGCCCTTGATTGAGTGGGAAATAGACACAGGGCTGGTCACTGCAGTTCGATTTGTAATAAGAGGAAAACTTAATGCCCTTCAATAAGAAAAAGAATAAATGGTGGCACATTCATACAGCTATTAATATCTATCTATATCTACATATATTTATGTAGACATCTATAGACATCTCATATGGATGGATTTTCGAAAAACAATAGGGCTAGGCGCAGTGGCTCACGCCTGTAAACCCAGCACTTTGGGAGGCCCAGGTGGGCTGATAACTTGAGGTCAGCAGTTGGAGACCAGCCTGGCCAACATGGCGAAACCCCGTCTCTACTAAAAATACAAAAATTAGCTGGGCGTGGTAGCAGGTGCTTGTAATCCCAGCTACTCAGGAGGCTGAGGCAGGAGAACTGCTTGAACCTGGGAGGCAGAGGTTGCAGTGAACTGAGATCCCGCCACTGCCCTCCAGCCTGGGTAACAGAGTGAGACTCCACCTGGAAAAAAAAAAAAAAAGGCCGGGCGCCGTGGCTCATGCCTGTAATCCCAGCACTTTGGGAGGCCAAGGCGGGCGGATCACGAGGTCAGGAGATGGAGACCATCCTGGCTAAACTAAAAATACAAAAAAGTAGTCAGGCGTGGTGGCGGGCGCCTGTGGTTCCAGCTACTCTGGAGGCTGAGGCAGGAGAATGGCGTGAACCCGGGAGGCGGAGCTTGCAGTGAGCCGAGACTGCGCCCCTGCACTCCAGCCTGGGCGACAGAGCGAGACTCCGTCTCAAAAAAAAAAAAAAAAGAAAGAAAAGAAGACAATATGACACATGCGTATACACAGATGCGGTAAAGTGAACCTCTGGAATATAGACCCCCTCAGAAGGATGCCCACCAAACTGATCCTCACGGCTGCCTGCAGGGAGGGAGACACAGTGGAACACCAGTGGGGAGGGGAAGAGCAGGCTTCAACTCATCTGTAATGTTCAATTTCTCTTCCCTGCTCCTAGCTGTAAGGCAAGCCTGCTTTAGGCATGACTCCCCATGCCCCAAAGCCCGTCCTGCCCTGAGAAGGGCATGGCCAGACATTCCTGGCAGCTGTCAGAATCAAAGGTGTGTGCAGCCTTGAACCCTGCAGGAAATCTATTTGTGATGGGCTTTGTTATTGATGATTTTGTCATAGGTCTGCCTGAAACCTCAATGCTGGGAAGAAGACATTTTAAACCCTGTCCTTTTTTTTTTTTTTTTTTTTGAGACGGAGTCTCGCTCTGTCGCCCAGGCTGGAGTGCAGTGGCGCGATCTCGGCTCACTGCAAGTTCTGCCTCCCGGGTTCATGCCATTCTCCTGCCTCAGCCTCCCGAGTAGCTGGGACTACAGGCACCCGCCACCACGCCCAGCTAATTTTTTTTTTTTTTTATTTTTTAGTAGAGACAGGGTTTCATTGTGTTAGCCAGGATGGTCTCAATCTCCTGACCTTGTGAAACGCCCGCATTTTTAAATGCCCCTTTCTATATTTTGGCCATATACTTTTAATTTTATTTAAACTACTTTCACCCCTGTCTAGGTAACACACACGTTAATTCAGTGGCCTTTCCCCGGGCTCTCTGTTTTTGTCTGAGTGTTTACACTGCTGTCTGCTATGATGATCTCAGGGGCGGAGTTTCTTCTCAATGTGGACACAGGAAGAAAACTTGATAAGATCAAACTGTTTGTGCCTAATTATTTCTTCATTTCAAAAGTACTGTAATCCCAGCACTTCAGGAGGCCGAGGTGGGTGGATCACTTGAGGTCAGGAGTTTGAGACCAGCCTGGCCAACATGGTGAAACTCTGTCTCTACTAAAAATACAAAAAAATTCACCAGGCGTGGTGGCACACGCCTGTGGTCCCAGCTACTCGGGAGGCTGAAGCACAAGAATTGCTTGAACCGGAGAGGCAGAGGTTGTGGTGAGCCAAGATCGTGCCACTGCACTCCAGCCTGGGTGATAGAGCAAGATTCTGCCTCAAAAAAAAGGAAAAAAAAAAGTAAATGTATTATTTCCAATCAAATGTTCACCTAACAGTACAACAAACTTTTTTTAAGTATAGAAAGAAAAAGAAAGGTCTATAATCCTCAAAGGAAAAAAATCAGGGGTTTCAATGGACGAAACAAGGGGAAAACTACACAGTAAGTCCAGCCAGGAAGCCAGACTTCCAATTTGTACTGTCATTTGGATGCTATGACACCTCATGGTACCACCTCATGGTACCACATCATTCATAACCCGTCCAGCCACAGGCCAATGACAGCATCCTCGGCCAGCCACATTCCACATTTGTC